>NC_000004.12:94678956-94981987 GCF_000001405.40 Homo sapiens
AAGGTTTTTAGGTTGGTGCATGTTATTAATTCTTTGTCTGTCTCTCTCTCCACTTTTGAGTCAGGTTTTTGGTGACTAGTGGACCACATTCCAATGTCTGAATGAATGAAGGTCCAAGTGTCTGTAACATTACTAACCACCTTTGACTTTTACTGTGACTTGCTCACAGGGCAGGGCTTCCTGAACACTCTATTTTTGGCTTGCAAGAAAAATTATGTAGTTCTCATCTTGATGAAATTTCACAAGTCTGGACTCCCTATAATTTCCATAATACAAAATTTAGTAGTGTTCAATTTTCTTTTTCTTGTGTTTTGTTGTTTCTGTGCCCAAAGGGAGTTCATTTTCACAGGGTTAGCAGCACAACAAGATGAGCCTTTGACACACCCTTGCTTAAGTCTGCTCTTAGGCACTGGAAAGGGGCTTTGCAGAGAATTTTTTTTTTTTTTGAGATGGAGTCTCGCTCTGTGGCCCAGGCTGGAGTGCTGTGGCGCAATCTTGGCTCACTGCAAGCTCCGCCTCCTGGTTTCACACCATTCTCCTGCCTCAGCCTCCCGAGTAGCTGGGACTACAGGTGCGCGCCACCACACCTGGCTAATTTTTGTATTTTTAGTAGAGACAGGGTTTCACCATATTGGCCAGGCTGGTCTCGAACTTCTGACCTCGTGATCCACCTGGCTGGGCCTTCCAAAGTGCTGGGATTACAGGTGTGAGCCACCATGCCCCACCCAGCAGAGAATAATTCTTAAGGGTTGAGATGATCATGGAAATAGGTGAAAGAACCAGATGGCAAACACGCTGCCAAAGAGCACAGGAAATTGGACCTGTGTCCTCAGATGAAGGGAATCACCTCTGCCTTTTCCCACACGATGCTCCCGAAAGGGCTGTTGTGGAACTTGAGTTGAAGTTAAAAATAGAAAACTCTTATACTTTGTCTATTTGTTCAGTTGATTGTCTTAAAGTGATTCTCACCCATTCTAGAAATCTGCAGAGCTTTTGAGAAATCATTGTAATCCTCACCCCACACATTTTTGTCCAGAAAAATTAACTCTCAGGAGCAGTTTAAAGGCAAAAGAGAGTCCTCAAAACATCGTGAATGCGCTCACGTTGAGAGTGTGGAGACTGTGGGACTGTCTCGGTGTGCTGGGCTTGATGGAAATGGAGAAAAGAAACTGAGGGTGTGTGGTGCCCTTCGGGCTTTGCTGGACTCCTTTGATGAGGGGGCCTCCTTGGCTTCCCTCCTCCATCCTGCCCAGTGCTTGTCTTGAGTTGTTGTCCAGCCAGACAACGTTCGCTTTGTTCTTCCAATGACTTTCTGGCCACATAACAAAATTCTCAAAGCTTTACAGACAGTTCCCTCTAAGCACACATAAGGATGCTTTATGTGTAGGACAGTATTTGTTCCTTTTGGACTCTAGGTACGTCATGTGCACTTGGCAATTTGTGCGGCTAGATTTTATGAGCTTTGAAAGATTATGGACAGTTGGCAGTCGATCATTTATCCCAAGTAAGAAAGGCCCATTAGGATTGTGTTCTCCCTTCACCATCCTCCTGGACCAATCATTTATCAGAATAATTCCCCCAAACACTTCTCTCTAATTCTGTTTCCAGATCACCACCTCTATGTGACATCATGGGAACTTAGTGCAAATAAATCTCCAGAGAAACCTCTGGTGGACAGATATTGAAATGGATTGCCGCAGGAGGGCATTACTTATCTCCTTTGAGAGCAGGGTTTATCACTAAAGCAAGGCTTTGACGAAAAACACTCCTGAGGCTTCTGTGTACCTTAGTGTTTCCAAAGCATTTCACCATCAAGTCTGAACATAGCCCAGAGCAAAATTCGTGCAGGATCTTTTAGCAGCTTCGAACTGAGGCCACAAATTGGGGTCCAAGAGGAAGCAGCCGCGATAGTACATGCTAGTTATTATTATTATTGATACTATTTTTGTTGTTGTTTAGCTAGCAGGATAGAAAAGATGCCTGAAATTGGTCTTTGTTGGCACTGAAAAAGAAACCATCTGAAAGATAACCTTCTCCAAGTCTCTGAATTATCCTATGCAGAAGTATTGTATCACTGTGGAGGGTTATATGATTTTATATATGGGATGGTGTTTAAGACTTATGAAAATTTGGAACTTAGACAATATCTAAGAGTGTTTTCTTTTCAAGTCACTTCACTCTTCCTAACTCAGGTTAGAATTCGACAATGGGAGTTGATCATTTTCAGTGTATTCCTTGTAATCCCGAATGAGACAAAGGAAAGACAGAAAGACTTTGGGTGATGGCAAAACAAATGCTTCTGAGAGGATAAGGTGGAGAAGTTGCTTCAGACTGAGCTGGTCTAAAAGGGCCACATATGGGACTGGGATATAAGTCAGGCCTTGAAGTTTGCGTGGAAACAAGGTAAGTGACAGGCAAAGCATAGTGCAGGTGGAAGACTAAAGATGTATGTATCCAAAGGCACTTCCAGCCTGGCAAGAGGAGGGGAAAAGAGGGAGAAACCAATTCACAACCTAGTGCTTAGGAATTCTGAACTTTATTTATTTAAAGACAGGGTCTTGCTCTGTCACCCAGAGTTAGTGCAGTGGTATGACCATGGCTCACCGCAACCTTGACTGCCCAGGTTCAAGTGATCCTCCCACCTCAGCCTCCCAGGCCACCACACACAGCTAATTTTTAATTTTTTGTAGAGACAGAGTCTCCCTGTATTGCCCAGGCTGGTCTTGAACTCCTGGGCTCAAGCAGTCCTCCTGACTTGGCCTCTCAAAGTGCTGGGATTACAGTCATGAGCCACTGCACCCAGCCCTGGACTTTATTTTAAAGCTAGCGAGACAGGTTCAAAATAGTCAAGTGTATTTCACCAGGTAGCAAATGGCAAATGTGGAATTTGTATGAAGATCTGTCTGTTTTCAAAGCCCTTGTTTTTTGTTCTCACTTATAAGTGGGAGCTAAAGCCAGGTGCGGTGGCTCACACCTGTAATCCTAGCACTTTGGGAGCCAGAAGCAGGTGGATCACTTGAGGTGAGGAGTTTGAGACCAGCCTGGCCAACATAGTGAAACCCCGTCTGTACTAAAAATACAAAAAAAATTAGCTGGGTGTGGTGGCACGTGCCTGTAATCCCAGCTACTCAGGAGGCTGAGGCAGGAGAATCACCTGACCCCAGGATGTGGAGGTTGCAGTGAGCCAAGCTGCGCCACTGCACTCCAGCCTGGGTGACAGAGCGAGACTCTGTCTCAAAAAATAAATAAATAAATAAATAAATAAATAGATAGATAGATAGATAAATAAATAATAAGTGGGAGCTAAACATAGGTACACGCAGACACAAAGATGGGAACAATAAACACTGGAAACTCCAAAACAGGAGAGACAGGGTGGGACAATGGCTGAAAAACTACCTATCAGGTACTACATTCAGTAGGACTTGGGTGACAGGATCATTAGAAGCCCAAACCTCAGCATCACACAATATACTCATGGAAAAAACCTGCACATGTACCCACTGAATTGAAAAAAAAAAAAAAAAAACTATGTTCTGTGCCCTCATCTGTATATTGGGAGTGTTGGACTCAGTTGCCGATTCTAAGAACAAAATGAAAAGAAAAGGTGTGTATTGGAGGCCCAAAGATAACTCAGGGCTATGTGAAAGAGTCTTGGTTCTCAGAACATTAATCCTTTATCTCAGAAATTCTAAACCAGCAACCAAGCAACTAACCAAGTCCACCTGTCACTTGTGATCTTTATATAGCCACCAGGTTTAGGACATTTTAAACATAATTATTAAATTATGTTTGATATTAAAATTCTGAAGGTAGTATACCCAAAGGATCAGATTTCTATCTTGTTTCAAGGAATAGAGAGATTTGGCAACTTTTGGCATCCTTTAAGGTTTGGCCCCCCGAGGCTGGAGTTGAGTGGCCACAGTCCATTTTCTTTTTTCTTTTGTTTTTTGAGATGGAGTTTCGCTCTTGTTGCCCAGGCTGGAGTACAATGGCAGGATCTCGGCTCACTGCAACCTCCACCTCCCAGGTTCAAGCAATTCTCCTGCCTCAGCCTCCCTAGTAGCTGGGATTACAGGCATCTGCCACCACGCCCGGCTCATTTTTGTATTTTTAGTAGAGATGGGGTTTCACCATGTTGGTCAGGCTGGTCTCGAACTCCTGACCTCAGGTGATCCACCCACCTCAGCCTCCCAAAGTGCTGGGATTACAGGCATGAGCCACCATGCCCAGCCCCACAGTCCCTTTTCATAGGCAGGAAGAGGCTCATTTGCCTCTGTGTACCTAGAAGCTCTTCACTAATTTTTTTTTTTTTGAGATGGAGTCTCACTCTGTCGCTCAGGCTAGAGTGCAGTGGCGTCATCTCGGCTCACTGCAACCTCTGCCTCTAGGGTTCCAGCGATTCTCCTACCTCAGCCTTTCAAGTAGCTAGGATTACAGGTACACACTACCACACCCAGCTAAGTTGTTTTTTTTTTTTTGTATTTTTAGTAGAGACGGGATTTCACCATGTTGGCCAGGCTATCTCGAACTCCTGAACTCAGGTGATCCGCCAGTCTCAGCCTCCCAGAGTGCTGGGATTACAGGTGTGAGCCAGTGTGCCCAGCTTGCTTCACTAATTTTTATTAACCTGCAAAGCCTGGCACTTGAGTGAGAGGCCTCATTATTTTGTTTAATAATGAAAAGCTACACAGGGCTTTCAGTTGGAAAGTAACATGATGAAAGAAGAGTTTCAAGAAGCAAGAAAAAGGACAATATGATACATGAAAATAGATCTTAAATGTGGTGCATATAGCACTTTATGCAATTGCTAGTAATCCTTAATATTCACTAACTTCCATCCAAATCTTCCCACTTAACAAGCATTCTGAGGCACAAAGTATTATTTGGTAGCTAAAGAAGTCAATGAGTGTGCCATGATAGTGTTGGGAGATACTTTAGCAACTGAGTCCAACTCTTGTTTTATAGTTGAGGACAGAAAGGCCTATCTAGGAAAAGCATTTTTACCCAAGGTAGCATGGCCTGAGAGCTATTGTATGTGTTAGAAAGTTCATTCATTAGTGATGGTATAAAATAATGCAAAGTATCAAAAAGATTTTGAATAAAGGTCCTAATGGAACTATGCATTGCATAATGAACATCAATTTTCTTTTCTTTTTTTTTTTTTTTTTTTTGTGATGAAGTTTCACTCCATCGCCCAGGCTGGAGTGCAGTGGCACGATCTCAGCTCCCGGCAACCTCTGCCTCCCGTGATTCTCCCCCCTCAGCCTCCTGAGTAGCTGGAACTACAGGCGTGCGCCACCATGCCCGGCTAATTTTTATATTTTTAGCAGAGACGGGGTTTCACCATGTTGGCCAGAATGGTCTCCATCTCCTGACCCCGTGATCCGCCCGCCTTGGCCTACCAAAGTGCCAGGATTACAGGCGTGAGCCACCACGTCCGGCCTGAACTTCATTTTTCATTCTTCCCTTTTCTCTCTATTTTTTTTCTTTATGTTTCTTGAACAGAAAATAATTGTAAACTCCTTCTCAGTGGGTTTCTGTGTGGGGGACTGCAGCTCTCTATGCAAACCTGTGTGTCTGCACTGAGATTGTGCCTGAGAACAAGTGTCAGGTCTTGCTGCCACCCACCCCGCCCGATTTCCCACCCTGTTCTTTGTTGGGATGATTGATATGAGAGAAACCAGTGGCCTGGAAAATAGAAAGTGCAGTCAATTTTTGGTTTTGAGGCTTTTTGATTTCATGTAGCATTAACATTTCCAAAAAAACAAATTCAGAGTTTGACAATTTTAAAACTTTCCACAGATTGACAATTATCTACTGTGGAAAGTATTAATTACATAAAGAACACTTTAACATCAAAGCAGTTGAAAGGGCACACTCAGAATAACTGGCAACTTTTCCTGAATAAGGATTGTTGGAAATGTAACCCTGACATACATACATACATTTGCTTTTCCATGTAGGAATGTTGCAAATTTGTCTGACCTTGCTCTGAATGAATGAACATTTTAACATCGTCTGGCATTTGGGAAACATTTGTTCTAAACAGCACCCCCACTACTAACTGAAATATTTCTATTGCCACTGTGAGTGAATTTTGATTATTGCTTTGTTTTCATGTCAAACCATCTGCTGAGTTTTTTCAAATCTGAAACAGCCTACAAAATCTATTCTCACAGCATATTTCTATACTTGCAGAAATCAACGTATAGATATTTATAGTCTAATCTCTGTGCCACTTCTGAGTATATTCCCAAGTGTTTGCAGGAAAGGAGCTGTCTGCCCTGTGTTCTTGTCTTCCCAGTTCTCTCTGTGGTTGTAGTTCGTTTTAACGTAAGCTGTGCAGTGGAGGTGATTTTTGCTTGCTGGTGGTCATGGGTAAGGCAGTTATGAAGTCTGACATTATTCTTGGAATGATTTTAAGCAAAATATCGTAGTTCATCAAAACCTGTCTGCAAAACGCCAACAAGTTAATAGTCATTTATGTTCAGAAGGAAAAAATTATGGCTGCCAGACCACCTTCATTTGGGAGATTTGGCCATAAATTTTAAATATCCATTGTGAGAATTATACTATGTGTAAGGAAATCAGCATCCTGCAGTTTTACAAGTGGGCCTTAGAAGGGCATAATGCACAAAGGCACAGTAAGAACAGAAAGACTTAAGAAATGCAAGCAGAACAGGCAAGTAAAAAGGCATCTCTAAAACTTCTGGCGTCTCCTACAAGGCTTTTAGGTACGGGCACAGTTCCTAAGGCTTTTTTTTTTCTTTTAAAGACAAAATGGTGGTGTGGCGTCCTGAATGTTTTAAACACTTAGAATTGCCACCAGTTTTGAGCCCTTTCTATGCGATGTCTTACGTGGGTCATCTAATGTCAGCTTTGGAAAAGCCCTGTGGGATGTAAAGACTGATGAGGAAACTGAGGTTTAGTGAGAGGTTGGTACCTGGCCCAGGGTCTCAATCTGGCAGGGCTTGGCTATCCTTTATCTGGTCCTTGTACCAAACAAAAACTATTCCCTACTGGGCACTGGAGTTAGAAAAAGGTGTGTGCCTACCACAGCTACTATATGATGATTATACCAATTTGTTTAAGAAAAAAATTGTGTGGGCTTTGGGGTCAAATCAGACCTACTTCCAGTTTCATCCTCACTGCTTACTAGCAATGCAACTTTAGGAAAACTTATATCGTCAGTTCATTTAAGCCTCAGTTTTCTTATCTGTCAAACAGAAAAAAATATTGCCTTACCTCATGGGGTATTGAAATTTATAGACAACAGTAGATATCACTACCTGTACCTAGTAAAACAGTTTTAAATGTTAGCTATTATCATTGTTAATTACTTTTCCTTGAGCAGGCAGCCGTAATAATGAATGATTCTCTTTGAGTTGGGGGAGATTTTCAGAAGTTTACATTGGTACATCATTTTCTTAAAGTTTTTTTTTTTTTTAAGACAAGGTCTTGGGCAACCCGCTCAGGTCCCCTTCCATGCTGTGGAAGCTTTGTTCTTCTTTCGCTCTTCACGATAAACCTTGCGCTACTCACTCTGAAAAAAAAAAAAAAAAAAAAAAAAGACAAGATCTCTCTGTTGCCCAGGTTGGAGTGCCGAGTGGCGTGATCATAGCTCACGGCAGCCTTGAAATCCTAAGCTAAAGCAATCTCCTGCCTCAGCCTCCAGATTAACTGGGACTAAAAGCATGCTCTACTACCTCTACTACGCCCAGCTAATAGTTAATTTTTGTAGAGTTGGGGTCTTGCTCTGTTGCCTGGGCTGGTTTTTTGTTATTAACTTGAAATTTTATAGTTTTTGCAGGAAGTTACAGAATACTCAATAAAAGTAAGTTCTGAAATTGTCACTGAGAGCAATATGAAATTTCAAAAACTGCTTTTAATTCCAACAAGAACTTTGTTGAATGTAGGGGCTGAGTATGCTCTCAGAAATATTTTGAGAGTACACTGTTCCAGTATCAATGGGTTCAAGGATCCCATCAGTCTTGGGTGCTCGTGCTTGTGGTCTTTATTGGAATCAACTTTCCTTTCTCTCTTGAACCTTGGCATAAACTTCTAGACTCTTACCATGAAATCACCATGACTTGTTTAGGACTAGCATTGGAAATTAGACCATGCACACCCCACACTCACTAAAGCTAAATTTTCATAGAGTGAGGTTAATTTCCTGCTTCTTCCTTCCCAGTTGACTTTTGTGCAATCGATTTCCTAAAATTCAAAACAAGATGCCAATTTGCCATAAACATTTTAAGAAGATCCTTAACCGCAGCCTGAACTTGCCCTAAGGCAGGTTCTGTTCTATGCCTTCATTTCCTCTCTCCTCCTTATCAGGGAGCTGATCCACCTGCTGCAGCAAGAGCCCTGTTCTCTGCTGACTACTGACCCTGGTTTCAACACAAACACTTTGATCTATGGGCAAATTTTGAAAAAGTTGAACAGGAAAACAACTTGAGAATGATAAATGCAATTGTTCCCTTTTCTCCACCCTTTCAGCACACGTTTACACATACGCTCACATACATACAATATACACATTCAAGAATATACAAAGAATTCCTTAAAGCCCAGAGCAAAAGTGAATTTCCAGGACAAAAGGAATACTATCTTTATTGAGGCCATTCCTAGAAGCTCTGAGCTTTGGACAAGGGCAATTCTTAACTTACACACTTTAATCTTAAGAGTTAATAATCTAAAGTACAATTATTAAATAATAACATTGGTATTTAACAAATATGCCAGAAATTCTACATCCAGTGATTGCTGATCATTCAGTCACTGCACTTGTAAATATTGAACTCAACAGATATTGTTAAATGATCGTTTTCGTTCAGGCGAAGCAAACATTAACCCCAATGACCATACGGTAAATGTAGTTTTATGCTTTTGCAGAATAGATAGTTCCTGAGTTGTTATATGAGTTAGACTTCTTAAAAACTAAGTTGTTATTAATATCCTAAAATATTTTAAGTGATTTAAGTTTCCTTGCAGTAAACCTTTTATATAACTATTTGCCTTAAAACAGAAATGAAGTAGTTTTTTGTTTTTTAAGACAGAGTCTCACTCTGTCACCCAGTCTGGAGTGCAGTGGCACTATCTCAGCTCAGTGCAGCCTCTGCCTCCCAGGTTCAAGCAATTCTCCTGCCTCAGCCTCCCACGTAGCTGGGATTATAGGCAAGTACCACCACATCCGGCTATCCGGCTATGTTTTTTGTTTTTTTTTTTTTTTTTTGTATTTTTAGTAGAGATGGGGTTTCACCATGTTGGCCAGGCTGGTCTTGAACTTCTGGCCTCAAGCAATCCACCCGCCTTGGCCTCCCAAAGTGCTGGGATTACAGGCATGAGCCACCACGCCTGGCCAGTTTGAAGTAGTTTTGACACAGGGATAGACATATAAATCAATAGAAACAACTAGGAGATCCAGAGTCAAAACCCTGAACACATGAAAATTTGGTCTATCACAGAGGCGGCTTTGCAGATGAGCTGGAGAAAGTCATCTTTTCAATAAATGGTGCTGCTATGATTGGTTGCCCATATGGGGGGGGGATTTGGACTTGTTTGTACATCACAAACAATAATTTATTTCAAGTGTATAAGGTTCTAAAGGTGAAAAGGAAGCCTTCAAAAATGCTAGAATAAAATATAGCAAATTTTTAAATTTCTTTAAGGTAGCATAAGAGTTTAAAAATATACACACAAACGTACACACAAGCACATACATAAAGGAAGGTATTGATAAATACTTCCTCATTAAGATGTAAAACCTAGTTTCGTCAAAGATCATTTTTAAAAAGTGAAAGGGGCGGAGCACAGTGGCTCACGCCTGTAATTTCAGCACTTTGGGAGGCCAAGGCAGGCGGATCATCTGAGGTCAAGAGTTGGAGACCAGCCTGGCAACATAGTGAAACCCCATCTCTACTAAAAATACAAAAATTAGCGGGTGTGGTGGCACATGCCTGTAATCCCACTACTCAGGGGGCTAAGGCAGGAGAATAGCTTGAACCTGGGAGGCGGAGGTTGCAGTTAGCCAAGACAGCGCCACTGCACTCCAGCCTGGGCAACAAGAGTGAAACTCTGTCTCAGAAAAAAATTAAAAAAATGAAAGGATGAGGCACAGTCTGGGAGAAGATATTTGCGAACCGTAAATCAACAAACAACAAATCAATTGGAAAGAAAACATGTTGTACATAATAGGTACATAATAGAAATGTGCAGATGTTACAAAAATATAAGTTTAGGGGCCAAATATATATATTTTAGAGACAGGGTCTCATTCTGTTAGGCTTGACTACAGTGGCCTGAGCATAGCTCACTGCAGCCTCAAACTCCTGAGTTCAAGTGATCCTCCCGCCTTGGCCTCCCACAGTGTTGTTTGTGATTATGGCTGTGATTACGGCTGTGATTGAGGGACTGCACTTGGCTATGGGCCAAACATTTTTAAAGAACGTTATGCTTCTTTATCTATAAAGATGCTACAGTTATCTATAAAGTGATTTATTATATGTGAATTAAGTCAATATTAAACTCCACCTTGTTTTTGTTGATATGTTCCATTGCACATGAAACACAAATATTTTTGAATTGTGATTGTAAGAAGCATTTTATAACACTGAGATTTAATTCAAATTTACTACACAGAAAAATCATGATTTAACTTTCACAATTACTGCAACTTCCTCCTTGTTTTATCCACATAGGCTCAAATTGTTTCCATTGACGTGGGGCTTCCTCATCCTTTTCTTCCAATTGATTTCTGAGCACACTATTGAACAAAACTGATTCAAGGCTCTGAAACCCACAGTTTTATCATTAATAATTGTAACAGCTGTTTTTAAATCAGCTCCTATGTGCTTAGCATTGTGCTAAGCACTTTGTATACTGTCTCCCTTTTACTTCTTACAAACCTATGAGATAGGGACTATTTTTAACATCCCCACTTTACAGATGAGAAAGCTGAGACACAGAAACTATGTAATTTGCTTGCAATTAAACATCTAGTAAGGTTCATTTTTTTAAAAGGATTTCTGGTCTAGGAAATATAAAAACTATCATTGCTCTTCTTTGTGACGTCTTTAAGTTATGAAGGTAAGAGCAACAGCTAAATAATGCTATTTTTTAATGGCAAAACCTGCTATTACTTTGGCGCTAACCTATTACCTTCTAAAATGCATCTGTTTGCTCAGTTTATTTTCTTTGAATAACTGTTGAGGGGCCCTAAGACACACTGAAACATTTCTGAGTTTAAAAAATATATAAAGTAAAACAAAGTTTGTAAAAGTTGAACTCTTGCAAATAGTCCATATTTCAGGTGACACTTGGCCCTTGAACTGCACGGGTCTGAACTGTGCTGGTTCACTTATATGCAGGTATTTTCAATAAATACATTTAAAAATTTTTGGAGACTTGAACAATTTGAAAAAAACTTGCATATGAACAATGTAGCCTAGAAATATAAAAAAATTGAGAAAAAAGTATGCCATGAATGCATAAAATATATGTATTTTATCATTTACTACTAAAAATATACACAGTTCTATTATAAAAAGTTAAAATGTGTTGATACTTATGTACACAGACACCTACAGACCATGCATGGCACCATTCACAGTCCAGAGAAATGTAAACAAATATAAAGATGCAGTATTAAAGTAACTGCGAAAATTCACTGTGTATATACAGTGATACTCATTGACAGATAAGAAAGCCAAAACACAGAAACTATGTAATTTGCTTTCAATTAAACATCTAGTAAGGTTCATTTTTTTAAAAAGATTTTTGGTCCAGGAAATATAAAAACTACCATTGCTCTTCTTTGTGACATCTTTAAGTGATGAAGCTAAGAGCAACAGCTAAATAATGCTATTTTTTACTGGAGTAATTTCATAGCCATCTCCTATTGCTATTGTGGTGAACTCAAGTGTTGCAAGTATTGCTTAAAACGCCATGTGAGCTAACCATCTCCAAGTAAGCAGTGTGTCTCTTCAGTAAATCGTGTATCACAGTGCAAAGCAATCTCTTATGGTCCTCCAAGTCTTTTTCATCGTGTTGAGTACAAATCCCAAACCTTGAGTAATACCATGGGACCCATAAAAAGTGCCACTAGTGGTGCTGCAAGTGCTCCCAGGAAGCAAGGATGAGTCGTGACATTAAGAGGAAAGGTCAGATTGCCTGATTTGTACCATAGATTAAGGTTTGCTGCTGTGCCTGCCATTTCAGACAGATGATTCATCTTGTAAACAAATGCCACAAATTTACACTGTCTATGCAGTACAGTAGTGTAAATGTATTTTTTCTTCCTTATGATATTTTCTTAGCACTTTCTTTTCTGTAAGAATACAGTATTTAACACAAATGACATACAAAATTGTATTGATTGACTATTTGTGTCATCAGTAAAGCTTCCAAGCAACAACAGGCTATAAGCAGTTAAGTTTGGAGGGAGTCAAAAGTTCTATGCAGATTTTCGATTGCCTGAATAATGGTTTATCTGAGTCCTCCCTGACTTCTCTAGGTGGGCAGCCAGATCAGCTCTCTTAACACCAGGTGTTTACAAAACGAAAAAGCCCCTTTTGAGAGGTTCTGTAGATAAAGAAGAATGAAGAAAGTGCCATGTACCTTCCATCCTCCAGGTGTTCTCCAATGGACCAAAGTTCAGCCAACAGACCCCATGTGGTTGTGCTTGTTGCTAAATTATAATATTAACATTGGTTTATACTGATTGGAAAATAGTCACTGCCCTGAGGCCTACCCCCATAAGCCAGTGCCTTCTGCTACCCAGAAGCCGTGACCCTTCCTCCAGCCCTGCACTGTCCAACAACTTGAAGGCTAAGGGTTGGCACAGCAAAGGTATTCTGCATCCTTGATCTTGAGCTATCATCAGCATCCATTCTGATCAGCTGGTGTCCATGAGGCAGCACCAGTTGTTAACTCTGTTGGTTATCACCTCTGCATCTTCCATTCTTTATACTGAGTCCCCCAGCTATGGTGATTGGTTTAAAGGAGCAAACCATAGGTTCAAATAAGGAATTAATGACAATCTAAATAAATGAGGGGGACAGCTCAGTCCTCAGCTATTGCTTCTACAAATCCACCAAGAATTTCTTCATCAATATGGTTCCTGTTCCCTGCAGGTCCATCTCCATTCACTAAAGCAGTTCAGAAGTGGGTCTTTCTCTTCATTGCCTTATTTCTGCCTATGACCTACTCAGAAGCAAGTTCTTAATTATTATTAGCTCAACTGATTTATTTTGCACAGAAATACACAATTTACTGATGTATACAAAGTGTTATTGAGAGACAGGACTAGCTGGATTTCCTAGGCCAACTAAGAATCCCTAAGCCTAGCTGGGAAGGTGACCGCATCCACCGTTAAACACCGGCTTGCAACTTAGCCCATACCCGACCAATCAGGTAGTAAAGAGAGCTCACTTAAATGCTAATTAGGCAAAAACGGGAGGTAAAGAAATAGTCAATCATCTATCGCCTGAGAGCACAGGGGGAGGACAATGATCAGGATATAAACCCAGGCATTCCAGCCAGCAACGGCTACCTGCTTTGGGTCCCCTCCCTTTGTATGGGAGCTGTGTTTTCACTCTGTTAAATCTTGCAACTGCACTCTCTTCTGATCCGTGTTTGTTATGGCTAGAGCTGAGCTTTCGCTCACCGTCCACCACTGCTGTTTGCCGCCGTAGCAGACCGCCGCTGAATTCCACCCCTCTGGATCCGGTAGGGTGCCCACTGTGCTCCTGATCCAGCGAGGCACCCATTGCTGCTCCAATCGGGCTAAAGGCTTGCCATTGTTCCTGCAGGGCTAAGTGCCTGGGTTCGTCCTAATCGAGCTGAACACTAGTCACTGGGTTCCACAGTTCTCTTCTGTGTCACAGCTTCTAATAGAGCTATAACACTCACCGCATGGCCCAAGATTCCATTCCTTGGAATCTGTGAGGCCAAAAACCCCAGGTCAGAGAATAAAAGTCTTGCCGCCATCTTGGAAGCAGCCCACCACCATCTTGGGAGCTCTGGGAGCAAGGACCCCGGGGTAACATTATCTCTGTGCTGTACCAAGATCCAGGCAGTAGGTCTTTTACTTCCCCTCCTTATAAGGGTAGATGATCATAGACCATGTACTTTGAGAAACTCCTTGGTCTCCTATCTCCATCTCTCACGGTAAAATAATTTTTTTTTTTTTTTGAGACAGAGTTTCACTCTTGTCACCCAGTCAGGAGTGCAATGGTGTTATCCTGGCTCACTGCAACCTCCACCTCCCGGGTTCAAGTGATTATCCTGCCTCAGTCTCCCAAGTAGCTGGGATTACAGGTGCGCACCACCATGCCTGGCTAATTTTTGTATTTTTAGTAGAGACAGTTTCACCATCTTGGCTAGGTTTGTCTCCAACTCCTGACCTCAAGTGATCTGCCTGCCTTGGCCTCCCAAAGTGCTGGGATTACAGGCGTGAGCCACCACGCCTGGGCTATCATATATTTTTTTTTAAGGTAAGACACCTCCACTGTAAGAGAAATGAATCAGCTCCAACAGAAGAAGGGGCAGTAGTATTCTAGGATGACAGGTATCATCTGTTGTAGGCAAAACTGCTGGATGAAGGCTCCAATAGGCTCTAATGGTCCCCAAACTCACAGGTGAATAAAAATGCTCACTTACTGTGATACATAATTGTATATGTCAGTTTGGCTAGGCTGTGATACCCAGTTATTTGTGCAAACACCAGTCTAGATATTGCCTTAAAGTTTATTTTTGAGATGTGATTAATATTTAAATCATTAGACTTTGAGTAAATCATCTCCATAATGTGGATGGACCTTACCAATCACTTGACGGCCTTAGGAGAAAAGACTGAAGTCCCCTGAAGAGAAAGGAATTCTGTCTCTAGTCCTCCTTTGGACTCAAGACTGTAACCCCAATTCCTGTCAGGTCTGCCCTGCAGGTTTCAGACTTGCCAGCGCCCACAATCAGATGAGCCAATTAATTAAAATAAATCTCTCTCTCTCTCCAATATATGCTCTTGGTTCTATTTTTCTGAAGAACCCTAACACACTTACCCACAGAAAAACTGTATCAGGAAAAGGTGATTACTTCTTTTAAAATTATGTCAAGTTTTTTGTTTGTTTGTTTGTTTTTGAGATGGAGTCTTGCTCGTCGCCCAGGCTGGAGTGCAGTGGCGCGATCTCAGCTCACTGTAACCTCTGCCTCCCGGGTTCAAGTGATTCTCCTGCCTCAGCCTCCCAAGTAGCTGGGACTACAGACGCATGCCACCACGCCCGGCTAATTTTTTGTATTTTTAGTAGAGACGGGGTTTCACCGTGTTAGCCAGGATGGTCTCGATCTCTTGACCTCGTGATCTGCCTGCCTCCGCCTCCCAAAGTGCTGGGATTACAGGCATGAGCCACTGCGCCCGACCTATGTCAAGTTTTTGAAGCTTAAAGTATGAAAAGCATAATTCTGAGAACATTAATGAGCATATTTTAATTACTACTTGTAATAATGTAAGATGACTTTTACCCTTCACAAAGGGACAGGACTAAACCTATTTAGCAGCATAAAAAAGCCTAAGATTTGGCATGTTTCGGGGACAGCCAACCAGCACTTGACTCCAGAACAGTTGGTATTCTCTGCTATTAGCAAGAAACCTCACTGTACTATATGTGTTCCTGGTAGTCATTGTCTTCTATACCTCCCCTTCTCCTGCACTAGCTCCCAGATATACATTCCTTAAGGGTAGAGGAGGCTGTCAAGAATCCCAGTTTTCAGTCCCAAAAAGAGACCCGGGGCCACTGGTAAGGCATTCTGCTTGAGCTTCAAAGATTAAGCTCCTCTCCTGCCCTTGTTGGGTCTAGGAATGGAACATGAAGGCCAACCACTTACACTGCAATGTATTTCTCACCACTCACTTTCCCATGCTTACTGTGTTTGGCCAATACCCAAGTAAATACAACCCAATCTGTGAACATAGTATACCTCTTCATTTACTTAGATCCCTTTAAAAGTATTTCAATAAAGTCTTATAGAGTTCTATGTAAAATCCCTATGTAACTCTTTTTACGTTTATTCCTAGGGCTTATTTTTTATAACTTTTTTTTTTTTTTTTGAGACAGAGTCTCACTCTGTCACCCAGGCTGGAGTGCAGTGGCATGATCTCAACTCACCACAACCTCTGCCTCCTGGGTTCAAGCGATTCCCTTGCCTAAGCCTCCCGAGTAGCTGGGATTATAGGCTACCACACCTGGCAAATTTTTTGTATGTTTAGTAGAGATGGGGGTTTCACCATGTTGGCCAGGCTGGTCTCGAACTCCTGACCTCAAGTGATCTGCCTGTCTCAGCCTCCCAAAGTGCTGGGATTGTAGGCATGAGCCACTGTGCCCAGCCTTTTATAACTATTTTATATAATGTCTTAAAATGACAAGGCTGGGCACAGTGGCTCATACCTATAATCCTAGCACTGTTGGATGCCAAGGCAGAAAGATTGCTTGAGGCCAGAAGTTTGAGATCAATATGGGTAATATAGCAAGACCCGATTTCTACAAAAAAAAAAAAAAAAAAAAAAAAAAAATTCTGGGTGTGATGGCATGTGCCTGTAGTCCCAGCCATCCAGGAAGCCGAGGTGGGAGGATGACTCGTGCCCAGGAGTTCGAGGCTGCAGTGAGCTATGATCACACCACTGCACTCCAGCATGAGAGACAGAGTGAGACCCTGTCTCTAAAAATAAGTAAGTCAATAAATAAATAAAAAAATAAATAAATAAATACTCTTTCTGTTTGTTGTTGATTAAAAATTATCATCAAATAACTTGGGTCTTTCTCCTTTTTTTTTTTCTTTTTGAGACGGAGTTTCACTCTTGTTGCCCAGGCTGGAGTGCAGTGGCGAGATCTCAGCTCACTGCAACCTCTGCCTCCCGGGTTTAAAGGGATTCTCGTGCCTCAGCCTCCCGAGTAGCTGGGATTACAGGCATCCACCATTACGCCTGGCTAATTTTTTTATTTTTTTAGTGGGGATGGGGTTTCACCTTGTTGGCCAGGCAGGTCTCAAAACTCCTGACCTCAGGTGTTCTGCCCACCTTGGCCTCCCAAAGTGCTGGGATTACAGGTGTGAGCACTGCACCTGGCCAAGTTATTTCTTCTTTTTCTGTACTTGAAATAGTTTGTGTAAGACAATATGATATCTTTACTAAATGTTTGGTAGATGTTTCCGGTAAAGCCATCTGGACCTAGAGGTTTTATTTATGTGTTCTTTTTTTAAAATATAATTTTTAACAATTCAACTTAGCAGTTCAGGATGTTTCAGATAATTTATTTCTTCTTGAGTAAATTTTGATAGGTTATATTTTTCCATAATTGTATTCATTTCATGTATATTTTTAAATTATTGGCATAAAATTGTTTATATTATCTTTTAATTTTTTTTCATTTTTGCAGCATATGTGGTAATATTCCTTTTATTGTTGTTGATAGTCTGTAAGTTATATCTTCTCTGTTTTTTTTTTTTTTTTTCTGAAATGGATCCTCACTCTATTGCCCAGGCTGAAGTGCAGTTGTGCAATCTAGGCTCACTGCAACCTCCACCTCCCGGGTTCAAGCGATTCTCCTGCCTCAGCCTCCTGAGTAGCTGGGATTACAGGTGCTCACCACCACACTCGGCTAATTTCTGTATTTTTAGTACAGATGGCATTTCACCATGTTGGCCAGGCTGGTCTCGAACTACTGACCTCAATTGATCTGCCCATCTCAGCCTCCCAAAGTGCTGGGATTACAGGCGCGGGCCACTGCAGCTGGCCACTCTCTTTTGTTGATTAAAATCTCACCAAAAGTCTATCAATATTATTACTTTTTAAAAAGAATCAGCTTTTGGCTTTGTTGAATCTCTGTATTATATACTTGTTTCCATTTCACTGCTTTCTGCTATTTTAATTTTCTTTTCTGTGTCTTTCTAAATATTTATTTTACGCTTTTTCTAACTTCTTGAGGTGCTTATTTATCTAATTAGTTTTTTACCTCTTATTTTTTCTAATATGTGTATTTGAGTTCCTATATTTCTTTATCATATCCATATCCACAAATTTTGAAAGTTAGTGTCTTAATAATTATTCCATTCAAAATACTTTCTAATTTGATTTTTTCTCTGACCCTTAAATAATTTAGAAGTAAATTTCTAAATTTTGAAACATGTAGAATCTAGTTATCTTTTTGTTATCTATATCTAGCTTAATTGCTAGAGATTATGATTTAAGAACCCACACTATATGATTTCAATTCATTGAAATAAGACTTGCTTTATGGCCAATTATGCTTAACATTTGTAAATGTGCCATGTATTCATATATCTATATATATTTATATATTCTGTGATTGTTTTCTTCTTACAGTTTTATATAAGACCATTAAGGTTAAGTTTGTTAATTGGATTGTATAAATCTCTTTTAAGCTTACTGTCTTTTTTGCCCATTTTGTTCTATCAAATTTCTCATAAAACTCTGTTGGACTTTATTTCTCCTTTTCATTCTGTCCTTTTGCTTTATGCCATTTGAGGCTATGTTATTAGACACATACAAATATAAAGTGTTATTTATAAAATAAAGTGTTATAGAGTCTGATGAATTAAATATTTTTTATTATTAAATTACTGTCTTTACTTTCTATAATACTTTTTTGCCTTAACGTGTAACAGTAAGACAAGCTTGGGGATACTGCCCATATAGAGCCACCTTAACTTTACTGGGAAATCCAGGTGATGTAAAGTTGGACTACAAATTTAGGCAAGGGCTGGTTTACTTACAGTTCAACTTTATCCTGAAGGTGTAGCCCTTTGGCACCTCAGCTTATTGTGGGGAGAATTTCCTATATGTGATTCCTCACACAGTATGGACCCAGGTCCCTGATTTCTGTTCCTTTCACCCAGCAAGGCCATTAAGGCAAACATTTGCGGATATAAAACTCTTAAAGGAAGAGGCATCAGCCATATTGCTAGAGCTATATAGATGTTGAAGTGCTTTTTATTCTTCTCTGCTATTTAAATACATTGCAAATTTTGTTTGGAAGCAGTTACAAAAATAGTAGACAATAGCAATGAATATGCTTGTATCATATTTCCCAACTACAACTACAAAATAATTTTTCAAGAAGAATATTATTACATGACCAGCATATGGTGAGCTCAGGATTCAAAACCAGACAGTCTGAGTCCAGAGGTATCTTAACTTGGCTGGATAAAAAGAGCTTAATCAAAGTAGGACCTCCCTCTTCTGATGATAGAACCTGACTAAATGTCTACATACCATGTGCCCTTCTGAGAACACCTGTTAAGAAACCAAGATTCTGCATCTATCCTAACAATAAAGACCTCTTTAACTGAGTTCCCTTTAAAATTCAACAAGTCTGCTGAAACAATTCACAAATACTGTTTAGAAATCTTTCATATTGTCAGCAAATATTTGAACAAAATGATGATGCTGTATTTAATATTGCAAGAATGTGTCACATAAATCAATATTCTTTCCTGATTCACAAAGCATATTTATATCCTATACAACATGTTGCATTTGAAAATGATTTCATTTTCTTTTCCAAATTGTAGTCCTTCTTCAAGAAACTACAGTAGATATGTACCTCATGAAGAACACAATATGTGTCCTCTTTCCAACTTTGTTTAAATAAACTGTTCATCAGTTCTTAGGCCTGCATATTCTTAGGTCTCTGTTAAGGAATTTGAAAATGTTCCAAGTTCTTAATTTAATCCTGAATTAAAACATCCTATCTTCAGCTTTCATCTTCTTGTGATAATTATTGTGCTTATGATGCACAATAGTGGATGTATGTATAATGTTTAGACTATTAAATACATTTATTCTCCCATCCATGACTAAGCCATTTTTATAACTTTTCAGTAATTTCGCCCTTTAGAATTTTATCTCCCTCCGCTCTTTTTTTTTTTTTTTTTTTTGGGAACTTTGGTACTATTGGCTCTTGATCTTATGCTTACAAGAGAATATTTAATGGGTTGGTGGCAGTTTTATTGTCTCTTAAACATTTAATAGGTTTTCTGCATAATTTCTTAATCTGTTCTTATTTTTTTTATGTTTTTGGTATAAAATTGAAAACTTGTGGGGTTGAATTTTATGACATTGGCACAATTCCTCCTCCATGGTTGTGGTATATACTTCTATTATACTCTTATGTCCAGGGAGTAAAATATGAATATAATAGTATCACATGGCCTTGATACATAAAGTTTATCTTCGGATCAGTATTACAGATTGAAAACTTTTTCTTTAGAAAACAAGATTGGAGATCTTGTAGATTATTTTTATTTTAATTGTTATTTATCGTAAATATACTGGCAAAATCTGGAAGTACATTTTATTACAATTTTTTAAGGTTCAACATCAGTTTGATCAACTTTGTTTTACTTGCCTATGTTCTGATGAAAATAGCACTGGGGTGGAAGTCAGGAAATTTAGATTCCAGTCATAACACTGCCATTTAGATGCTCTGTGATCTTGGGCCTCAGTTTAGACTAGGTCAGAGGTTTCCAAATTTTTTAAGGCTAACATTCTATGTTTAAACAAAATTTTACAATGTGAAAATCAAAACAGGTCCTCTGAAAAATAGTGGAATATATTATTTTTATTAAGTTGCTCCACAGTTCTAGGACAGTACTATTCATTTGATGAAGCAAGTCAATTTTTTTTTTTTTTTCCTTGAGATGTAGTCTTGCTCTTGTTGCCCAGGCTGGAATGCAATGGTGTAATCTCAGCTCACTGCAACCTCTGCCTCCCGGGTTCAAGTGATTCTCCTGCCTTAGCCTCCCAAGTAGCTGGGATTACAGGCATGCACCACTACATCTGGCTAATTCTGTATTTTTTGTAGAGACAGTGTATCACCGTGTTGATCAGGCTGGTCTCAAACTCTTGACCTCAGGTGATCCACCTGCCTTGGCCTCCCAAAGTGCTGGGATTACAGGCGTGAGCCACCACACCCAGCCCGCAAGTCAATCCTTATGAGAGACTGGAGAGATATTTTTCAACTGTTTGAAATGGCTATTTTTCTCTCATTGCTATTTAATTTACAAATACAGAAATCATAAGTTGAGGAAGCAACTTATAGACAACTTTTGCAAGTAGAGTTATAAAAACGATCAGTATGTGGGCCACTGCCATCTCTATAGATATGTGTAGTAACAGTTTAGTAAAAGTAAATTTTAAAGATGCAGTTTTCAAAAGTCCATACGTTAAACGAGAATAATCCTGAATGATAATACTGTCAGGGAACCATTAATCTGTTATTTAGACTTTGTACAAAGCGAACAAATGTAAATATTTTTATTTTCTTCTTAAATTCTATAAATGAGAAAGTTTATTACCATTTCTTCTTATGTCCTTTGGGAAATCCTCTGAAAGGACCTGATTGTGCATCTACAGTTGATTTTAGACAAGCCATTTCATGCATAATTCAAAACCCATTGTTAAGAGACAGAATGACATTTCCTCTGTGTTACAGATGAACTGAGTGTGAAGAACTACTTTATCTTTTGTGCACACTCTCTGGAGTCTAGTTGTGACCCACTCATGTCTCCAAGCTCTTCCCCTTTGATGACCTAGCTCCACCCTCCATCCTCCAGGGACCCATGCACCCACAGCCATTCCCAGCCTGTGGCCCTGGGGCTGCCCTCTCTCCTGCAACAGCTCCCTCCATCCTATTCAGCTATTGCCTGGAAACCTCTTTATTCTTCTCTCCTGTTTTCAATTTCTTAGCAAAACTTGTAAGTTTTTGATGCCTGCCCCTTCACACTGAAATTTCAGGCCTGGTCTTGCTGTCTTCCTTGTTTTGGTGATGCTCCAGGGGCCCAAGCCTTGGCCTAACATTGCTGTCAGCCAGGCCTCCCCATCACCTTGCCCTTGACCTGACCCTAAAGAAACAGCCCATCCCTGCCCTAGCCCCTCCCTACCCAGGAAGGGAGTCCCTAACAATGTCCAATGTCTCACTAAGTCAGTGCCACTTAAAATTATGGCTTTGCTTTTTTGAATGAATTTTAAATGCAAGATTTGAGTTTATAAAATCTGTTTATAGTTATTTAGGCTTGGCGTCTTCTTTTCATAACAAAAAAGCCACCAGAAATCACTCCCAAAAATTATTTTCTTTTTTTTTCCCCTCACTGGCCTCTAAATTAGCTAAAATCTTATAAAAGTCTTGTTTTTCCATGACCACTTTGTACAAATCCTCTTTGGAAGAACTTGACCAATGATCAGGTAACAGTTTCGAACCCTATTTTATGTATATACTGAATTAATTAGTACTTAATTTAAAATTTTTATTCTTGATGCCTTAATGAATAATTCATGTACAATGGTAATACTGAAAAGATTTTTGATTCACATAGGTGGGCAAACATCTGACAATACTGAAGTCATTATTCCTTAATTTATTTTTTCATCGTTTGATGAAACATTTATAAGGCATTTACTCTTTATCTGATTCCTTAAGAGAAAAATTTACAATCTCCTGAACAAGTCAAAATAATAAAATCTCATACAAACATGTATTTTTCCCTCCCTACATGGTTATCATATATGCTTCTGTTTGTTTTCTTGCAGAAAGGACAAAATCCCTTTTAAAGATACTATTTTCACTAAATCGTGAAAAGTGTTTTATGGTATAATTTCACATAAAAGCTTTAGTTCTGACATTGTAAAATATAGTATTATACCTTAAATCCTAAACATTCTTGCTTGTGAGCTGAAAATTAAGAATCAGGATCCAGTCAAGCCCTTTCAATTGCTTTTGGAACAGGTGCTGGGGCAAAGCTGTGAAAACAGAAAACTGAGCGCCAAGAATTCCCATGGACTTCAAGAATGGAACAGACAAAACCAAAGGGTGGTCCAACATTCACTGCCAAATGACATAGCTCAGTCTAATCACTGTATATTTTGAGAGCAAATGCACTGGAATAACAAAACGTTTTTCCTTTATTTTTACATTTTGAAAAATAGGAACGATGACAGTTGTGAGAGTTTTCTCTCTGGAACAGAGAAACTATGGAGAGGGCTCCGAAGCGGCAATTTTTCATAAGGAAAGAAAATGAAGGGCCCAGGTCTCTGCGGCTTTTTGTGCTGAGTCTCCCTGGACTCAGCTGCCTGAGGGTACAACAGGGCCTCTGGGAACTGTGGGAGGGAAGTCTCACTGGCTGCTACACAGGGCTGCTCCCCACGTCTGCCATCACACTGGGGGCAGTGCCCTTTTCTGATGCCAGGACCCTGTGGAACTGCTTTCCGGTGCTACTGGAGCCTTCTGGGTCTCACAGCTGGAGGGGCTCCCAATCTTGTTTTTCTCCTTTGAGGAGTCAGTTATCTCGGCGACTCTATTTCCTTTTCTGAATATACGATCAATGGCAACAGAGCCAGCTACTTCACAGAGTCAAATAAAGCAATGTGTACAAATGTCCTTTTTTTTTTTTTTTAAGACAATGTCTTGCTCTGTCACTCAGGCTGGAACGCAGTCGACAATCGTAGTGCTCCCTGCAGCCTCGACCTCCCAGGCTCAAGCAATCCTCCTGCCTCAGGCTCCCAAACAAATGTACTTTTAAAAGCGGAAATCAAGATGTGAAGGTAAGTATTTTAATTGGCTCTGTGAGCTGCCAGCTGATACAATTGGTTATGATTAGAAGTATGAAGGAGACTTAGAGAGAGATATCATGAACACAAGAAAGGTATTACTTAAGAATACAGATATGAGAGATAAGATCAAAATAAAATAAAAATAAGAGGAAATTAAAAGATGGCTAGCTCTGTCGGTCTATGTGCAGGTTGTTGGCTATGAAAGATAGAAACAAACTCTGAATGGCTATGCCAGGTGAAAGAAGTAAACAACACAGAGGGGCTGAAAAGATGGGAATTTACAAGTGTTGAAGTGGGGACACCAGGCATATTGTAAACTCCTAGCACAGGAACCATTTTTCTCTATTCACCTTGTACAGACAGGTAATACGAGCGCAAGACACTGACTCAGCTCAGTCTGTTATTTCCTCTTGATTGGAGTAAATTGAAGAGGAGAAACAGCCCAGAGATTTTATTTTTGGAATTCCATGACTTCTTTTAAACTTTTATTTTGAAATAATTTAGACTTTACAGAAAAATTACACAAATAGGAGAGTTCCTGTATACCCCTCACTCTGCCTCCCCTAATGTTAACAACTTCTATGACCATAGTCCAATGATGGAAACCAGGAAATTGACATGGATACAATTCTATTAAATGGCAGGCTTCATTCAAGTTTGCTGCTTTTCTCGCTAATGTGTTGTTCTCATCTAGACTTTAATCCAGGATTCCTTAATCTCCTCCAGTAGGTTCCTCAGTCCTTCTTTGTTGTTCAGGACCTTGACACTTTGAAGAGTACTGGTCAGTTCTTTTGTAAAAAGTCCGGCAATTTGGGTTCATCTGAAGTTCTCTAGGATTAAATTGAAGTTATGCATTTTTAGAAAAAAATACAACACAGAAGGGGGGTACAGCACATCAGAGTTTATGTAACATCAGTAGGTTTTCTAACTAGGGATGGTAACTTTGCTCCTTTGGTTAATGTGATGTCTGCCAGGCTTCTTCACTGTGAAGCTACTATTTTCCCCTCTGTTATTAAAAATTATCTAGTGAAGCCGGGCCTGGTGGTGTGCATCTGTAGTCCCAGCTACTCTGGAGGCTGAGGCCAGTGGATCTTTTGAGCTGAGGAGTAGGAGACCAGCCTAGGTGATGTAGCAAAACCACGTCTCTACAGAAAAAGAAAAAATAATTATTTGGTGAGGAGACACATTGCAACAATACGAATATGCTGTCTCTCATTGTGCTTTTGCTCACTAATCTTGACATACACCAATGGCTCTTGCCTTACAACGTTTACCTAATGGTAATTTTCTATTTTTCTCATTCTTTTTCCATTTATTAAGAATTCTACGGGCTTGGCATGATGGTTCATGCCTATAATCCCAGAACTTTGGGAGGCCAAGGTGAGCAGATCACCTGAGGCCAGGAGTTCAAGACCAGCCTGGCTAGCACAGTGAAACCCCGTCTCTACTAAAAATACAACAATTAGCCGGGTGTAGTGGCAGGCACCTGTAATCCCAGCTACTCGGGAGGCTGAGGAAGGAGAATCACTTGAACTTGGGAGGTGGAGGTTGCAGTGAGCTGAGATTGTGCCACTGCACTCCAGCCTGGGCAACAGAGTGAGACTCCATCTCAAAAAAAAAAAAAAAAAAAAAAGAATTCTATGATTTCTTGGCTGGGTGTGCTCACACCTGTGATCCCAACACTTTGGGAGGCCAGGGTGGGGGAATCCCTTGAGCTTGGGAGTTTGAGACCAGCCTGGCCAACATAGTGAAACCCTGTCTCAAAAAAAAAAGAAAAAAGGTAAAGGGAGAGAAGGGGAGGGGATGGGAAGGGGAAGAGACAGAAAGGGAGGGGAAGGGAAATCTACCAGGCTTGGTGGCATGTGCCTGTAGTCCCAGATACTCAGGAGGCTGAGGCGGGAGGATCACCTGAGCCTGGGGAGGTTGAGTCTGCAGTAAGCCGTGATCATGCCACCACACTCCAGCCTGGGCCACAGAGTGAGAGCTTGTCGCCAAAAAAAAAAAAAAAAAAAAGAATTCTATGATTTCTTAATCAATACTTGAGCAGGGTAGTGATAACAATACCTATGTTAAGCAAAACAATATTTTTACTAAAAATAACAAATTTGTGGTTATTGATATTTAGGTTGAATTACTAAGGCTTTCTATAGCTAATTGCTCCCAACTAATGTCTAATTTACTAATACTGAATGCCTCCAACTACTTCAGCCTTATCAAATTCCATTAAAAAGCCTTATTGGGCCAGGCACAGCGGCTCACGCCTGTAATCCCAGCACTTTGGGAGGCCGACGTGGGCGGATCAGAAGGTCGGGAGATCGAGACCACACTGGCCAACATGGTGAAACCCCATCTGCCTAAAAATACAAAAATTAGCTGGGTGTGGTGGCACGTGCCTGTAGTCCCAGCTACTTGGGAGGCTGAGGCAGGAGAATCGCTTGAACCCGGGAGGCAGAGGTTGCAGTGAGCCGAGATCGCGCCATTGCACTCCAGCCTGGGCAACAGCGAGAGTCCATCTCAAAAAAAAGAAAAAATGCCTTATTGAAGCTAAGAAAATTAGAAAATTATTTTGTGACAATTCAAATATTTATATAGCTAGGTTAACTTGGTATAATGAGATATAAGCCACACAATTAGAAAACTGTTATGACAAAAAACTGTTATGACTGAAGGATTCCTCATGGAATCAGATGATGCTTGTTTAAATCAATTAATCATTCAGAGCTGGTTGACATGATGTGAGAGGAGATATGTGTAAAATAGACATAAAAGGGATGTGATCCCTTTAAGGAACCAGAGTTCCAAATACAGGAATTGTTTGCTATGTAGAAGCAGCTCTCCTTAAGCGTGGGGACAGCTTTACAAAATGATTTGCCACCATTTTGATAAAAGCAGAAAGTGCACAGAGGCTCAAGCTCTAACCTCTAAGTCAGGAACAGCCCTGGGGGAGAAAAATTAAAAGCCTAGAGTAACCAGAAGGTGTTAAGGAGGCAATAAAACCTTTTCCTCTACATGGCAGCCAGGAACTGGCTGAAGGAGAAGGTGCCAGGGGCCATGAAAAGGTCCAATAACTTGAACCTGTGGCATTATTTCAGATCACATAGTTGGTATGACTGATAAAATGCTGCATACAATGAAGAAAATATCCTCAATTTATAGGATCACGGGGAAAATGAAATAAAATAAATATGTAACATACTTAGCAATGGCTGGTGTTCAGTAAACAGTGAATAATAAATAGTATTCATTTTCCAAACAAACATCCATTGAGTTTTTGTGGATTTCAACTTTTACACTTAACTATTTTGAGCCTTAATTTTTTACACTCATAAAAGCCATTGTACTAATGACTTCTAAAGTGTCTTTTAACTCTGAAATGCTATGACTATGCCATAGTGGAGAATTTAAAACAAAAAACTGCACACTAGATTTTATAAAGTCAACTGTCTTTATTCCTTTATTTATTAAGCACTGTAGCAGGCACCATGCTTATGGCTAAACATTTTAAAACTAAATAAAACCTGTTTCCTGAATTCATTGAGACTCACATTTTTTTTAATTATACTTAAGTTTTAGTGTACATGTGCACATTGTGCAGGTTAGTTACATATGTATACATGTGCCATGCTGGTGCGCTGCACCCACTAACTCGTCATCTAGCATTAGGTATATCTCCCGATGCTATCCCTCCCCCCTCCCACCACCCCACAACAGTCCCCAGAGTGTGATATTCCCCTTCCTGTGTCCATGTGATCTCATTGTTCAATTCCCACCTATAAGTGAGAATATGCGGTGTTTGGTTTTTTGTTCTTGCGATAGTTTACTGAGAATGATGATTTCCAATTTCATCCATGTCCCTACAAAGGACATGAACTCATCATTTTTTATGGTTGCATAGTATTCCATGGTGTATATGTGCCACATTTTCTTAATCCAGTCTATCATTGTTGGACATTTGGGTTGGTTCCAAGTCTTTGCTATTGTGAATAATGCCGCAATAAACATACGTGTGCATGTGAGACTCACATTTTGTTTTGACAGATGACCATGCAAATAAACTATTCATATGTGGTATTGTAGAATAGTAGAAGAAAGCGTTAGTTCTCCCTGGGTGAATAAGGGCTGGTCTCAGAGAAGACAGTAGACCTGGTCCACAAAGAAGGAAGAAATTTGGCATGCAGAGAATAGTACATGCCCAGAAAGAGTGTTCATTTGAACAAAGGTATGGAAGTACAAAAGTGTATGGTGGTAGGGATCAGTATCATACTTTAGTGTGTAGAGAAGAAAGTGGTTGAACATGAGTCAAGTTATGTTGGGAAAAGACTAGAGCGCGGCCTCTATTAGGCAACAGGGAGCCTATATTGTTATTTTTAAGTAATGAAATCACATGATAGGTAAGCGTTTTACAAAGTATTTGTCAGCAGGGTAGAAAAAGAAATTAATGGGGAATGATTGGAAATGAAGAAAACTGTTTAAAAGACAATTTCAACAATTCAGGTAGGAAGCAGTGACTTCAATTAGGGCAGGATCCATAGGAATAGAAAGCGAGAAGGGATTCGACAAATATTTTTGTAAGATGGTAGCCTCTATGAGCCCCATATTTGAAATGTGGCTATCAAGATATTTATACTAACTTACTGAAAATGACTACAAATGCCGTGTGTGTGTGTGTGTGTGTGTGTGTGTGTGTGTGCATGTTTAGGCATCAAAATGCTGAAAATATGGTAAGGAAATAAGCCAAAATGCATGTAAAGGGAATAATCAGAAAGGAAACAAAGCTGTGATGCTGAAACTAGCTTAATGTATCAAGGTCTGGAGGAGTGTGAAGGACAGGAAACAGAGCCCATCTATCATAACACTGGGCAGTCTAACAAGTAAATTCCTAATATATTTTGGGACCTCAAAGGTTCCACCACATGTGTAAACCTGTAAGAGTGAACTGATAATAAACCTTTCTGCTCCTTCCACTCCTCCAACCTCAAGAGATTTCAAGAATTGAAAGGAAAGTTATCTTGCATTGGACAAAGCAGGGTATGGGGAAAAGAAATAAAAAAGCTATCCCTCAGAAATTGTACCCTCCAGCCTGTCCTGAAAGAGATCTTATAGGCAAAATTCACATCTTTTGGGAGGTCCCCCCACAAATTCAAGTCTTGAATTTAACCTAAAATATTCTAAGACTGCCCTGTATAACATGGCAGAAGTAAACACGAATCCCCTCTGGAGAAACCCACTTACATCTCAGGCCTCAAATACTTTCCACATAGAATTTTTCAAAGGAAAACAGCAGTCAATGATAATCAAGTACACAAGGAAATAAGTTCCCATGAGCAAGAACCAGCAGAAACAATAGGCAACAAAACCAGACCTGTCTGTATTTCAAATGTTGATATAGACACTATTTTAATGTAAATAGAAGTATAAATATACATGTGTAAAGCAAATCATATTTAAAGAAAGAAAAGATAAGCTTAAAAATGCCTGCAGAGAGCAGAAAACCATTTATTTATAGATTTAGGGAGCACAGTGTCATTTTGTTACATGGATAAAATGTCATGTTTGTTACATGCATAGTGGTGAAAGCTTGGCTTTTAGTTTAACTATCACCTGAATAGTATACATTATGCCTGTGAAGTAATTTCTCATCCCTTAACTCCCTGCCAACCCCCTGCCCTTCCAAGTCTCCAGTGGCTATTATTCCACTCTCTCTGTGTACACATTATTTAGCTCCCAGGTAATAAGTTTAATACCCAGTAGGTAGTTCTTCTGATCTTCTCCCTCCTTCCACCCTCCACCCTCAAGTAGGCTCCTGTGTCTGTTGTTCCCCTCCTAGTATCCATGTGTTCTTGTTGTTTAGCTTCCACTTACAAGTGAGAACATGCAGTATTTGGTTTTCTGTTCCTGTGTTAGTTTGGTTAGGATAATGGCCTCTAGCTCTATCCATTGCCATAAAGGACAGGATCTTGTTCTTTTTTATAGCTGCATAGTATTTCACATAGAAAACCAATTTCTTTTCTGTTTGTTGTTTGTTTTTTGAGACATAGTCTCACTTTGGCCTGATCTCGGCTTACTGCAACCTCTGTCTCCCAGGTTCAAGCAATTCTTGTGCCTCAGCCTCCCAAGTATCTGGGATTACAGGTGTGCACCACCATGCCCAGCTAGTGTGTGTGTGTGTGTGTGTGTATGTGTGTGTGTATTTTTAGTAGAGATGGGGTTTTGGCATGTTGGCCAGGCTGGTCTCGAACTCCTGGCCTCAAGTGATCCACCCACCTTGGCCTCCCAAAGTGCTGGGATTACAGGTGTTCCTGGCCAAAAACCTATTTCTTAAGTAAGTTATCGGTTAGTTATTTGTTAAGAATATTTTCAACAGAAAGTAATGAAGTACCCAACTAACTGTGTATTAAGCAGTAAGACATCTGATTATGTCACACAATAAGAATAGTGAAAGTAGGCAGTCCCATGTTTTATGAAAAAAACAGCAATATTCCCAAGGACCCTGGTTCTTTCTCCCTATCTATTCTACCATCTCTTATGTCCCTAAGGCTTGTTTGCAATCTCATGGTAACAATTCAGCTGCCACTGTTCTTCACTGAACTGGCTCAAAGCAGGAAGAAAGGATGGTAGAGAAAGGATGCCTCATGGGCTCAGTCTTTTCACCTGGGAAGAATATTTTCCAGAAGAAATGGGCTATCTCTAACATCCTTTTGCCTAGAATTGGGTCCATACATGTTAGCTAAAACTTTGTCCTATGCCTACCCCAGTGTGTCTCAAACTTCGCTGCACATGGAACTCACCTTGGGAGCCTTAGAAAGTACCGAGGCCTGAGACTTATTTCCAGAGATTCTGAGTGAAATTGCTCTGAGGTGTGACTTGGGCATCAGATTTGTTTGTTTGTGTGTTTCCCAGGTGATTCTAATGTGCAGCCAAGGTTGACAACCACTACCTGAAAGACCAATTATGGTCCCTTAGGGCTGGAAGAAGGGCCTAACTTTACAAGCTTAAGGGATCTGAGTTGCCAACCAAATGAAACTGAGGTAGAAAAATGGCTGCTGGTGGCCCAGGATTCAGTTTTTCAACTTAGCCAATCCAATGGAAAAAAGCTTCTCTTTCTCAATATTTCCAGTAAAAGTCCAGAATTGAGTCCCATGGGTCTATTTTTGGGTATGTGCCATCCTTGAACCAATAATTATGGCCAAAAGGATTTAAAAAAAAAACCACTAATGGACCAATCCTGGTCATGCGCCAGGAAAGGAAATTCGCCCAAGTGGAGCCAAGTAGACTGTGAGTGGGAAAGGGGAGGGGATTATTCTCCAAAGAAAAATATAGGTGCCATTGTTAGAAAAAGAGAATAGAAAAAGCCCAGAGGCTGACTAGTGCTCAATATATAGTTGTTGAATGAATGAATGGAAGAATGATACTTACTTCTCATTGTTTCCACTCCTAAGTGAGCAAAGGCAGTAACTAGCACACTTCACTCTCATTTAACCTGAGGTTCATTCTGCAGAGGGGCTCTGTTGATTCTCAGGACAAGAATCTTTGAAATATGATTTAGTCTGTGTTCATGTATTTAGGATGACTATTTATATTCTTTGGTAGTGAACTAACTTCTACTAAACAGATAATGTGGATGGTTGTATGAAGAGGGCAAATATACTTAGTAGGAAATAAAATTGAGTATTGTGTCCAAATTTCACTTCTCTGATCACAATAGTGCCAGTTGTGCAGCTATAATTGTCAAATATTTAATATCAGAGAATAGCATACCATCAGATTATTAATTTTTGGTAAGCAAAAGTACTTTTACCTGAAAAAAATTTTTTATCTTTACAACCAAATGGAAGTATGACTTTATTGCCAACAGTTTTAAGAAAACAAGTTAAGGCCAGTTACAGTGGCTCACACCTATAATCCCAGCACTTTGGTAGGCCAAGATGAGAGGATCACTTGAGGCCAAGAGTTTGAGACCAGACTGGGCAATACAATGAGACCCTTGTCTCTCTACAAAAAATATAAAAACTAGTTGGGCATGGTGGTAGACGCCTGTAGTCCCAGCTACTCAGGAGGCTGAGATGGGAAGATGGCGTGAGCCTGGGAGGTTGAGCTGAGATCACACCACTGCACTCTAGTCTGGGCCACAGAGCAAGATCCTGTCTCAAAACCAACAAAAAAAAACAAACAAACAAAAAAAACAAAAACAGAAAAACAGGAGGACATGATGATGAATGTTCAAAAAGAAATAAATGTTAGGATGCCATAAGCATTTCATTCAATCTATATCCTGACTCTGTGACACTCTACATATAGATTTAACCATTAGCTCCACAATAATTGCTTCTGCCTGCTAAAGTTTTTTTTTAAGAGTTTTCCAAAAGGTATAAAAATAATCGTTTTGGCCGGGTGCGGTGGCTCACGCCTGTAATCCCAGCACTTGGGAGGCTGAGGCGGGCGGGTCACCTGAGGTCAGGAGTTTGAGACCAGCCTGACCAACATGGTGAAACCCCGTCTCTATTAAAAATACAAAATTAGCCAAGTGTGGTGGCGCATGCCTGTAATCCCAGCTACTCAGGAGGCTGAGGCAGGGGAATCACTTGAATCTGGGAGGCAGAGGTTGCGGTAAGCTGAGATCATGCCATTGCGCTCCAGCCTGGGCAACAAGAACGAAACTCCGTCCCCCCAAAAAAATAAAAATAAAAATAAAAAGTAATCGTTTTGATGGCAGCAACTTACATGAAGGGGCAGTGGGGTGCTTCTTACAAATCTTAAGGAAAGAATGGAGGAGAAAAATCTGTCTTCTCCATACCACCTGTGACTTTCAACCCAAGGCAGTCTGAGGAAGAGAAATACTAAGACTTCTGTTCTTTTTTTGTTTGGTTGGTTGATTGGTTGGTTTATTTATGTGTTAGTTGTTGTTGTTATCCACTCTATCGCCAGGCTGGAGCACAGTGGTGTGATCTCAGCTAACTGCAACCTCTGCCTCCTGGGTTCAAGCGATTCTCTTGCCTCAGCTCCGAGTAGCTAGAATTATAGGCGTCCGCCACCTTGCCCGGCTTAGTTTTTGTGTTTTTAGTAGAGATGGGGTTTCACCATGTTGGCCAGGCTGGTGTCGAATTTGACCTCAAGTGATCCGCCCCCCTCTGCCTTCCAAAGTGCTGGGATTACAAACGTGAGCCACCACGCCAGCCTATGTGTTAGTTTCTGATATAACAGATTAAACATATTTTTGCTAGTTTGCATTGGCCTACTAACGCAGAGAAAACCACAAGAGAATTCAGAATTGTATTGACTTGTTTCATTCTGGGTGTCCTTGAAGGGAAGAATTCTCTAGGGTCAAATTTCAGTACTTTCTAGAGGTTTTTGTGGCAGCCATGGAGAGATGGGAGGTAGAAGGAAAAGCAGACAACCATGTGGGAGTGCTTAGTAACAATGTACAAGACATAGAACACAGAGGCTGAATTAGAAGGCCTTCAATTCCTGACATCTTAAAATATAATCAGTTAATTCCAGCCAAGTACTTTTTGTACATAATCCTCTGATTTTGTGTGTGAGAGAACATTAGTTCTATCTACAGTTCTATTACCCTTTTAAAAATGTTTTATTTATTGGAAATTTAAGACAGACAATAGTATACAAAGAATTTAATGTTTCACATTTCTAGCAACCAGAACTTAACATATTTCCTTTCTTCCTATTTTCCTTCCTTCAACTTAATTACTCTTTTGTTTTTAAAAATGATACATATTGATTATAAAGAACTAATACAGAAAAAGAGAAACATGAAAGAAAAAACCGAAATCCCAGAACTAGAAATAACATCAACAATCAGGTGAATATCAGTTAAATTATTTTTCTATGCAAGTAGGCAGAGATAACTAGATACGTGAAACTTTTTGCATTAAACTAGAATCATACACTAGATGCTACTTCTAATATAAAAGCACTAAATTTAACTTGAATGCTGACAAGAAAGAAAAGCTGAAATGGAAGACAACAAATTGTTACACACACACACACACACATTTACGGTTTATACATACGCCTCAGGAGACATACAAAAGGCTAAAAAATAATTTTAAAACAACTTTTTAAAATCAGCATTGCCATGAGTTTTATTTTTTAAAAAACATTCCTCTTAAAAGCAGTAAGAATTGATTGGGCACAGTGGCTCATACCCGTAATCCAGCACTTTGGGGGGTGAGGTGGGAGGACCACTTGAGGCCAGGAGTTTGAGGCCAGGAGTTCGAGACTACACCTCAGCAACATAGCAAGACCTTATCTCTAAAAAAATATTTAATAATTAGCTGGGTGTGGTGGTGCATACCTGTAGTTCCAGCTACTCAGAAGGCTGAGGTGGGTGGATTGCTTGAGCCCAGGAGTTTGAGGCTACAGTGAGCTATGATTGGGGCATTATACTCTAGCTTTGGAGAGAGAAAGAGACCCTGTTTCTAAAAAACAAAATGAAGTAAAAATTGACCCTTTGTTACAAAAGATGGGACATGAACACCCTCACAATGCCTCTTTCCCCCCAGTTCATGTCTTGAATTTATTTACTTATTGTTTTTTTTTTAATGCCCAGGTTTATAAAGTTAACATTCTCTTCTATAGGACACATTCCCATTCTTACTAATTTCTGTGTTTAAATTTACTTAGTGCCACCATCAGCTTTTATCACAGCTCCCTATTTCTCTATTCTGTATTTTGCTTCAACTCTTAAAGGCTAGATTTAAGTAATTTTTTTTCAGAAGGGCCCAGAGGGCTGTATTCTTTTTTTTTTTTTTTTTTTTTCTTGAGATGGAGTCTCGCTCTGTTGCCAGGCTGGAGTGCAGTGGCGGGACCTTGGCTCACTGCAACCTCCACCTCCTGGGTTCAAGCAATTCTCCTGCCTCAGCCTCCCAAGTAGCTGGGACTACAGGTGCACGCCACCACACCCAGATAATTTTTGTATTTTTAGTAGAGACGGGGTTTCACCATGTTGGCCAGGATGGTCTTGATCTCTTGACCTTGTGATCTGCCCACCTTGGCCTCTGAAAGTGCTGGGATTACAGGCGTGAGCCACCACACCCAGCCGACTGTATTCTTAAGTAACTTTATCTTTGAGAATTCTAGCTGTCGCATTCATATTTGAATATTTTGCCTGGTTATAATAATTATGGGTCATGGTCTTTCTCAGAGCCTGGTAAATGTTGCTCCGTTGACTACTAGCATTGAACTTTGCTGTAAATTAGATTAAGAGTCTAGACTGATTTTTCTCTCCAAGTAGAATGTATATATAATATATATTTTACATATTCTGAGTATGTTTATATTCTATATTCTGATATATATATTCTCTATAGAGAATTTTGTATTTTGCTTCAACTCTTAAAGGCTAGATTTAAGTAATGTTTTTTTCAGAAGGTCCCAGGGGGCTGTATTTCTAAGTGCTTTCTTTATCTTTGAGAATTCTACCTGTTGCATTCATATTTGAATATCTTTCCTGACTATAATAATTATGGGTCATGCTTTTCCTCAGAGCCTGGTAAATGTTGCTTCATTGACTACTAGCACTGAACTTTGCTGTAAATTAGATTAAAAGTCTAAACTGATTTTTCTTTCTGAGTAGAATATATATACGTGTGCATGTGTGTGTGTGCGTGTGTGTGTGTGTGTGTGTGTGTATGTCTGTAACCTGCAGTTCAGTAACTGCTAGGATGAGTGTTAAGATTTCCATTTTAAATTTTACTGAAGAATAGCCTGTATCCTGCAATTATAGATTTTTCCTTTATTTTAGAGACATTTTCTTGTAATATACTATATTTGAATATATCTTCTGTTCGTTTTGTGGGGTCTTTGCTTCAGAGACCTCAATTATCCTTATTTTGGTGCTGACTTCATTTGTTTTCCCTATCTATTAACTTTGTTTCACTTTAACCACCATATTTCTTTCATCCGACTTGGTTGTATAATCACATCGTTAAGATCTTTTTTTAGTTTCAGTGTTCTCATTAAGATGAACAATGCAAAAGGAATCTCCTGTGTTTTGAATTTTATTTTTTTCTGGATTTTCTTTTTTTTTTTTCTTTTGCTTCCCACCGACTGCTTGAGATTCTATATGTTCTTACTCTTTATCTGTACCTTAAGGAAATGGTGGGGAATGGGAGGAGTGTGCAGGCTGTGTTAGATGACCTGGGGTCCTGCACTTTTTTCCTGAACTTTTATTACATATCCTGTACAAGGGTTCACTCCAACTAATTAGGGCTCAATACCATTCACAATGGGGAGTGAGTGTTCTTGGGCTTTGGATTGTTTTCTGTCTCACCCATTTCTCCCCTTTAGTCCTTGCCACTGTTCCTCAGTCAGAAGAGGAATAGGGTAATAAAACCAACTCAGTTTCCTTTCCTCCATATTTGGAAGTTTTTGTGGGAATTCTCAGATTTTTGTGAACTTACCAACATGGTTTCTGGAAAGCTGAGGGCTGGATTCAGAGCCAAGCTATGTCCTTTAGCGTCACTTCATTCCAGAATCAGCTGCTTCTTTATTGCAATACATTGTGCCTCTTTCTTTATTTGGTGGCTTGATGAATTTTTCTTCATGTTGGTTTTTACTATTCTTTTTTTTGAGCTGGAGTCTGGCTCTGTTGCCCAGGCTGGAGTGCAGTGGCACAACCTTGGCTCACCACAACCTCCACCTCCCGGGTTCAAGCAATTCTCCTGCCTCGGCCTCCTGAGTAGCTGGGATTACAGGCGTTTGCCCCCATGCCCGACTAATTTTTGTATTTTTAGTAGAGACGGGGTTTCACCATGTTGGCCAGACTGGTATCAAACTCCTGATTCAAGTGATCTGCCCTCCTCAGCCTCCCAAAGTGCTAGGATTACAGGCGTGATCCACCATGCCTGGCTGGTTTTTACATTTTTTATTTTATTTTATTTTATTTTTTGAGACAGAGTCTCACACTGTCGCCCAGGCTGGAATGCAGTGGCGCAATCTCGGCTCACTGCAAGCTCTGCCTCCCTGGTTCACGCCATTCTCCTGCCTCAGCCTCCTGAGTAGCTGGGACTATAGGCGCCCGCCACCACGCCCAGCTAATTTTTTGTATTTTTAGTAGAGATGGGGTTTCACTGTGTTAGCCAGGATAGTCTCGATCTCCCGACCTTGTGATCCACCCGCCTCAGCCTCCCAAAGTGCTAGGGTTACAGGAGTGAGCCACCGCACCCGGCCGGTTTTTACATTTTTTAAAAAACCTATGATAGGCAGCTGTAGTAGAATAGATAAAGGCATAAACTCTAGAGCCACACTTGCTGGCTTCAAGTCTCGCTCTTTGCTCAATGAGACTGGGCGTGAAGCTATTTAGCTTCTATGTTAGTTTTCCAGTCTGTCAAGTGCCTTCCTCAAAGCGTTGCTGTTAAGATCAAAGCACTTAATGCAGATAAAGCTTTTAGAACCATCCCTGGCATAGAGTAAGCACTTAGTGAATGTCAGATAATCTTTTTATTTTTAATGCAGTTATCTTTGTTAAGTATTAAGCAGCAGAAAATTCTTTTCAATCTATCTCCTTAAGCCAGAAGTCTCTGGTTTTATTCTTTAGCTTAATGTTTCCTAATATTCTTGAGTCTATGATATATATATGCAGCCTGACTGAATGGCACAATGAGGTTATTCAGAGGTAATATCTATTGGTCTAAACTTTCTACTTCAAACTCCCCAAATCATGTAAACATGCCCATTATTCTCCTTTTTCATTTTGTCCTCTTCTCACAAAAACTCTGTCAAATGTCAAAAGTGAAGAAATCCACGACTTTGGAGTTTATTAAGCCTTAATCTTCTCTGGTATATAGTATATGCTCCAATTGCTGTTTATGGAATAAAGATACTGAATCTAAGACTTGCTCCACAATTGTTGGAATACTGACACCCTCTAAGTATCATTTGAGAGCTCATGCTATTATTTCATGGATTGTGCATCCTAAAAAGAACCAATTTATGTAGTTACCTAGACATCACCTTTTATCATTGCATAAGTTAACATATCTTTCAAAATATATTTTTGGCTTTTCAAATATCTCACCCATGCCAACAATCCCTAAATGGTGGGCCCTACAAGTATACTGCATATGGGTTACACATGGGCAGTCATATTGATCCCTCCCAATGGCTGGACTGAGGCTGGAAAGCTGGAATGCCCTGCTTTTGGACTTTTCTACTTAGCCCTACAACAATGGTCATTTCTTATGTATGCCATAACTTGGAATAAGTTGGGGTGAATAGAGGGATTTATGCAGTCAAGAGATCAATTATGCCAAAACACAGAAGCTCTCAAGTAGACCCATGACTTTGGAGAGTTTATGAAGTCTTAACCTTCTCTGGTATATAGTATATGCCCCAATTGCTGTTTACTGAAGAAAGATACTGAATGTAAGACTTGCTCCACAATTGTTGGAATATGGACAAATGATGGGTTTGAGAAGGTTTATAAAACTCTTAAAATTGTGTGCAAACTTTGTGCATGTGTTTTTCTGAGGGTGTGTAACTTTTGTAAAATCTTTAAAACAGAGTTTTTCAAAGTGCAATTTGAGGTCCAGAATTATCTGAAAAGAATGTTGTTAAAAATAGATTCCCAGGAGCCATCTTACTGAATATTAAATCACTTTAAATGAGTAAAATAAAATCCTTGACTTATGTCCAAATTTTTTATTACTGCATAAGTGTTAATTATTTTTATTAAGTGGACATTGGTGTAGTATTTGTGTCAAAATCAGGAAAAAAAGAATTGATGGTTTTTATTTGTCAATGAACTCTGAATTTATTGATAATATCAAGCCATCAAAAGTTAATAAGATCTGTTGCTTTACTGATAAAAGTTTTATATATAGAATAAGATAAATGAAAATTTCCTTTAATTCTTCAGAGATTATTTCACACTTAAGAGTATGTTCCTTCTCAGAAACTTTGATAGAAAGAATAATTTTAGCTCACATAAAGAATAACTTTCGGCTGGGCATGGTGGCTTACGCCTGTAATCCCAGCATTTTGGGAGGCCAAGGCGGGCAGATCACCTGAGGTCAGGTGTTCCAGACCAGCCTGGCCAACACTGCGATACCCCATCTCCACTAAAAATACAAAAAATTAACAGGGCGTGGTGGCAGGCACCTGTAATCCCAGCTACTTGGGAGGCTGAGGCAGGAGAATCGCTTGAACCCAGGAGGCAAAGGTTGCAGTGAGCCGAACTGCACCACTGCACTCCAGCCTGGGTGACAGAGTGAGACTCCATCTAAAAAAAAAAAAAAAAAGAATAACTTTCTCTCAGTAAAAGCTGCTTAAAGATGAAATGGGTCATTTTGGGGAACAACAAGTTTCCAGCTCACTAAGAGTGGTGAAACATAAAGGGCAAGTTCACTTCTAGGAATACCGTAGAAGGAACTCAAACATCAGGACCATTGACCTTCTACTGTTCTATTTATCTTGCCTCTGTGTCGCAGTATCTTTTAATCTTGACAAAATTCTTATTATCTTGAAAAAGGTAATACATACTCATTGTAGAAAAGTTGGAAAATATAAACCAGCAGGGGAAAATAAAAAAGTTTAACTCTATGTTACCCATAGAAAATTGCTGCTAACATTTTATTTTAGACTCCTCTAGTCTTTCATAGACATATAGATTTTAGAAATTTTTTTACATAATAGAGTTATATTGTGCCTTAGCTAACATCCTACTGAATGGGGAAAAATCAAAAGCCTTTCCTCTATGAGCTGAAACAAGACAAGGATACCCACTTTCACTACTGTTATTTGACATAGTACTACTATAAGTCCTGGCTAGAGCAGTCAGACAAGAGAAAGAAATAGAGGACATCCAAACTGGAAAGAAAGAAGTCAAATTAGCCTTGTTCACAGATGACCTGATATACTGAGGAACACCTAAGATCCCCATCAAAAAACTATAAGAACTGATAAACAAATTCAGTAAAGTTGCAAGATACAAAATCAACATAGGAAAATTAGTAGTATTTATATATGCCAATAGCAAACAAGTGAAAGATCTATACAAGGAAAACTATAAAACACTGATTAAAGAAATTGAAGAGGACACACAAAATGATGAAAAGATAGTTCATGCTCACAGATTGGAAGAGTTAATATATATATATATTTTTTTTCCTTGAGACAGAGTTTCACTCTTGTTACCCAAGCTGGAGTGCAATGGTGAGGTCTCAGCTCACTGCAACCTCTGCCTCCTAGGTTCAAGCAATTCTTCTGCCTCAGCCCCCCAAGTAGCTGGGATTAAAGGCACCCACCATCATGCCTGGGTAATTTTTATATTTTTAGTAGAGACAGGGTTTCACCATGTTGGCCAGGCTGGTCTCAAACTCCTTACCTCCTGCCTGCCTCAACCTCCCAAAGTGCTAGGATTACAAGCGTAAGCCACCATGCCCGGCCGAGTTAATATTGTTAAAATGACAATTCTACACAAAGCAATTTATAGATTCAATGAAATCCCTTCTGAAATACCAATGACATTCTTCACAGAAATAGAAAAAAAAATCCTAAAATCTATGTGGAACCACAAAGGACCCCTAATAATCAAAGCAATCTTGAGCAAAAAGAACAAAACTGGAGGCATCATATTACCTGACTTTAAAATATACTACAAAGCTATAGTAATCAAATTAGCATGGTACTGGCATAAAAACAAACACCTAGACCAGTGGAACAGAATAGAGAATCCAGATATGAATCCAGATATTTAGAGCCAGCTCATTTTCAATAAAGGTGTCAGGAACAAAGAATGGGGAAAAAACATTCTCTTCAATAAATGCTGCTGGGAAAACTGGATATCCATATGCAGAAGAATGAAACTAGACCCCTATCTCCCATCATATACAAAAATCAAATAAAAATGAATCAAATGAATCAAAGATTTAATCTAAGACCTGAAACTGTGAAACTACTAGAAGAAAACATTGGGAAAACACTCCAGGACATTGGTCTGGGCAAAGATTTTTTGTGTAAGACCTCAAAAGCATTGGCAACCAAAGCAATAATGGACAAATGAGATCATATCAAGCCTAAAAGCTTCTACACAGTGAAAGAAACAATCAACAAAGTGAAGAGACAAACCTATGACAAGGGATTAATAACCAGAATATTTAAGGAGCTTAAACAACTCAATAGCAAAAAATTCCAAATAATCTGATGTAAAATTGGGCAAAAGATCTGAACAGATATTTATCAAAAGAAGACATACAAATGACTAAGAGATATATGAAAAACCACCATGAGATATCATCTCACCCCAGTTAAAATGGCTTTTATAAAGAGGAGAGGGAGCTGGGCACCACAGTGGCTCATGCCTGTATCCTAGCACTTTGGGAGGCCAAGGCAGGCAGATCATCTGAGGTTACGGGTTCAAGACCAGCCTGGCCAATGTGGCGAAACCCCGTCTTTACTAAAAATACAAAAATTGGCCAGGCATGGTGGCGCATACCTGTATCCCAACTACTTGGGAGGCTGAGGCAGGAGAATTTCTCAGACCTGGGAGGCAGAGATTGCAGCGAGTGGAGATCGCACCACTGCACACCAGCCTGGGAGACAGAGTGAGATTCTGCCTCAAAAAAAAAAAAAAAAAAAATGACAGGGAATAACAGATGCTGGCAAGTATGTGCAGAAAGGGCAAGCCTTGCACACCGTTGGCAGAAATGTAAATTAGCACAGCCACTATGGAAAACTGTATGGAGATTCCCCAAAAAACTAAAAATGGAACTACCATATGGAACTACCATATGATTTGGTAAGTCCACTATTGGGTATATATCCAAAAAAGAAATTTAAAAAAAGGAAATCAATATATCGAAGAGATATCTGCACTCCCATGTTTATTGCAGCACTATTCATATAGCCAAGATTTGGAAGCAACCTAAGTATCCATCAATGGATGAATGGATAAAGAAAAGGTGGTATGTATACACAATGGAATATTTTTCAGCCATGAAAAAGAATAAGATCCTGTCATTTGCGGCAACACAGATGGAACTAGAAGTCATTATTTTAGTGAAATAAGCTAAGCTCAGAAAGACAAATACTGCATATTTCTCACTCATGTGGGAGCTTAAAAAGTGGATCTCATGAAGATAGAGAAGATAGAGTAGATTGGTGGTTACCAGAGGCTGGGAAGCACAGAGGGGTGGAGAGATGAAGACAGGTTGATTAATGGGTGTAAATATACAGTTTGATAGAAGAAGTAATAACTAGTGTTTGATAGATCAGTAAGGCGATGATAGATTACAATAATCTATTGTATATTTCAGAATAACTGGAAGGGAATAATTTTTAGTATAAAGGCAAGCATTTAAGGTGACGGATATCCCAATTAAGCTGATTTGATCTTTACAAATTTTATGAATGTAGTAGATTGTCACGTGTTCACCAAAACATGTACATCTACTATGTATTAATAAATTTAAAAAAGAAAAGAAGAAAAAAATTATACTGTGCCTAATAGTTTAGAAATTACTTTTCACTTAGTATTGATATTCTCTATATTTTTTAGAATAACATTTTTAATGTCAACCTCTTATTTTATCTTATGGATAGTCATGTGATAATACTCTAATCACTTTCTCATATTGAATGTTTTTTTTCTTACTCTTTGCCATTATAGACATCATTGCAATAAATATCTACATGTATTTTCTGTCTTAATTATTTGGATATCTATTATGTATATTCTGTCTTAATTATTTGGATTTCTGCATTAACAACTTGGTCTCAAAATAAATAAATAAATAAATAAAAATAGAGACATACATGACTGGGTAGTTCTGGGTTGGAATCTCCTGTAAGGTCGTAATCAAGATGTCACAGAGTCTGCAGTCACCTGAAGTCTTGTCAGAGGCTAAAGACTTGGCTGTCATGATTGGCTAGTTAATGTTGATTTTGGCAGAAGGCCGCAGTTCCTCCCCTCATAGATCTGCCCACAGGCTGTTTGAGTTTTCTTACAACACAGCAACTCACCTCCCCCCAGAGCAAGTGATGTGAGAGAGGGAAAGCCAGATACACAGATGCAAGCTGGGTTTTTTTTTTTTTTTTTTTTTTTTTTTACAATTTAGCCTTCAAATTCATATGGCAGCAGCTCCTTCACATGGTATCCTTTAGAAGTTAGTCCTCACTAAGTCTGGTCCACATTCAAGAGGAGAGGAAGGCCGGGCACGGACAGTGGCTCACGCCTGTAGTCCCAGCACTTTGGGAGGCCCAGGCGGGCGGATCACGAGGTCAGGAGATCGAGTCCATCCTGGCCAACATGGTGACACCCCGTCTCTACTAAAACTACAAAAATTAGCCGGGCGTGGTGGCGCGCTTGTAATCCCAGCTACTTGGGAGGCTGTGGCTGGAGAGTCTCTTGAACCTGGGAGGCAAAGGTTGCAGCGAGCCGAGATGGCGGCACTGCAAAAAAAAGCGGGGAATTAGGCTCCATGTTTTTTTTTTTTTTGGAGACAGGGTCTCGCTCTGTCGCTCAGGCTGGAGTGCAGTGGCATGATCTCTTAGGCTCCATCTTTTGAAGGGAGGAGAGTAAAACATTTTATAGACACATTTTAAAAACCACCACTACAGCTAATCTTCAAATAAATTTCTATAGGTGGGACTTGAAGTTTCAAAGAATATGGAACATGTGAAGGCATCTTATACAGTACCTATTTCTGAATTGCCCTTCAGACAATTTGTATTCATTTATACTCTTCTAGCAGTATATGTAGTTTTCTACTTCCCACAGCCCTAGGAAACACTGTGTATTGTTTTTAAACACGGCCTCTGCTTCTTTGAGAATTAGAAAAAAGTGCCTCTTCCTCTGGGCAGGCAGATGCACCCACTAGGGTATATGGCTTTGCAAAAGGACTGCCAGCTGGGTTCTAGCTCCCCCAAGTCTGCTGGGCTGGGCGCCCTCTTGCAGGCCTCAACCCACACAGCTATACTCAGTGGCCTTACTGAAAGTCATGTGTTTTTCTTTTTTTCTGAACAATGCTAAAGTTCACATTTGTCCTTTTCTACTTATTAAAGCAAATTTGATTTTTCTTCCCATTCTAATGATTAAAAAATGGCCCTAATTTTCCAGTTTAAATTTATTATCATAGATAATAATAATAAAAATTTACTTCCTTAACAAAATATCGTATACACATTTTATTAAATTGAGCTCCGTTTTTTATCCTTGCTTGCCTTGTCTCTAGCCACCTCCTGTATAAGGATAGGGCTGTGTCATTGCCTTATGACAAAATTGTCTGTAGAAGTGATTTTTCAGTTTGTTATGATACAGGCAAGGTTGTAGAATGCCAGCCAGGAAAGTTAAGTGTGTACTTATAAGCATCAATTGCCCTTGACCAGATTCACAGCTTCTGCTTTTTTTTTCTTTTTTCCACTTTCATTTCCTGTAAGGGGAGATGTGATAAACCACAAAACTGGCCGTGAATCCTACACCTGCTAAAACTTGCCATTTGGATCCTGGCACTTACGTTTTATAAAATATACAAGCATATTTATGCCAGTTTACATAAGAACACAAGAGCCTATTCACATGTTTTTCTATTAGAAAAAATATTTAAATTATGATTTTTATGCTGCCTAAACCAAGCTCTACTTAACATCTATTTTAACATAACCCTCTCTTGTATATTCAGCCTCAATTTCTTGGTATTTCTTGATGTTTTCAATTATCGCTCATTTTGTGTTCTTTTAAGTTTGAAAAATTTTGTCATGAACTGATAAAAAAAGGTTTTATAATTAAAGTTTTGGGAACCTTGACTAATGTAAATGTGAACGATACTGTTAAAAAGTTTGACTATTTTGATTGATCTCACCACAGTCGTCATTTTTTTGTATTAAACTGACCATTCAGTTTAATCATAAAAAGCAAAACTGTTTATGTTGTTAGCATAGTTGAAGCAAGAATCATAGTTGCTATTTCCACCTCCAATATTTGGGTATGATATTATCATATTCAGTTCTTCATTAAATCTATGCTTCATGATAGGTGTTAAACAGCAACAAGAGCTCAGATTTACTTCCATAAAGCTCAGGGGAGGTATAATCAAAACATTACTTAAAATGTAATTGCTTTTCCATCATAATATTTAAAATTGAGAGATCACTTTTCCAGGTGTCAAACAAACATTGAGTTTTAAAAAGTGTCAGAGTCACTAACACTTATCAAAATGCATTATTTATATCAAATAATTAAAAATGAATTTCACTATCCCCAAATCACAGAACCTTCTTCTTTACCAAAAAAAAAAAAAAAAGGATTACCTCTAAACAGATACACAAGTTAAATAATTTTCATGAGAGTGAGCAAATTCTAATGTTTAAAACACAAGGCCCACTAATGGGTTAGAATTCATTCTCACATAATTTCATTTGATCATTAGATCAAGCAATACTATTTTAATTGTAATGAAAATATCAATTCTCAATATCATCTTTTTAATTATAGGATCAGAGATATTTTTGCCTCTAAAATGTCACTGTCTTTTCTTAGTTGTCAACCTGGACTTTATATCAGGACAGAGAACGGTGTAAGAAAAAGCTTTAAAGTGGGCCAAGAGTTTTGCTAAAATCAATTTCTGTTAAAGTGCTTTCTCATTTATCACCTCTGAAAGGACATTTAACAAAGGCCTTCTGATGTAACTTTTGTCAGAGTACCAGGTAAACTGCGGATTAAACATTAGCTTAGTCTAGAGACGGAGTCTTGGAGAGGGAGGAGCAGTTTTCAAACTTTAATAGATGTGAGGAAATGAATTTATTTTGTTAAGTAGTGAGCTTCTTTTCCTAAAATAAAAATCTGTCACTTGGAGCTTAACAGTTTCATGTCCAGGGTGAGAATTAGAGTGTGAAGCATGATCCAGGGTATTAAGATAGTTAAAGGCTAAAAAAATAGATGGGTGGATCACTGGAAATATCCTTTCCAATGCAATAGTATAAAAAGTTTTATGTGTACTATGAATCTGGAATATTTGGATCTTGTGGGAAAAGTTGACTTTGTTGGCAGAGTATCCTGGTTTTTTTCTTCTTGTTTTTATGTTGTGTTGGTTTGTAGGACTGAAACTGAACTTGAAAGTGAAGTGGAGATTTTACATATGTGGACAGTAATACATTTCTGTGAGGCATTTTCAGAGGTTTAGTTGTATCCATGTAAGTGATCAAAGTCCAAGGGCAAAACAAGAAGATTTAAGAAGAGATGCCACCTGTATCAGATTATCTCAATACTTAAAGTTGTTTTGAGATACAAAGAATGTATCTGAATAAGACCCTCTGTTTTCAACCTTGGCAGTGACATTCTGTGGGTAGACCAAATTAGAGGTAGGCAGTATGTTGGAACACAAAAGAAAAGGCTATGCCTCCACCAAAACTGACTGCACCACCAATTTTATTGGAACTTTTTCTTTTTTAATACCACTTGGAATTTGGAAGGAAAGTAAGAAAATCTTTTCTGTTTTATCACTTATGCTGGATGTGGAGTCCCAAAAAAAGAGCACCCAAGGGGATTTTAGTATTTATTTCTGCTTACACGAGAATATGAATAGGGTAAGAAAACCTGTGGGGGTGTGTGTGTGTGTTTACCCCCAGAAGTGGCTGTTATTCATCATGAGGGAAGTGTTGGATGAGATGCTGCACAGAGGGAACTCTATGATTTTAGACAACACTTCCAGGTAAAATACATTGACTTTTATTTATTTTTTGAAAATGCTTTAAAAATATATATAGCATAGTACTGCGACATATTAGGTGCTCAGTAAATGCTTTTGAATAAATTACAGCCCAGCTTCCTTGGGGTCCCTCATCTGTTACACTAACAGCAGGAATTCACTCCTTTTTCCACCTGCAGGACCTTCCAGCCCTCTTAATGTCTCACCCAGCTATTTCTGGGAATTTGAAAGGAATGGCTTCTTTGTGCTAAAAAGTAGGTCCACCATGGTGATTACTCCAGCCCCCTTTTGATTTTTACTGATTAGAGACTGCATGAAGAGACCAACATGGCAATACTAATATCTCTGCTCAGGATGCAGTCTTCTGATTTGAACAGGGCTGCCAGGAGAGCTGTGTAGGACAATAGAGATTATGCCCTGTACAACCCCAGGGCTACCATTTCCTTACACTCCAACAGAATGGCACTCCCTAGAATTGTGCCACAAGGTGGCTATGCTTGCACACACAAATACACATGCCCTGGGTATCAAAAAATGGCATGATACTCTGTGGAGGCCACTATATACTGATGCTGTGTGTGTGTGTGTAGAAATGGGGAAAGTACCCTCTCCCTCTCCCCCCTGACTCCCTTGGACACCTGAGCACAGAAGTAGTATTGTTTGTGTCCTGTCCCTCCCCAGACAGCAACTTGACCATCTGGATACAGTCCCTCTATACATAAGACCCCATCAAATGTGCAGTGGAATCAAGAGTCGAGAAAAGTAGTTTGCTGTCTGCCTTCTCCTGACCCTAACTTCATGTGCCCATGAAGAGCTTTTGCTCAACTTTAAGTGACCTAACGTGTCTGTTTACTAGGCATGCCTGTTATGTTGGAGTTTCAGTTTGGGATCCAGCTGGGACCTTTGCTAGAAGTTGATTGAATGAGTAAATGAGTGAGTGAATGGGTTTTTGTATCCATACATGTATATTACTTTCTTTATTAAATAAACTTGTTTTGTGATGGGAAAAAAATAAAGCCTATTTGTGGTATTAGTTGCCATAGTGGAGTTTGAAGCTGAGCTTTTTCATCAATATCTGTTGGCAAGATAAGTTAGTTATTCGTATGTTTTCTGTTTATTTAGACTCTCTCTCTGCCTGATAATTACATGGAAAAGTTTGAGTTTGATAAACAATCCTCACAAAAGTTCCTAATAAACTGGCCATTGAATGGACAATAGGAGATAGCCCAAAGTGCTCTCTAGAGGAATGCTAATAATTTTCTGAGTTCTGCTTGGTTTGCTTTAAATGATAGAATACCTAAGGGTCCCTAGGGCATCTTTAACATAAGTAATTTACTTTTAATTTAAAACAAAACCCTGGTTACCCTTAAGCCACAGGGGGAATTGTTGTTTTCTAGTCAGGGGTGAAATCACAGTTCAATCACCCTGTTGTTTCTAAAAGCTGTAACCTCCTTAAGGGAAGTGTCAGAGCCTCCAGCCAGAGGCTGATCTGCATTCACACACCTACTCAGTACAAGGGCCTATGTCCCACATAGTCTCTGGATACAGATTATAGAGGACAAAATGGAATTTTGCTTTCTCAGGTAGTGTCTTTCTTTTTCTTTCTTTCCCTTCCTTTCTTTCTTCCTTTCTTCTTTTCTTTTCTCTTTCTTTCTTCTTTCTTTCTTTCTTCTTTCTTTTTCTCTTTCTTTGTTCTTTCTTCTCTCTTTCTCTTTTCTTTCTTCCTTTCTCTCTCTTTCTTTCTTTCTATCCTCTTTCTTTTCAAAAACAGAAACGTGGCTTACAAGTATGTAGTTTCTTTTTGAAGCACAGTGATTCTAACTACTCTCTACTACTTCTTATTATCTCCCAATTTACCATAGATACACAGATTAAATTGATTGAAATATTTTGAAAAGTACTTCTATGTTACTGATAGATAAAAGTCTAAATTCTTCAACCTGCTAAGAAGACCCTTCTCAACGTGGCCTTCACTTCCCTTTCCAACTGTTTTCTAACATCTCTGGCTCTATAGCCTACGTCCCAGACAACACAAACTTAATGTCATTGCCCATACATCGTGCTGATTCAGACAGGAGACAGGGATATACTGGGTAGAAGGGGGCAGTTCCCTGGCAAAGGCCCCACCCTCAAGCCTGGAAACCTGTGGCCCTAAATGGGAACAGGTATTCCTGTTTTCGTGTCCAAATGTCTTTTGGTCCACCACGCCCCCCTATCCTGCACCCATATAAACCGCAAACCGCAGGCTCCATAAGCAGATGAGCACACAAACAGAAGGGTAGAGGAGCAGAAGAGCAGCACAGCAGAGAAGGAGAGAAGAGAAGGAGTGTCCGAAAGTCAAGGGGAGTTTGGCTGGGGACGGTTAGAGAGGAGATGTGTTTGGGACAGCTTAACTCCAGGGGAAGATCATCTTCCCACTCATTCCCTTTCCAGCTCCGCATCCATCCGCTGAGAGCCACCTCCATCACCTTATAAAATCCCTGCATTCACCATCCTTTGAGTCTGTGTGTGACCTCATTCTTCCTGGACACCAGACAAGAACCTGGGTACCAAGAGGGCACTGAGCTGGTTAACTCTTAAGCTGTTTGCAGACAACAGAGCTAAAAGAGCACTGTGGCATGCCCACTGGGGCTTCTAGAGTCACAGGCACCCACCCCTAGATGCTACCTTGGGGCCGGAGCCCAAAAGCACTTGCCCGGCTTCCTGCACCTGCCTGTCGGTGTGCTCCCATCCTGTAAAGGATTTGAGCATTCAGCGGCCAAGCAGACAAGCCACACCCCTGTTGCACATCCTGTAAGGGGGGGTCAGGGAATGCTCCTGTTTCATCACAACACACTCTGTGACACTGTGCCTGCTATTCCTTCTCTTCTTCATGTAACACAGTCTTGTTCATCCTTAATAACTGGTGATCTTTAGGGTCATTTACAAATGGTCAGTTTCTCCTGCTTTCAGGCATTTGGTAAGATCGCTCTTTTCCCATCCCATTTTAAATTAGATGTGGTCATGTGACTTGCTTTTTCCAATATGTGGTGAGCAGATGTGCTGTATTCATCAGGCAGAAATTTCCTGGCAGAAGTTTCAAGGGCAAGGGTTGCCGAGTTCTCTCCCGCTGCTCCAGCTATCATGAAGTTACCTGTTGAGACGAAGTCTCTGTCACCAGGGGCTCCTAGTGACTGTACTGAGCAGTAGTTTCCTGCTAACTGGAATTGGATGTGTAACATGAGTGATGTGTAAAACTTGCGCATGTATTAAAGCAACGGATGCATTGGTGGTGTTTGTTACCATGGCATAACCTCACCTAACCTGACTGACAGAACAACACAACCAAATTCAAGTGTGACTTTATCTAGGAAGCCTGCTCCTAGATAACATCTTTCCCACAATGACCTGTTAATCACAATTTTCTTGGTGACTTCATAATGCTTTTTCCATAACTTCATTGTTACGCTTGCCACAGTGCTTAGGGATTTTGTTTACATGACTCTTTCCCCTATCATGCTTTGAACACCTCAAAAGAAAGACCAGATCTTAGATACCATACCCACCCTTTCTCATTTTTTGACACATTGGTTGGCACATGGTTGCTATTTAATGACTATTTTTAAATAAATGAGAAAAAGGACAATCAGGAAAGCCATTTTCCTTTTCTGATTAGAAAAGATTTTTTAACAGCTTAAAGAAGCTGTTAAAACAGAGAAAATAAGTTCATCAAGTTATCAGACCAACCCTTTTGTTATTGTTCATGTGAGGTAAAGAATGTATTAAAATTATTTTAATATCTGTTTTGTCCTGAAATAATTTCAAAGGATGATAGTTTGGTAGTCAATAATTTCATTGATAATGTAAAGATCATCACCCAAATCTCTCTCTTTTTTTTTTTTTTTTGAGATGTATTCTTGCTCTGTCGCCCAGGGCGGTGTGCAGTGGCACAATCTCAGCTCACTGCAACCTCCGCCTCCTGGGTTCAAGCAATTCGTGCCTGCCACCATGCCCGGCTAATTTTTGGATTTTTAGTAGAGAAAGGATTTCACCATGATGGCCAGGCTGGTCTCGAACTCCTGACCTCAAATGATTGACCTGCCTCGGCCTCCCAAAGTGCTGGGATTACAGGCATAAACCACCGTGCCCCGCCACCCAAATCTGTATGTTATAATTAAGTTACACCTTACTTCACTCACATTAAGTTAATCATTAGTATTGTGGTTTCTTATGGATCTTTAATTCATTCGGCAAATATTTATTGACTGTTGTGCTGCATCCAGTGTTGTGCTAGGCCCTGGGAATGTACAACTGAATAAAACACAATTCCTGACATCAGGGAGCTTATAGCTTAGTGGGGCAGAAATACAAACAGGTAATTATAATACAATGTGGCACAGGCAATGATTGAAGTACATGCAAGGTGTTATTTATGAACACAGAAGAGACATTAGTCCTGTCTGAAGAGTTTAAATCAGGAAGATAACATGATCACATTTACAATCCAGCTATTTTCTTCTGGTTGTTAGGTTACTGTTTTCTGTATGACGTGCAATGGTTATAGAATGGAGAGATGATGGCAAAATCAGAAGGTCTTACTGATTGCGTTGATGTGGGAGTAAGAGTTGGGAGGAAACAAAGATGATACCCAGGGTGCTAACTTGCATGATTGAGTATATGAGAATGGCACAGATTAAGACAACAGAAATATAAATAGATTTATGTAAAAGTTAACAAAATGAGGTGGACAGGTTCAGTCTGATGTATGGGTGAGGTTTTCAGATTCTATATCCTTCAGAAAATTGAAAATACACATCTAAAGTTTAAGAAGATAATGATGCTGGAGATATGGATTTGGGGTTACTAACAGACAGCTGATACCTTGAGAAACTAGCATGTAATGAGTGGCAAAGGAAACAGGAGAAATTCAGACATATTAGAGCTGTGGTTCTTATCAGGATAGGTACTTCCTCAAAGGGGGGCATTTTTGGTTATCACAATGATTGGAAGTACTATTGGCATTTAGTATCCTTCAATGAAAAAACATTTCCATACAATTAAGAATTAATTAACATTGCACGTCTTTTGAATCTCCTGCTGGACAGTAGGTAAAAATCTGTTTATAATTAACTGAATGTGGAAGCTTACTCTATTTTATATGTAAACAGAGGATTTTATTTTCAAGGTTTCAATATACATTGATTTTTTTTCCAGTAATGTAAGTACCTGATAAATAATTGCACTTTCTTTTTTTTTTTGAGACGGAGTCTCAGTCTGTCACCCAGGCTGGAGTGCGGTGGTGTGATTTTGGCTTACTACAACCTCTGCCTGCTGGGTTCAAGTGATTGTCCTGCTTCAGCCTCCCAAGCAGCTGGAATTACAGGTGCCTGGCACCATGCCCAGCTAATTTTTGTATTTTTAGTAGAGACGGAGTTTCACCACGTTGTCCAGGCTGGTCTCGAACTCCTGACCTCAAGCTATCTACCCGTCTTGGCCACCCAAAGTACTGAGAATACAAGCATGAGCTACTGCGCCTGGCCATAATTGCACTTTTAATGTTTGAAACTTTACCAAGAGCTAATCACCATTTTGAAAAACCATATAATTGATAATATCCTTGGTATTTGAGTAACTCAACTATGTATCAATCTATATTGTAATTATCACAATTGATAGGTTCAAAGATATAGGTTCAATAACCTTAAAGATATAGGTTCAAAAAATCTGATTACAATACTTACTTATGTCTTTCAGTGTAGTTAAATCAAAGTATTTGCATGTCAAGATATGTACTAATTTTACAAATTACCTTATTTTCTTCATATTGGTTAAAACACTTTATTGTGTATTTTTAAACATATGTAATGTGAAGATACATTACTAGTTACCATAGGATCCTAAATGGGGCATCACAGGATGTAGAGTATAAAGAAGGAGTATGGTGACACACAGAGTGGATAAGCTGTCTCCAAAATCTTAAAAGGACTAAAAGCATTGTCCTTCTTTCTTAGGTGTGGCAGATATGAGATGCAATAATTTGTCCTTTATTTTTGAGGGGATAGCCTTATATGTCCTTAAAAAAAAGTCACTGTAAACTTTAAGCTCCTGAACCTTCAACCTTCATAAGGATTATTTCCCATCATCTGGAATGTATTTATCTTTTTTCTTTTTTTTTTTTTTTTTTGAGAAGACAGTCTTGTTCTGTTGCCCAGGCTGAAGTGCAATGGTGCAATATCAGCTCACTGCAACCTCCGCCTCCCAGGTTCAAGCAATTATCCTGCCTCAGCCTCCCAAGTAGTTGGGATTGCAGGCGCACACCACCACACCCAGCTAATTTTTGTATTTTTAGTAGAGATGGGGTTTCACCATGTTGGTCAGGCTGGTCTTGAACTCCTGATTCAAGTGATCCACCTGTCTTGGCCTTTCAAAGTGTTGGTATCACAGGCGTGAGCCACTGTGACAGGCCAGAGTGTATTTATCTTGCTAGGTAGAGACTTCTGCAACATCCTTAAGAAAGATTATAAGGGCCAGCCTTCAACTAGTCTTCAACAGAGAGGAGTGGGCCACTTCTTCAGGCTCAAAGGGTTCAGCAGACTCAGATTTCAGAGTTCTTGATTGCATTGACCCAGATGTTCTTAAGTCCCAGGTCCTTTCCAATCAAGGTGTGATAATCAAATCAGATTTGAGAGTACAAACTTCTGGACTTCACCCCCTTTCTAATTAAGTCTAATGTTTGATGCTTAGCTTTTTCTGCCCTCTAGCTGCAGAAGATGAACCTCTTTATACGCAGCCAAGGACAGTCTATAACTTGCACTTCTTAAGTTGGTGATTAATCACCATTGTCTTCATTGTCTTTTTTCTAATGCATCAATAATACCCAGCAACAGACATCTAATTCCATGGTCCTTAAAAGCACCACTTCCTCCATGCTTCTCAAATGCCTGAGACAATAGTATCCTTCAGAGCGTTCCTTTCCACCGGTATCCTATACTCCTTAACCTCTCATGAACAATTGAACTGCTACAGCTGCCAGGAGCTTTTGATACTCCGTCTGCTGAGCCCCTTCCAAAGCCCCACTGCAGAGCTGCCTCCTAAGAATACTTCCAGTACCAAGTCCTAGGTTGGGTTTCCTGGAAACAGATGCTGAGATGGAGGTTTGCATGTAGCAGGATTATTGATTCATGCTCCTGGAGCAGCACTTGTAAGGGAGTAAGAAAAGCATGATTGGGAAGAGGAATCAGTGGCAACAGAGACCTCTGCTGATCCCACAGAGAGCTCTGCAAGTGGGATGGCCCTTCAGAGGTGTCCTGAGTTAAAGCAGGAGAGCCTGGAGACTCAAACTCACATAAAATGGTGATTAGATATAAGCAGTCCCTGAGGATGGGACATAACCTTGGGTGAGGCAGCTACCTTTGACCAAAAATAATTCCCAGAGAGGGATGCAGTTGTGAGCCATAAACAGTCAAATTATTATTAAATTATAACCCCAGAACAGGGGAGGGGAAAGGAAGGATAGGTGCCTTGGGCCGAAGAGGGTGATCTGGGTGTGCTCCACAGCATCACTACAGTTAGGAATTTTAGAGGTACTGGGGGAGGGGATGAGAGAACAGGATTTCAAGGAAGAAGGAAAGATGAACAGACTCATGTCCCTCCTGCCCGCTTATCATTGCCACTTTCTAATTCAACCAAGATGTGGAAAAAGCATGAGCTTTGGAGTCTCACACACATGTGTTCATATTACAGTCTGAAACTTGCTAGCTGTGAGATGCTAGACACTGGTCTAGCATAAGAACTCATTAACAATGGTCATGACCATTTATGGAGTTCTTACTATATACTGGGTGCCTTCCTCAGTGCTTCACATGTACAAGCTCATTTACCTGTACTAATCCTATGAGGGAAGTATTATTACGTTTCATGTGAGGAAACTGGGCACAAAGATGTTTGAGGCCGGGCATAGTGGCTCAGGCCTGTAATCCCAGCAGTTTGGGAGGCTGAGGCGGGTGGATTGCTTGAGGCTAGGAGTTTGAGACCAGCCTGGCCAACATGGTGAAACCCCATCTCTACTAAAAATACAAACATTAGACGGGTGTGATGGTGTGCACCTGTAGTCTCAGCTACTGGGGACACTGAGGCAGAAGAATGGTTCGAACCCAGGAGGTGGAGGTTACAGTGAGCTGAGATCACGCCACTACACTCCAGCCTGGGCAACAGAGCAAGAATATGTTGCAAAAACAAACAAACAACAAAAAACCAAAGATGTTTAATACTTTGCCCAAGATTTCAAAGCCAGTAAGTGGCAGAGTTGGGGATTGGAGCCCACAAGTCATCTTCACAGCCTTAGCCTTTAACTATTTTTTTGCAGTGCCTTGTTCTCCTTACATAAAATATTTTGTTATAAGAACTCACGTGTGTAGTGTGCTTGCCACAAAGTAGGTACCTGATAAATGCAAATTTCCTTGTAGTTTCCTCTTGGATGGATTTCTGGAATTATCTAGTCTACACTGATCTTCTGGCCCTGGTTCTGGAAGGGTTCCCATCATCCCTCCCCCAGCAGGGCTTTCTAAGTGCTTTGACATGTATGAGCAGTTGAGACCAGAGTTTAGATGCTTCATTCATGCCTGGTATTCATATTGCCTATGTTGTTGCAAAATAGATGCTCTAAACATTTACAAAATAAACGAAAGAATAGAAAATGGATATTTTTTAAAGGTAGTTCCTAGAAATGTTCTATTGCAAGATTGTGGTGGTGGTTAAACTACTATGTGCATTTGTCAAAACTGATTGCATTATGCACTTCAATGGGTACATTTTATTATATGTAAATTATTCTTCAATGAAGCTAATTTAAAAATAGTTTTAACTCTTAGAGTAATGAAAAAGAAGCTCCCCATGATACATTTTACCACATGGGATGCTGGGAAGAGTTTTCTGCCACTAGAAAGGGAATCTAGTGGTACAATTAGGTCAGCCACTGCAGAAAGATTAAGTTTCTGGTTCAACCAAGATAATGTAACAACTTGGGCTCAGTGTTTCTTTAATTGATTTACTGTTTCCTCTCTGCTGCTTCTGTTATTCTGAGACTACTTTGAGTAAGTTTTAATTTTAATTTTAAACATGACTTACTAAATTTTCTAGGAAATTGAACCTCAATAGTGCTGTCATATTGACCATATCCATAAAACACAATGGACAGGAAACAGCATATTGCTTTACAGTTCCAAATAGGCACATACAGTAATCTCAATCAGCCATGTTCACACAGGCAGAAATTCCACATGAACGATAAGAATCTGGAATGAGAATTCTTCAGATGCTATTACTTTTTTATTTTCTGAAGGTTGAGAGAATAAATTTGTATGTTTATTTTCTTAAATTGTCAAGCCCTAAAAATTAACTTCATATGTGTTATGGTTATGAATAACATCACTGAAAGTCATGTCATTCAGTTTGGAAATACAAATTAATATCTAGTCAAAAGAATCAACTGTGAGAATAAATCTTGAAAGTATTGTTCAAGAGCAACTTACCGTAGTTTTCTAGAGCATAAATTCCTTCTGGTTTTTGGTGTCATGCTAATAAAGATAAGATAATAGGATATGTTGGGTTTTAAAAATATTTATAGTAATAGGGTTATAGATATAATTTTGTTAACATTATATAGGGTGAAAAAAGATGTATCATGTTTTACTGAATTCCTGGTTTTTTGGTATTGCTCATGTTTTTTTTTTTTTTTTTTTTTTTTTCCTGAGACGGAGTCTCGCTCTGTCCCCCAGGCTGGAGTGTGGTGGTGCAATCTTGGCTCACGGCATCCTCCTCCGCCTCCTGGATTCAAGCAATGCTCCTGCCTCAGCCTCCCGAGTAGCTGGGATTACAGGTGCCCGCCTCCACACCCAGCTAATTTTTGTATTTTTAGTAGAGACAGGGTTTTACTATGTTGGCCAGATCCTGATCTTGTGATCTGCCCACCTCGGCCTCCCAAAGTGCTGGGATTACAGGCGTGAGCCACCGCGCCCAGCTGTTTTTGTTTGTTTTTAAGCAACAGAACTATAAGTTTTTAATCTTTGTTTTCCCAGCCTTATTACAGTGGTAACATTCAATTAATACCCGCTTACTAACTGACGTGAACAAAAGAAGCCGTCACGTGTTACTTCAAGAATAGCTATTGGGCACACTGAAGGCCACAGAGGCAGCTCTTCCCAATGTAGACAACAGGTTATTGCTGGGAGAGGCTTTAGAAATCTCAGTCTATTAACAAGTACAGTTAATAGAAAACAAAACTAAGGTCCAGTGAGGTTGTGGTGATTAGTTCAAGGTTATCTAGCAGAACCAGATCTAGAATTTAGGACTCCTGTGTTCTAGTTCATTTCTCTTTCAACTACCTGATACTGGCCCCATGTATTTTTAATCATCAGATAAGCATTCACTCATTCTATTGTAAACAAATACCTATTGCACTCCTACTAATGTCAGATGCTATCCTAAACATTGAGGATAAAATACCAAACAGTACACATGCCTTACTTTGTGAAGCTTAGACTTGAGTAGGAGATGCAAATATAAATATGCAAATAGAGCATTACTAAATTTCACTTTATTATGAGAATAATTACAGCAAATTTTAAAAATAACTTATTCTGTTAATTACTTCACATTGCAAGCACTATGCTAATAGTCATATAACCTTATTTGGTGCTCACCAAAACTCTCTGCGTATTTATAATTATTTCCATATATATGGAAATATATATTTCCATATATAAGGTTTCTGAGGTTGAGTAAATTGCCAGGGCCACTGGGTTCTTTCAATGTTCTGCCCAGAGGGTATAGACTGCAGGGCCAGCATTAGAAACCTAGGTGGGAGAAGGAGGCTGGAGTCCTGGCATTCAGAACACGAACATTCACTTTAGTCCCTGACACCAAATGTGCTGTGCCCCCAGTCCAGAGACCCTGTGTTTTTGTCCTCTCTACAGAATAAACTTTATTTTTGTTTTCCATGATGATAAGGAAGGAATTCACCTAGATCAGATGGAACCAGAGTCTCGCTCTGCTGCCCAGGCTGGAGTGCAGTGTCGTGATCTCAGCTCACTGCAGCCTCAGTCTTCCTGGTTCACGCCATTCTCCTGCCTCAGCCTCCAGAGTAGCTGGGACTACAGATGCCCGCCACCATGCCCGGCTAATTTTTTTGTATTTTTAGTAGGGACAGGGTTTCACCGTGTTAGCCAGGATGGTCTCCATCTCCTGACCTCGTGATCCGCCCGCCTTGGCCTCCCAAAGTGCTGGGATTACAGGCATGAGCCACAGTGCCCGGCCTGAAACAGACTTTCAAACAGTCGACATTACCTTGGCCCTGCTTCCTTCACCCAACTGAAGAGATAATAGTAGGTATATGATAATTGTGATCTTTTTTTTTTTCCATTGCATGTAAATGTTTGGGTATGTCTAATTATTTTTAATGATTATTACTAGAAATTGACAATGTAATATTCATAACTATAACATATAATATTAGTAGAAATAGAATTGCCGGACTAAGAAGGCATGAACATTTTCAAGGTTATTCATATGGATCACCAAAATATTCTCCCAAAAGTTTGTACAAATTTATATATCAATCTGTTTTTATGATGCTGCTGTCTTCATGCCCTCAACAATGTTGGATATTCATAGCATTATTACTGGATAATTAGGATGTATGTATGTTATCTTATTTATTGTTTATAATTACATATTCAGTATATGTATTTTTATTGAAGAGGTTGTATGGTGTGGTAGGTGAGAGTTGGTTTTGGGGCCAGGCGTGGTGGCTCATGCCTATAATCCCAGCACTTTGGGATGCCAAGGTAGGTGAATCCCTTGAGCTCAGTAGTTCAAGACCAGCCTGGGCAACATGGCGAAACCCTGTCTCTACAAAAATTAGCTGGGCCTGGTGGTGCACGTCTGTGGTCCCACCTACTCGGGAGGCCAAAGAATCGCTGGAACCCTGATGGCAGAAGTTGCAGTGAGCTGATATTGTACCACTGCACTCGAGCCTGGGTGACAGAGTGAGACCCACCCCCGAAAAAAAAAAAAGCTGGTTTTGGGACTGCACTGCCTGGGTTCCATCTGCTCCTCACACTGATGAGCTCTGTCCCTATACCCCAGTTTTCTCATCTGCAAAGAGGTAGAACCCACCTATTAGGATTGTTGGGAGGGTTAAACAAACAAGTCAACACATCTAAAACTTTTAGGAAAAGACTGGCACACAGTAGACACTGAATGTATGTTAGCAATTAATATTATTAAAAGTTTTATGGCAGGAGGCCGGGCGCGGTGGCTCACGCCTGTAATCCCAGCACTTGGGGACGCCTAGGCGGGTGGATCACGAGGTCAGGAGATCGAGACCATTCTGGCTAACATGGTGAAACCCCGTCTCTACTAAAAATACAAAGAATCTTAGCCGGACTTGGGGGCGGGCGCCTGTAGTCCCAGCTACTCAGGAGGCTGAGGCAGGAGAACGGCGTGAACCTGGGAGGCGGAGCTTGCAGTGAGAGGAGATCGCGCCACTGCACTCCAGCCTGGGCGACAGAGCGAGACTCCGTCTCAAAAAAAAAAAGTTGTATGGCAGGTAAAATATCTCATCTTAATTTGATTACTAAGTGAGAATGTTCTCTTTTCATATGCCTAGTGGCCAACTGTATTTCTTCATTTTTGAATTGCTTTCTCATAATATACGCCTTTAAAAAATAAACATGATGATGTTCTCTGAATTGATACCTAAGAGCTCATTAAACCTAAGTCCTATAATTTTGCAATATGTTTTCCTTTTGTGACCACTTTTCATGAACCTCTTGAATTTGGCTCTGAATATCTTCCAGTAACTTTATGGTATCAATCTTGGCAATCCTTCAGTGACCACTCTACACTTCCAAGTGCTTCCCAAGAAGGCAGAGGGTAACAGCCACCACTCATTTGCAGTAGTACTGCCTGTGTACCCCAAGTTGCTGTTACTCCGTAGCAATAATCTCAGCCCTTCTGTCACCTGTGCACTTACATAGCATTACATTTTAAATTTTAAATTGTTATAAGAATTTTTGTTAACATCATTTTTTGGTTAAATTTTTCATGATTATCTGAGTAAACTTCGAAAGGCATAAACAGGAAAACTCAGCATATATATCTTTTATTCAGACACAGTAACAGTTTATATGTTAGACATTTCTTCTGGTCTTTCTCATATTTCTTCAATTTAATAGCAGATAAAATGTGAAAAACATTTTTTTCTCAAAACATTATGTAATATGCATACTGTACATCATTTCAAATAATTTATTATTGTCATTTTAACAGCAGCATATGATTCTATTATCTAACTGTACCTTTTCTATTCTCCTGATGATTATTTTGGCCATCTGCAGCTTTGTAATGAACAACACTGTAATAATAAACTTGCTCATAAATTTTTTTTTTTTTTTGAGATAGAGTCTCGCTCTGTCGCCCAGGCTGGAGTGCAGTGGCGTAATCTCGGCTCACTGCAAGCTCCGCCTCCTGGGTTCACGCCATTCTCCCGCCTTAGCCTCCCGAGCAGCTGGGACTACAGGCATCCGCCACCATGCCCAGCTAATTTTTTGTATTTTTAGTAGAGACGGGGTTTCACCGTGTTAGCCAGGATGGTCTTGATCTGCCTGCCTCAGCCTCCCAAAGTGCTGGGATTACAGGCGTGAGCCACCATGCCTGGCCAATAAATCTTGTCTTTTAGTTTGGATATCTTTAAAATAAACATTTCAATGTATGGACACTTAATTTTTAGGTAGTCAAATATATGCTTTTGTTCACATTTTCTTGAAGATATCATTAATTATTCTGAGGTCATATGTGCTACTCAGGTCTCACCAACTAGACCATACATTTCTTTTTTTTTTTTTTTTTTTTTTGAGACAGCATTTCGCTCTTGATGCCTGGGCTGGAGTGCAATGGTGTGATCTTGGCTTGCTGCAACCTCTGCCTCCCAGGTTCAAGTGATTCTCCTGCCTCAGCCTCCTGAGTAGCTGGGATTACGGCACCCAGCTAATTTTTGTATTTTTAGTAGAGACGGGTTTTCACCATGTTGACCAGGATGGTCTGTATCTCTTGACCTCGTGCCCACCCTGGCCTCCCAAAGTGCTAGGATTACAGGCTTGAGCCACCGCACCCAGCCTTTCACCATGTTTTGACTAGCACATGGCCCTCACGAGAAGCCAGCCAGATGTGGTGCTATGCTCTTGAACTTCCCAGCTTACAGAATTGTGAGCTAAATAAACCTTATTTTTAAAAAAACAAATTACTAAATCTCAGATATTCTTTTGTAGCAACACAAAATGGACTAGGACAGAATTATAGCTATGCATGATGCCTGCTGGATTACCTGATCTAGGATTCTTTCAGAGATTTAATCTTTTTAGGCTGTGCCTGACTCTTTCCAAAAAGATGTGACAATTCTCCTGTGTCCAGCCACTTTGCTGTCTCTAATACATGTGAATGTCCTGTGAATTAGGCAAAGCCTGTCATTTTTCTGCTTAAAGGGCAAGGATTTCCTTCAGGAGGATAGTCAATCTGGGATATAGATAATCTTTCTAGAGAAGCTAAAAGTTTCCTCCCTTTTTTCACCAAGAAAATGCTGGGGATATTTGACAGACTGTGTTCAAACTCATCATGGTCTGTATGATACCCGTTCTTTGAAATGCATTAATATTTGCATTACACAGCAGGATGTTGTCAGTGTTCTCTGGGTACTTGAAAATAATGTATATGCTACGTTTGTTGAGTGCCAATCTCCACATAATTTGAATAATCATGAATTCACGTTCAATTCCTTGCCTTTTTTTTTTTTTTTTTTTTGGAGATGGAGTTTCGCTGTTGTTTGTTGCCCAGGCTGGAGTCTGGAGTGCAATGGCGAGATCTCGGCTCACTGAAACATCTGCCTCTGGGGTTCAAGTGATTCTCCTGCCTCAGCCTCCTGAGTAGCTGAGATTACAGGTGTGAGCCACCATGCCCAGCTAATTTTTCTGTTTTTTAGTAGAGATGGGGTTTCACTATGTTGGCCAGGCTGGTCTCGAACTCCTGACCTCAGGTGATCCACCTGCCTTGGCCTCCCACAGTGTTGGGATTACAGGCGTGAGCCACTGCACCCAGCTAATGCCTTTTTCTTGTTGAAAATATATTTACTTTATAAGTATAATGGATTAAGAGATAGGTGAACATTTCATGCCTCATCTCCAGACTCAACTGTTCAGTACATGTAACTTCCTGTTTATCATCTCCAATTAGATGTCTCATGGATACCCTGGGCTCATCATATCTAAAACTAAGTTTCATCACTTTCTTTCTTTTTTTTTTTTTTTTTGAGACAGAGTCTTGCTCTGGCGCCCAGGCTGGAGTGCAGTGGCATGATCTCTGCTCACTGCAAGCTCCGCTTCCTGGGTTCACGCCATTCTCCTGCCTCAGCCTCCCAAGTAGCTGGGACTACAGGTGCGCACCACCACGCCTGGCTAATATTTTGTATTTTTAGTAGAGACAGCGTTTCACAGTGTTAGCCAGGATGGTCTCAATCTCCTGACCTCATGTCCGCCCACTTCAGCCTCCCAAAGTGCTGGGATTAGAGGCCTGAGCCACTGCGCCAGACCAGTTTCATCACTTTCATACCAAACAAGTTCTGTTTCCATTTTTACTGTTTCAGAAAATTGCACCATGATCCATCCACTTTCTTAAATTAGAAGCCTGAAAATAATCCTTCATGTCTCTTTTTCCTCCATTCCCCATACTTAATTTACCAAGCTCTGTCATTTCTAGTTTCTCAAAGATTCTTGAATCTGTCCCCCGATCTTCAATCCCAGGGCCACTACCTCAGTGAAAGCTACCAAGATTAAAAATTCTGATTACTGTGACAGAATGTGTCTCTGTCTCTACTTTCACCAACCTCACATCTGTATTCCACATCTCACTCAGATTGGTTGTCCTGAAACAAAAATCCAATCATGTCACTTACCCAAAATCTTTTATCGACTCCCCATCCACCTTAAGGTAAAGAATGAACTTTTCAAAATAGCTATCATTTTGTGAGCATACATTATTTTCTCAAGACAACCCCATAAAGCAGATACTATTGTAATTATTATCATCCTCTTTTAAGATAAACAGGGATAGAGAGCTTAAGCAACTTGTTCCATATATGAGTCAGAGAAACACATCCACTGTGTGTTGTAAGATAAGGGATGTATTATAGAATGTGTATATATAACATTATGAGATGCTTGGGAAGGAAGATCTGAGTGGTTCCCAGCCAGTCAATATAAAAAGCCAAGCACATCCAGCCACCCAAGTGGGACTGTGAAGCTGCTGGCAGATAAGTCTGTGGGAAGATTTTGCCTCTGTGGGTTTGTGGTCAAGTATTCATTGATGGTCCTAGGGCTGCTCCTAGTCAGAGGAGCCGGAGTAGAGAAGAAGAGCTGGAAGTGAAGTGGAAGAGAGTGAGGAAAAGCCCCCCTAGGGACCTCTGTGTCTGTCCATCACTACATCCAATCACGATGATTTTTAGAGGGTATTGGCTGCTGCTTCACTTCTACCTCCTAAATCTTGTAAAAGTTATCTCGTTGGCCATGCTAACAGAGAACTATCTGTGAGAAAAGAATGTGAAATGTGGTTCTCAGATTAACTAGGTTGACAATAGAATGATTCGCCATACCTAAAGTCGTCAAGACAGAGTTTGTGTCTGAACCAGGATTTGAACCCAGGCAGCCTGGCTCAGATTCCATTAAGGTCCACTTTATTATGTCCTTCATGGTCTGGTAAACTGCTTATCTCTGCTTTCACAGCATCCTGTTCTACATCCTCTACTTCAGCCACACAGGGCTACCTCTAGGGACCTGACAAAGAGATGCTCCTCTGACTTTTGGGCATCTGCTAGTCCCATGCTAGAAAACTCTTCCTTTCCTCATCCATGAAATGGCCACGTGTCATTTGCCTTTTGGGTCTCAGATAAGCTGTCACTGTCTTTAGAACAACATCCCTGTCCCCTAAAGACGATTTTAAATATCCTCTGTGTGACAAGATCTAATGCTTGCTGCTTTCTTAGGACTTAATACACACCTCCTACCAGGGCAGAGGCCTGTCTGTCTTGCTCACTGCTGTATACCTGACACTTAGCACAGTAGCTAATAAATCATGAATAAACAACCACACTAGTAACTGCTTTATCTACCTCCGTCTTTGGATTTACACTCAATTGAAACAGAGATTTTTGTCTTGCCTAATGCATTCTCAGCATTCCAGCATAATATCAACCTGTTTAATATTTGTTGAATTAATAAGTCCAAAAATAACAGGAAAAAAGCTGAGAATTCAGATTATTAATTGTGTATCTTCTCTGCCTGGTAAGTTAGATAGACAAAAACCTTGAGTGAGAATTAACTCGGAATTGAGTATTCTTCCACTTAGACCATTAGGCTCATTAATCACTCTTCTCTGTTCATCTTTTCAGGCACAGTTAGTAAGGCAAATTTATACCATAAAATTCTTGGTTATCTTTCTGGTTTTATTGACACCACAGTAAAACTGTGACTTCTTAAAATGATTTGAAGGTCCCCAACAATAAAAACATGAATACGTTACTGCTATTAGAGAGTGAGAGAAACACTCTGCCTCCCTGTGCTGGTTGTTGCTGATTATCCTGTTGAACTTGATTACTGATTACTGAGAAAGTTACATGTTGAAGTTCTGCTTGTTCATGAGTTCTGATGTAGTCTAGGGAATGTTGTAATTACAGTGCTCATTCAGAAGAAGGCTGCAATCCAGACGTAGTACATAGGAAGGTAGAGTAGCTAATATGTTTTCTATGAAAATAAACTGGTTTCCATAGGAAAACCAAAGTGAAAGAATACGCTGTATACAAAAGTGAATCCTAAATCTTATAAATCCCTGTATGAGAAAAAAAAAGGGAGGAGGAAATTACAGGAACTGGAATATGATCTAAGAAAAGGTATGCAATGTATACTTAGTGCCTATATTTGTATGCTATAGGAGAGGGATATTTATTTTATTTATTTATTTTTTCAGATGGAGTCTTGCTTTGTTGCCCAGGCTGGAGTGCAGTGGCCTGATCTCGGCTCACTGCAACCTCTGCCTCCCAGATTCAAGTGATTCTCCTATCTCAGCCTCCCAAGTAGCTGGGACTACAGGTGCCTGCCACCACACCCAGCTTATTTTTGGATTTTTAGTAGGGATGAAGTTTCACCATGTTGGTCGGGCTGGTCTCAAACTCCTGACCTCAAGTGATTCTCCTGCTTCAGCCTCCCAAAATGTTAGGATTACAGGTGTGAGCCACTTTGTCTGGCTGGGATATGAAAATTTTCTAAAGGCAAAATCAATAGTATAAAAAAACCTAAGTCGAACATTAAGAGAAGATAAGCCTTTGAAAGATAAAATTTTAAATAAATTATTAGCATGTCATAAAGTTTTATTTATTTTAAGACGAAACAAAAATGTTAGTTGATACATGAGAATAGAGGTGTTAATTAGTAAGTTTATGAACCAGACTTCTGTTTATATTCTCTTATGAAGGATAATTTTTGGTTAGTATGAGATTTTATTTCTTGATTATGAGCATTAATAAAGGCAAGTGTTGGCTGAGCCTGGATGAAATATGAGATGTTTATAACACACACACAATTGTGACAATTCAAATGCAGAACTTTTTGTTTAAACAAATGATTACGGTTGAAGTAGAAGTATAAGCAGGGCCATAATTCATGACACATCCAATTCTTTTTCCTGCTGCAGTCATTAGTTCTTCACCTTCGCAGTAACAACCATATGAGTGCAACGAAATAGACCATGACTAAAGGATTTGGTAAGATCTTGCTCTACAAGAAAACAAAAAGAAAAACAAATAAAACCTTAAGAAAAAGTACTATGAATTGCTGCTTAATGAATTCCCTATGCTTACAGAACTACATAGCTAGGCTATGGGGAATTTAACTGTCTGAGTCTTCTTTCATTTCCAAACCAATAATACATTGACATAGCCTCGGTCTACATTATCTAAATTAATTAGAGCCAGAACCTAAATAATTTCCTGGCTGTTAGTTTTAAACAAATGAAAATGTTGGTATCAAGGCTTTCCTGTTGCTACTGTATCAAGATCTATATGACATATATGGTATCAAAACGTATATGATATATATGGAATATGGTTATATACAATCTAGCTTGGTCATGGTTACATAGAAAGACTATTCTTTTTAAGTAAGGCTGCTCGTTTTTAAATCACAGTAAAACATAGGAATCTTCAACTCAGAAGTCTATTTTTCCATGGGTATGCTGAAATAATGCTTTCAAACTATTACAAATTAACTGAAAAGGTAAGTAGTAAAATAGAACAGGTTTATGTCTTTGTGGTGTAACAAACAGTAAAGCATGTAGGTAATTGGATTCCAAACCTTGCCCCCTCCCTGAGGGCTATATATGCCCACTCTTCTACTATACTCCCACGGGGAAGTCATCCTGGAGCATGAAGAGCATTAAAACAGCAACAGTGGCCACAAACATAATATTGAGATTATTGCCTTGGTTATCTCTATACTAATTTTATGTATATTATATACATATCGATCTGTCTTCACAAATGCTGTGTACCAAGTACAAAATTTTCAAGTTGCTAAATGTAGAAATTAGGAATATCAGTAATTTTAAGGTTATGATGAGTTGCAGATGTAGTAATAATTCATGTGAGATGTTCTGTCAAATGATTTGAAAGTCATTAAAATCCCTCACCCAGAAATAAATCCATGCATTTACGGTCAATTGATTTTTGACAAAGATGCCAAGAACACACAATGGGGAAAGGAAAGTCTCTTCAGTGAATGGTGCTCAGAAAACTGAATATCCACATACAGAAGAATGAAATTAGACCCTCATCTCACACCATATCAAAAACATTAACTCAAAATCTAAGACCTAAGACTTAAATCTAAGATCTGAAACTGTAAAACAAAGAGAAGAAAACACAGGAGGGAAGCTACATGACATAGGTCTGGGCAATGATTCTTTGGATATAACTCTAAAAGCCAGGTAAAATAAAAACAGATGAATGAAATTATATCAAACTAAAAAGCTTCTGCACAGCAAAGGCAACAATCAATAGGGTGAAGAGACAATTCATGGAAGAGGAGAAAATATTCAGAGATCATACATCCGACAGAGAGCTTACCATCTAATAAGAGATAATATCCAAAACACATAAGGAATTCATCTCAATTATAAGAAAACAAATAACCCAATTTAAAAATGAGCAAAGGACCTGGATAGATATTTTTTTAAAAGAAGATATACAAATGGCCAACAGGTTTATGAAAAAATTCTTGCCATCACTATTGTCAGGGAAATGCAAGTTAAAATCACAATGAGATATCACCTCGTGCCTGTTAGAATGGCTATGATTGAGAGTACAAAAGATAAGTGTTGTTGGCAAGGATGTGGAGAGGTAAGGCTTGTTGGTAAGAATGTAAATTAATATAGCTATTATGAAAAACACCATGGGGGTTTCACAAAAAATTAAAAATATACCATATAATCCAGCAATCCCACTTATGGGTAATGTCTAAAGGATATGAAATTGGTATGTCAAAGAGTAAAATGGTGGTTACCAAAGGCTGGCAGGTGGGGGGATTGGATAAATGTTTGTTGATGCATACAAAATTTCAATTAGGCAGAATAAATTATTTCAAGATATCTATTGTACAATATGGTGACCATAGTTAATAACAATGTATTGTATCTTTAAAAATTACTACTAGAGGCCAGGCGTGGTGGCTCACACCTATAATCCCAACACTTTGGGAGGCCGAGGCGGGCGGGTCATGAGGTCAGGAGATCGAGACCATCTTGGCCAACATGGTGAAACCCCGTCTCTATTAAAAATACAAAAATTAGCTGGGCATGGTGGCACGTGCCTGTACTCCCAACTACTTGGGAGGCTGAGGCAGAAGAATCGCTTGAACCTGGGAGGCTGAGGTTGCAGTGAGCCAAGATCGTGCCACTGCACTCCAGCCTGGTGACAGAGTGAAACTCTGTCTCAAAAAAAAAAAATTACTACTAAAATAGATTGTTATTATTCTCATCACAAAAATAAGAGAAGGATGTGAGGTAATGCATACGCTAATTAGTTTGATTTAATTATTCCACAATGTATACCCATAGCAAAACATCATGTACGCCATAAAAATATACAATTATTATTTTTCTATTGAAAAAATCTGCCCTCATTGTCATAAACTTTTTGGTTGATTGCTTTCTCTTCAATAAAAGCACCGTAACTAGGGCAGAATAAGGCAGCAACTTTATTAATGAGTGTTCAAAGGCAAAAGTAGCTTTTCTCCAAGTGGATTTTTCAGTGTCCAGAGAATGTTCATCATGCTTGTTCAGTGTCCTTGGCTTATTAGCACCATTCAAAACACTGTCTCTAGTTTCTGTATCATGTGCACAGTAGACTATTGTCACTGGGCACCAGGCTTCTTGTCGGCTTTGAGAATTCTCTCTTGCAAAGTTAATACTGGAGGTGAGAAGGCTTATGTATTTCTATTTGAGAATTCATATTAAAGTATCAGCGTGGTTTTTTATTTATTCTTTAATTCTGACCTATATGTCCTCAATATAGATAGTATGATCTGTCTATTCACTGGGCATGTATGTAATGCTGGTAAATGTCCTACAGAGTGTGCTAAATGCTAGGCACAAACATGCAAAGATATAGTCCCAATCTCAAGAAGTTTAGCAACTAGTAGAGGAGAAAGGGACACGGAGAGAGGAACAACACACACTGGGGCCTTTTGGAAGGTGGAAGGTGGAAGGAGGGAGAGGTGCAGGAAAAATAACTAGTGGATACTAGGCTTAATACCTGGGTGATGAAATAATCTGTACAACAAACCCCCATAACACAAGTTTACCTGTGTAACAAACCTGCACTGTACCCCTGAATTTAAAATAAAAGTTAAAAAATAAATGACTGGGCGTGGTGGCTTATGTCTGTAATCCCAGCACTTTGGGAGGCCGAGGCAGGTGGATCACTTGAGGTCAGGAGTTTGAGACCAGCCTGGCCAGCATGGTGAAACCCCGTCTCTACTAAAAATACAAAAAACTAGCTGGGCATGGTGGCGTGCGCCTGTTTTCCCAGCTACTTGGGAAGTTGAGGCAGGAGAATTGCTTGAACCTGGGAGGTGGAAGTTGCAGTGAGCCGAGATTGTGCCACTGCACTCCAGCCTGGGCGACAGCGAGACTCTGTCTCACACACACACACACACAAAATATATATATATATCTGTGTGTGTGTGTGTAAAATAAAACTTAAGAGTAATTTAGCATGAAACAATTCAGTATAATTTCAATGCTTTAAAACCTTCAACAGAAGGAAAGACAGATGCCAAGTTGTGTTTCCTCACTTCTTCTTAATGTTGGAATTTCAACCTAGCATAAAAATTGTATCTTTAACATCAGATGATATTAAAAGTCCTCTATGATACCTGCATGATAGCTTTGTCATTAGCATTTTATGATCTGTGTATGACATCATGTCCGCAGGTAAAAGCAGTGAAGTAACTGTAAGGCAATGAAACATTATAAAATACCTTCAAGCATTAATGGTTTATCTCTTTTGTTTCACAATAACACAATGTTTGAAGGTAAGTCCATAGTTCTAGAAACATCTATCACTAACAGGAAAAAGAACAAAATGATTGATCCACTTAGAAGCACCTCAGTCCATCCATGGATTAGCTTGCACTTCAAACTATAGATAAGTGTGTGTCTATATTCAGAAAGTCTAAGGGGGTGTTCTAGTTAAGAATGTGAGATATACATCCTAAAAATCCTGGCTTTAAATATCCACTCCATCACATACTGCTCTGAGACCTTGGAAAGTTACTTAGTTTATCAAAACCTCATTTTCTTCATCTGTAAAATGATGGTATTAATAATATCCGTGATTAAATGAGATAACAAAAGAAGTGCTACAGTACCTGGCACATAGTAAGCAATGAACAAATAATGGCCATTCTTTTAACTGTATTATTATTGTTCTTGTTATTTCGGTTCACTCCAAATTTTATTTGGTCAGTAATAGGACTGTGTGTGTAAGAAGAATCAATTCTGTCCTTATTCTGCTATAATAGCATTTGGTGGGTGAAATAGTAATGCCAGAAATTGATGTACATTGTTATGTTATTTCATCCAGTCTTCATATGTTTATGAAATCTGTAATATACGCTAGGTGTCAGATTACTAATTCTGTGTTTCTGTACTCAAGGAGCTTTCATTTGCATCAAACAACATCTGGGGATACTCTCTGTTCAGGTAAGAATGCTCGGAATGTAAGAATGCTCACACATGCTCAGCAATGTGATTTTTTTGTTTGTTTGTTTGAGAGGTTTGCTCTGTCGCACAGGCTGGAGTGCAGTGGCGCGATCTTGGCTCACTGCAACCTCTACCTCCCAGGTCAAGTGATTCTCCTGCCTCAGCCTCCCAGTTAGCTGGGACTACAGGTGCAAGCAACCACACCCGGTTAGTTTTTGTATTTTCACCATGTTGGCTAGACAGTCTTGAACTCCTGACCTCAAGTGATCCACCTGCCTTGGCCTCCCAAAGTGCTGGGATTACAGGCGTGAGCCACCATGCCTGGCCAGCAATATGATGATGATTTGATGTCTGTTTTCTACCTGTTGAAGATGATAGTCTTTGAATTCCTCAGCCAGGAATAAAGAAATTTTACCATCATGCCCACCTCGCCCCAGATAGCAACTCCCATGATTAACTAGACTTGCATCATCTGGGCCCTTCCCATCTCACACCTCATTCAAATTTCTACTCAGGTCACACTGGTGCCATTTTGCACCACTCTACTGCTTGCCCTAGCCTTGCAGTAAATAAACTTGTGTAGGTTTTTATTCCTGTGTTTAAAAAAATTAATTTAAAATATTTATAAACTAGAAACAAAACCCTATATCCTTGCTGCCTACACAGCCCATTTATAGGATGCTAACCTTTGTTTCAAAAGATCTTTTTTGGGGTGGCCAATATAGTTGGGAGTCTATAGATGTTCTAAGATTCGGCTTCATGGTTTTTTAACTCAACTGTGAGGTTCTGTTGTCATTCAATAGCCAAGGTATGTTGAGCACCTATTATATGCCAGGAACACTACTGTGTGTTAAGAATGTGCTAAGAGGCCAGGCGCAGTGGCTCACGCCTGTAATCCCAGCACTTTGGGAGGCCAAGGCAGGCCGATCACCTGAGATCAGGAGTTCAAGACCAGCCTGGCCAACACGGTGAACCCCTGTCTCTACTTAAAGTACAAAAATTAGCCAGGTGTGGTGGTGGGCGCCTGTAATCCCAGCTACTCAGGAGGCTGAGGCAGGAGAATAGCTTGAACCCGGGAGGCAGAGGTTGCAGTGAGCTGAGATCGTGCCACTGCACTCCAGCCTGGGCAACAAGAGCGAGACTCAGTCTCAAAAAAAAAAAAAAAAAAAAAGAAATAAAAAGAATATGCAAAGGTATAAAATACACGACAGTGATAATGTAGAAGTGTGAGAAACAGTTAACAATATTCTTAGAGAAAGAAATATTTTATGAGTGAAAAGACACTTGACTAGGGTCTAGAAGGTGAAGGCCAGATGATGAAAGGGTCTAGAAGGTGAAGGCCAGATGATGAAAAGGGCCAGACAGTATAACAGGCAGGAGAAATGGTGGGAGGTGTAAAAATAGTTGGCAAGCAGTCTGTGGGGCTAGAATATTTGGGAGAAGACATGTCTGGAAAAAAAATGCTGAGACCAGATCAGCATGGGCTCTGAAAGTCCTTCCAGAATGTTACGGGTTTATTCTGTAGGCAAATGAGAACTTTTACAGTTTTTAAGCAGGTGAGTTACAATCAGATCTTCAATACTTCATGCTATTCTGACTTACTATGTAAATATCTAGCTTGTGTTAATGAATAGTGCTACTTAACAAAATCACAAGTTTGACTTTGTGTGTTAAAACAAAATTCTGCCACTAGAAAGAAAAGATGTATTTTAGAATGTGATTTCCTCTTTGATCTTTTTTTCCTTCATTCCTATTTTTGTTGTTGTTGTTACACAGAGGACTCATTTTCTCTCTTTTTTGTCTTTCCTCCTTTGACTTTGGTTCTGTCATTTTCCTTTCCATTAAAAGTAGCATGAAACTTCCAAGTTTCCTTGAATATTGCCAAAGAGGTTGGGGCTTCATCCTGCAGTATGTCCTGGACATCACTGTCTTCGTGGTTTTGTAGGATGGAAATCTGTATAGCTTTCCATGAGTATCTTCACAGTCCATATTTCAATGCAGACATTAGTCTTACAATTAGGAATATCGAAAAGGAATTCCTACAATGTCTTATAGTTAATGTGGTAATATTCAATATTATTTCTGATATTAACACCATGTTAAAAGCTTTATGAATTTAAATAAGGCACAGTCTCTAAAATTATGGAATAGAATTTAAATTTCTTTTCTCTACTAGCCTTAAATAATTATATCAATTTAAGAGAGTCTGATGGAAAGAATAGGTTTTTAGTTAATAAGTTTTTAGTAAACTCATCCTTTTCAGGTAGTTTAATCAGAAAATTGCTCTTCATCTGTTTTTGTTACCTAACTTTTCTGTGTTTTTTTCTAGTACAGAAGGAAATAGTTGCTGTATATTTCTTCCTGAGGCACACACTGTAAATATACTGTGAGTCAGGGAAAACACTGAAAAGTTCCAAGGTTGGCAAATCATTTTAGAAGGAAAAAGTCATCAGGAACATGAGACTCTAAAGAAACAGATGTAGGAATTATTTTTATAAGTTTTGTTACAGAATTTTTTCCTTATTTTCTAGTTTTAGGAATCATGTAGGTGTATGGATTAGGATGGTTCAGAATAAAAGATGCTCTAGCTTTAGAAATGTTTGAAAATTCAAAAAACAATATTAATATGACATTGTATTCAAATGTGACTTCAAAGAGATTAGTTTATTATCAAGCCCTGCGTAATTTGGCAGCATATAAACATGTGGGTATAATATCCGCTTTTATTAAGAAAAGTTGGAACAATGTTGACAGCAAAAAAAAAAGTAAAATCATTTTAACATTTCTACTTCAGTTTTTTCTTTTTTTCTTTTTTGAGACGGAGTCTCTCTCTATCACCAAGGCTGGAGTGCAGTGGCGCCATCTCAGCTCACTGCAAGCTCTGCCTCCTGGGTTCACGCCATTCTCCTGCCTCAGCCTCCCAAATAGCTGGGACTACAGGCACCCGCCACCATGCCAGGCTAATTTTTTGTAATTTGTTTAGTAGAGATGGGGTTTCACTATGTTAGCCAGGATGGTCTCGATCTCCTGACCTCGTGATCTGCCCATCTCGGCCTCCCAAAGTGCTGGGATTACAGGCGTGAGCCACTGTGCCCAGCCTTCTTTTTTTTTTTTTTTTTTTTTTTTTATAAGTGAGACAGGTGTTGTTCTGTTGCCCAGGCAGTGGATTGATCATTGCTCAGTGCAGCCTCAAACTCCTGGTGTCAATCAGTCCTCCTTCCTCAGTCTCCTGAGTAGCTAGGACTACAAGCATATGCCACCACACCCAACTGTTTTTAAAATTTTTTTTTAGAGACGGGATCTCCCTATGTTGCCCAGGCTGGTCTCAAACTCCTGGCTTCCAGGGATCCTCCCATCTTGGCCTACCAAAGATATTTTTTTCTTTTTAAAAACAGAACCAGTAGCTTAGCTACTTCAGATGTTTTCATAGTTTATGGCTTGTTTCTGTTTCAGTTGAGGAGTTCTATTTTTCTTTAACTTACATATTAGACAAAATTAAATTGCTACAGAACTAGAATTTCTGTGTTATTTCTTCCCATATATAATCACAGTTGTTTTATATAAAACCAAATAAAATGATCAGCAGAAAATATAGTAGATATGAGAGTAATTTGATGTGTATTTTAATTGTGAGGTTATCACTGACATATTATATACCAGAATCAGAAAATATATTAATATATTTAGAAATATATTAATTCAGGCTGGGTACAGTGACTCACCCATGTAATTCCAGCACTTTGGGAGGCCAAGGTGAGTGGATCACTTGAGGTCAGTAGTTTGAGACCAGCCTGGCCAACATGATCAAACTCCGTCTCTACTAAAAATACAAAAATTATCTGGGCATGGTGGCACATGCCTGTAATTCCAGCTACTTCAGAGACTGAGGCACAAGAATTGCTTGAACCCAGGAGGTGGAGGTTGCTGTGAGCTGACATCTTGCCACTGCACTCCAGCCTCGGTGACAGAGTGAGGCTCTGTCTCAAACAAACAAGAAATACATTAATTCATATTAAATAATTCACAATAAATAATATGCATTAATGTGAATCAATATCCATATTCACATGACTAACAGCATTTATATAAATTATATAAAATTATATTTGTATTGATATTTGTGTTAATACTGAAATTATTCATAATATGTTAAATACAGAATCATAAAGTAGAAAGGAGTCTTAGAGAATTTTAGAGTCTGTCCTTCAACCCCTTGTAGGCACGATCTCCTTCCACAATATCCCATCTCTACCTGTGCTAAATGCTTCTGTGAGGGAAGTCTTGCTACCTTATGATGCAATCCACAGCACAACATGCAAAAATCTGCTTTTGAGCTAAAAGCACCCATTTCTAGCTAGGAAAACCGGGGGAGAGTAGTAAAAGACAGGGAAAAGATCCTAAAGAAGCTTACAACTTGGCAAAAGGCATAGGCAAGGTGATTAAGCACTGACCCAGAGAGGGGAGTTTTAAAAGCCACAGACCTCATTGCTTCCCAGGTCTCTGCTATCACCAGCTTCTTCCCCCAGCAGCTAGCTTTCAGAACCTCAAAAATGCCTTTAATGAAATATAGAGGACTCAAGTACCCTGCTTTTCCATATGTTCTAAGATCAAATGCACACATTATCTTAGATTCAAGATCTTCACGTATTTTTGTATAGTGTCTGTTCAATGTCTACTTAAAAAATTATCAGCTGGGTGCAGCGGCTCATGCCTGTAATCCCAGCACTTTGGGAGGCCGAGGCGGGCAGATGGCCTGAGGTCAGGAGTTCGAGACCAGCCTGGCCAAAAGTGGTGAAACTTTGTCTCTACTTAAAATACAAAAATGAACTGGGTGTGGTGGTGCACACCTGTAATCCCAGTTACTTGGGAGGCTGAGGCAGGAGAATCGCTTGAAACTTGGGAGGCAAAGATTGCAATGAGCCGAGATCACACCACTGCACTCCAGTCTGGGCAACAGAGTGAGACTCCATCTCAAAAAACAAAAACCAAAAAACATTCTCAGTGCTATAGAAGCAGTTTAGTGCACTGGTTAAGACTGAGATGCTGCAGCCAGACAATTCATGTTTAAATCCTGCCTCTTCCAATTTCTAGCATGGCCGTGGGAATGTTATCTAACTTCTCTGTGCCTTGCTTTCCTCAGTTGTAAAATGGAAATAAAATAATACCTTATTATGAGGCCTCAGGTTGATAATAAATGTGAGCTACTTAGTAGTGTGCCTGTATCATGGTAACCACTCCATAAATGTGGCTTTTATTATGGAAGGTACACATTTCACCAAGTTATTATATTAACAAGCAAAAATTTAAATACTCTGTTTGTTGAGAGGCTTAACCACTTATTTTGTATATGTAGAGTCAACATGTAGCAGTGGACAATAAGACAACCACAGCAGTAGGAACAGAAGAGCAAGAAAAAGATCTCTTTCTTACACTGAAAAATATTTCCTTCACCTGATTCCTAAAATACCATACCTGAAAAGAGGCAGACTTTTATTCCACAATTAGAGAGAAATAGTTTAAAAGCACATGTTCTAGAATGTTACTTAGCATTGTATGCCTTGATTTATGACAATATATTAATGGTGGTCAAATCCTTTACCTTCAGTTTTGAGAGAAGAGGGGGGTGGAAAAGGAAAGTGGTAGGAGTGAGGATATCCATGAAGAGGAAGGAGAAGGGGAGGCTGACAGCATAGAAGCAAGCTGTGTCCCCAGGTCTGTCCTATTTCTCTACTTATAAATTCCCCAAATAGTTCAATTCCAGTGGGCCTGGGCAAATGTCTTTCTTAATGGGAAATATGCCTGCAAGTGTTTGAGAGTCCTATATACACTGCCCTGGTTTCCTTATGTAGAAGCAGAGGGGAAAAAAATCTTGCTTTTGCTAAAATTTGTCATGCACCCAATGAAGCCCCTCCTTTCTATTCTTCTCCCCCCAGTGGTCTCTATTTACTTATTTATTTATTTAGATATGGTGTGGGCATGTGGGGGTCTCACTATGTTGCTCAGGCTGGTCTTGAACTCAAGGGATCCTCCCACCTCTGCCTCTGAGTATCTGTGACTACATGCATATGCCACCACATCTGGCTCCTATGGCCTTTAAAGGCACCAAAATCCAAGGCTACAGTTAGCAATATAGGAAGTGTCTTTTGAGTCTGCTGTCTTGGTAGTTACACCATTGTCTTGGTTCAAGTATTCCTTCTTTCAATGACAGACCCTTAATTAGTTTTGTGCTTTCATTTCTCCCTCTCCAGGTACCTCTAAATGATCTCCTGAAAATCCCAGTCCACCATTTGACTCCGTGGCTTACAAATCTCCAGTGCTTCTCCATTACCTAATAAGGAAAAAATCAATTTCATTAGTATGTTTGAGAAGGTTATTTCTGAACCCTGCTTAGCCTAAGAGAGTCATCTGCTGCACCTTCTCCTCATCACTTGGATAGCAGCACTGAGATACCAGCTGTTCTCTAAACACGCCATGCTTTTTCATAGGGTTCTCCTTGCTTAGGATGTTTATTCTCTTTCTAGCCCCGCTTTGATCTCTAAAGATCCTTCAGGACCCTTATGAAATGTGACTACTCTAGGAAGGTTTTCCTGAGATTTCTAGGCAGAATAGTTCATTTTTCTATGCTCCAAAAATTGTGTGTTCATGCATTAATGCACTTCTCATAGAAAGTTCTATATATTTTTTAAGTATCTTGTTTCTTCTGTATTATGAGTTTCAAGAAGGAATGGACAGAGTTTGCCTCTCAAATACCAGGACTTGGTTTGTCATAGGCACTCAAAAATGTTGATTTTTGAATAGCTTCTTTCCAAGGCTCCCCATTCCTGCTTACAGAAATGTTACCATCTAAGGCCCACCTCAAACACAGTTTCCCCTGTACCCCATTTTCTCCCACCTGGAGTGCTTTTTTTTTTTCATCCCAAAGACCTACAGGAATTTCCTTTGTTCTCTGATTTGGAATTTTAAAAAATATATTTAAACAAGGTATTTAAAAAAATCTGTCTCCTTGTCTGCAAGTTGATTGAAGTGGAATCTGTGTCTTCTCTATCCAGAGATGCCTGTATTCCCTGAATCAGTATCTTATACCCAGCAGATTCTCTGAAGGATATTTGCTGAATGGAGGAGTTAAGCCAAGGAAAGATAATCCTTAGTGCAACTTCTGAAAAGATACAGGTGACAATACCACTAGCTCCAAAACATTCTGCATAATGTCTGCTTTATTTCACTGCAGTTTATGAGTGCTCCAATTCTAAGGGAGATTATACAGCTGTCAAATACAAATTATCAGTAATTCACACAGTAGAAAGGATAGATTCAATCAGGTTTCTTTCCTCTTTAAACTTGCTTAATGTTGATGAGATATTGACAATGATCAACACATTACATTTTTAGTTCTATGGATTTCCAGTAAATTCTCTAAGCTTTTCTATGTATACAATCATAAGCTCTGTAATGAATTATAATTTGGTATCTTATTTTCAATATTTAAAACTCATATTTCTAAACTCACATTTCATTTTCGATAATTTATTATTTTTAGTTAATTACATAATAGCTCATAATTCCTTGCTTTGTCTTTTATTTTAATGGTGTAGAAGTTATAATTTCCGTGTCTTCAAGCCCCCTTCTCCCCACAAAACACTTAGTTAATATGAGGATGGAGATGATGAAAAATTGGATTGAGGACCAGGTAGAAGGTAATTTAGGTAGTCATATGCTTTATTGTTTTGAAAGAAAGGAGGTGGAAAAGGGAAGGGGTGGGAGTGAGGGTATCAGAGAAGAATTGGGATGAGAGTAAAATGAATGGATTTTATCTTGGAATTCTTGGGGCAAGAGGATGAGTACTGGTACTGGGGACTGGAACAGTGGTTGAATAAGGAAGGTCAGATGATGTCAATGACTAATTTCACTTGTTTTGGAAATTTTCTTTCAGATACCTTTCTTCTTCCAGTTTGGCATTAGAAATCACAATGCAGATATATCATGGGGCAAAAAGACCTTTGTGGAGACTCTAACATTGCTTTTATAGAAAAAACATGACCACATCTTCATACACTCAATAAACACTGGGGGCACCGCCTGCTTTAAGTGCAAGCTGCATAAAATAAATTGATACACAAATGAATTTTTTATTGATAAGTGCAAAAAGATTACATTTAATGTTTAAAAAAGATTTAATAGAAACAATTTAAGAAAAGGGAGTAGTTGAAAGAAAATAGTAGGCTAAGAATTGAATATAGAAATAGATATGAAGAAAATTGGAAGAAAGTTACTTCAGGGTGAAAAACTGTTAAAAAAAAAAATGACTTAGATCACACACTTGGTGGTGACCAGAGACTGTTTGTCAATATTTTGGAGGAAAAAAATTTTACAGAAGGAGAAAATAAGTAATGCTGGAGAGTGGGAAGCTGAAAGGTATTGAAAGGAAAAGAGTATTTGGAAGTCACGAGATATCTCCCTGGGAAATAGAGTTGGCAAAATGGCTGATTTTAAAGAGGTTAACTATTCTCCCCAAATTTCTGACTGTGAACTAGCTTACTTTATATTTACCCACTTAGAAAGTGTTTCAACACTTAAAGACTTAGCAAGGAGACCACAAAGTATAAGACGTTACATACTTTTCCAAAAGAAACACGACTAACTGTAAACTGTCATCAAATACAAATGGAATGGGTTTTCTCTTTTGGGTTTTATTTTTTTATTTTTAATTTTTTGGTGGTTGTTTTCGTTTAACGGTTTCAAAAAATATGTAGAAGGGAAATATTTCATTTCCCTTGGACGCTCAACTGTATATATTTCAAGATTCTTAAAACCCCCACCTCAAACTGCAGGCTTAATTTTAATGTGTTCATTTTTTACAAGGTGTGTCAACGTTTTATCAATTTCTGAAAAGTGTCTATGGCCCCGAAAAGTTGAAATCCACGACATTATATCATCTCTGCGAGCCCTTTCCAGCTCTCAAGGTACAATAATTCCACGAATCTTTGTTCTTCAAACCAGGAGGTTTTCTGGAAACCTTCTTAAACAACCAGGACAGGACCCATGAGGGAAATCTTGGGGATGCTCTGAGCAGCGGACGGGGCTTGGGAAGCGCACCCCTGTACCCGGGCTGCCTCCGGCCCGCACCCCGCCGCTCCCCAAGTCGGCTCCGCACTCCGCACACAGGCGGCGGCGCTGGGGCCGCTCCAAGTGCGTTGAGAAGTGTAATCCCTCCGCTAAGTACTTGGCTCTCAGTCTCCAATCACTAGTGGGAGCTGGAGAGGGCAAGTGAAAAAAAAAAATTCCAGAGGCAGCCGAGGAGCGAGAGGGAAAAAAAAAAAAAAAAAAAAAAAAAGTCCCGCGGTGGCGGCGGCGGCGGCGGCGGAGCGGCCGCGGCGGCCAGAAGTTGACGGCGCAGCCGGGCGCGGGGCGCGGAGTCGGCGGGGCCTCGCGGGACGCCGGGCAGTGCGGAGACCGCGGCGCTGAGGACGCGGGAGCCGGGAGCGCAGCCGCGGGTAAGGCGCGCGCGGCGGGGCCCCGTCCCCTGCGGGTGGCCGAGTTCCCGAGCGCGCGGGAGGCGGCCGAGCCGGCGAGAGCCGGGCAGAGCGAGGGGCGGCGCGGGACGGGTAGCGGCTGGGTGCGGAGCTGGGCGGCGGTCGCCCTAGGCAGGACGGAGCGCGCGAGGGAGAGGGCGAGAGCGAGGGCGGGCTGCGCGGCCGTGGGGCGGTGGCGGCGGCGGGGAGGGGGTCAGGCGGTGGCCGCCTCGGCTTTGTGCGCGGGCGGCTCTGCCGGGACCCCGAGGCCTCGTGCCTGCGCAGGCGAGGAGTCGGGGCAGCGGCGGCGGCGGGCGGGACACGTGCTTCGGGCTGTAGGGACGCCCCAAGGCAGGGAGTCGGACCTGCGAGCGGAGGGATGGGGCGGGAGGGCGAGCTGAGGGCAGTCGCGGAATCCGGGAAATGGGAGGGAGCCCGGCGGGGCGGGGGCCCAGGGCCAGCCCAGGCGGGACCCGCAGGCACCCACCTGCCCCGGACGCCTCCCGAGACCCAGCCTTGCCGTGGGGGAAAGTGCGCAGCGGGCTGGTCCCGGCGCCTTGGACTGGGCTCCGTCTCTGCTTCAGTTGCCTGTCTCTTCTCCTCTCTCTCCTGCTTCTCTCTCTCTATGCCTCTCTCTCAAGTTCTGGGTCTTTCATTCTCTCCCTTTTCTTCCTTTCTCCCTTCCTCTCCTTATTGCTATCCTTTGCCTCTCCCCCCGGTCTCTCTTTCCTTCCGTGCGTCTGTCTCCCTCTCCCCACCGCCTGCTCTGGCTCTCCCAGTGTGTCCCTCCTCTGTCCCTTCATCCTCTTCCCTCTGTCACTTTCGCACAATCTTTTGGTCTCTCTCTCTCTCTCAAGAGGCTTTCGCTCCCGGTCTTCCTGGCTCCCCTGTCTCTTGCTCTCTGCGCCCATCTCTCTGCTCGTCCCTCTTTCTGTCCAGGCTCCGTGTTTCCGCCTGTGTTTGGCGGTGTTGGAGAAGAGCCTCTGGAAGTTGTCCGCTGTGGTGCGGGTCTTACTTCTTTAGAGCTGCACCCCTCCAGCTGGGTCCTGCTGTTTGTTCTGAATGGAAACGCTGCAGTTCCCTTGAGTTATTAGAAACTGCTCTTTTCTTAGCCACCTTTCCAGCAAGGTGAGGTCAGTGACTACGAGCGGCCACAAAGGTGCCAGTGAAAGACAACGGAGGAAGAGAGCCGTTTCACTACCTCCAACAGATAAAGAAAATGTGTTAATACCAAACTTACCTGCAGCAAAGCAGAGCCACCTGAGAAAAGGTTCTTGAGTTCTGCAAAGAAACATAAAAGGCTCCACTGGAAATGAGAGGGTTCAGCTAAAAAGTGTTTGCAAATAATTTGAAAAAGCACTTAATGGAAATCTCTTGCTGTGCTAAATTGATGCCAACGAATCTCTGTTTTCTTACATATATTTTTAGGATTCCAGTGACAACTCTCCTAATTATTGTTTTGGGCAAGTTATGGGAAATGTCCTGTGTCAACTGGGATGTTAGTATTTAAGAAAATATTCAGTCTTTGTACTTTATACCCCTTTACACTCTAGTGATCAAGAAGAATTATTTCTAGCTGTAAAGAAAATAGTAAAGGATTCGTCAGTAATTTTAAAACATGAGACATGCCGGTGATCAATAATGTTTTTGGAAAACTTTCATTATAAGGATGTTTTGAAGGATGTTACATCTTAGTGAAATATGTAAGTTATTACACACTTAGATCATTGTGCAATGCAAAAAAGTTTGTGTTATAAGCAGATCATAGTAGTGATGTCTTTTTATGGGAAACATAGCTGGGAAATTAATTGCTCTGATTTTCACTGTTTTCTTTAGTCATGCATAATGTACCTTTGTGTTTAGCAAAATATGGCCTAGAGCTACAAAACTTGATACAGTGTGTTATTTGTCCAATCTGAATTACCATTTAGAAAACCACCTTTTCCTTTTAGTTACATGATATAAGTTGATATGATCTCATTACTCATGTGCTAGGGGCCGCTGATGAATTTTAATGGCACTGATTTGTGTTTTTAAATCAAAATGTTAGTTTTTGGTGAGTTAAAATCTTGATTTATGTCATGTTAGTGAATCATCACTATTTATAGGGGCTTTGCCACCTTGTCTGCCAGGTGCTGCCCAGCATTTAGTCTAGGCTAGGTTGTCTGAAATTCCCTGTTAGATTATTGTCCCTGAGTGACGTGCTGCCACGGCCTGCTTATGTATGTTTCTCTAAATGTTCCAGTCGTTAAATAATATTTATTAAAAGGAAATTGACTTAAATTTTTCCTCATAAGCTTTGGGAACTGTGTGAGATGGCCTGATAAAGTATTTTTATTACAGTAAATGCTGATTTATTATTATTTGTTTAAAAGTATAAGGCAGTTTAAAATGTGCTTATCTTTTGCCACATATAGCACCTCCTCCAGCTCTTTCTGAGCACTCAAATCGTATTTATCATCCAAATCTAAAGTCAGTTGTCACCTACTCCAACCTAGCAGAGCCTTCCTGATTTTCAGAAGCCCCCTCACCACTGCCTCTGCCTCTCAGGCTTCTGAGTGCCCCTCTTTCGGTGTCCACCTCTGTGCTGTATGGTTACTTGCTTGGCGCTTCCTTGTTGGACTGTTATCTCATTGAGGTGAGATAGTGTCCCTTGTTTCTTTTTCTCTGAATTTCAGATGCCCAGCACAGTACCTGGTATGTGATAGATACTCAAGAAATCCTTGTAGGACGATTGGTTCTTTTCCAAATTACCTCTAACTTGTGATACTGATTCTTTGTGGATGCAGTAGCTCAAGGAAAATACTTAAGAATAGTGTAATAGCAGATCATAGACTTAGGATTGAAAGAGTCTTAGCATGTCATCACACACATTAATAATATTAAAGATGAAGAGGATGAGGCCCAGAGAGTTTGAAAAACCATGCTCAGAAATAGAAAGTGAGGCTAGGATGGCTATGGAATTGAGACTTTACTTTTTTCACGGTGCCACAATTCTTTTCACTGGACTCATGTTTGACTTCTTTCACTAGAAGTGGGTAAATATGTCTATAATTAGAAGCTGTAAGTTTTACTCTAAACTCTGAAGATTTCTTTTCATGTCATCCAATAAAAGCCGTGCATGAAATGTATCACTTTGCAATAACTGATAATCATTTCTGATGCATGTAAGCATGGAGGTAACACCGATCTTTAAGAACCTTGACTCCTAAATTATTTCTATGTGGTAGGCATTGTTCTGGGTGATAACTGTGTTGGGCAGAATTACTATTTCTTACCTGCAAAGAAGATTTAAGCTCTCTGGACTTACATTTTCCGCTGTATAATTCTGTGTGTGTGTGTGTGTGTGTGTGTGTGTGTGTGTGTGTGTGTGTGTTGAAGGGGGTTAGGGAGAAGAAAAAGGAAGTTTGGACCAGATTAGTGGTTCTTTTTGAAGTTTTCTTCAGAGACTACCAGTTTAACTCCCAGAACAACTGCAAATTCATCTGTTTTACATATCAGACTTCCTGGTAAGCTTTTGTTTTAAAAAAGGCTAACACAGCTTTAAAAAAACTTGAAGACCACTTTACTTGTTGTCCTCCAGTCCCTCTTCCAGTTCTTGAATTTCATAATCAAGATCATTTTTAGCTTTTAAATATGGGTATTCAGAGGATGGTTGGTGAAAGTATTAAAGACAGAAGGAAAAACTGATTTTGCCTTAGAGATACTATTAATAATTTCAGGTTTCCATATGCTGAATTTTATATGATGGCAGAAACTGAAGTAGAATTGTTGAGATATGTATAGGCAGGCCAGAATTCAGGGAAAGGAGGGGTTGCGGCTAGAAAGGTAGATTAAAAAGTCGCTTATATGACTTAATAACTTAAATTGAGTGAAAATAAAACTTTTTAGGCATAGAGTACAGAGAGAAGCCAAGATTTAGGAGTAGACAAAAAGGACATTTTGTTATGTTATTTCTGGGTATTTTTAAAGCCCATCACAGTGGTAAGAAGGGATAATGTATAATTTACATCAGGCAATAATTTGTTTTCATGATGTTCAGGACATCCACTTACATGCCAATATTCTAATTACATTCATTTTTACTTAAATGTTTGAATGCCTACTCTGTGTGTGGCACTGTTATACACTGTGGGGACACTGTGACTATAAGAGACACAGATCCTTGCTGTCATTGAACTTGTAGAGAGTGAAAACACAATCAGCTATCCACAAACACATGAATAAGATTATTTCCAATAGTGAAATTTGCCATTAGGAAAACAAGACAGGGTGATAAGACAGCATGTGACTGGGCTATTTTATATGAGGTGGTCAAGGAAGGCCTCTGTAAGGATATTCTTGAGTAACAAGAAAGAGCCAACCCCGTGAAGATCTGAAAGAACTTCCTATCAGAGGACGCACTAGGGTTGTCTCTAAAAGTAGCAAGCTAGGCACTCACTGGCCAGGGAGGCTGGACTCAGGCAATTAGAGGAAGTGATAGGAATGAGGTCAGAGAGGTGGCGAGGTTCGTAGTATAAAATATGTATTTTATTCAAAGTACATTCTGTTGAACACCCTGGAGGATTTTAAACAGAGAAGTGAACAAATATGATTTAGCATGTCTGTATATAGTGTGAGCAAGAGTACCTGAATAAGGCCATGTGGGTGGCTATGAAAATGATGTAGCTGAGAGTTTGTTGGCTTGGCCAAGGGTGGAACCTTGAGAGATTGATCAGACATTGTTCTTATCGTGGAATAGAAGAATCATGGAGTTGAATCATCAGTTTTTGTTTTTTTTTTTTTGCGGGGCTGGGGGCTGGGGGTGTGCCAGGATCTACATTGCAGCAATTCACTGGTTCAATAGTTACTTTTACTTTTGAATTTCAGACCTCAGCACCTTCTTAGAGTTCCCAGATACCACTTCTTTACTTCACCTCAAATATCTCATGGGCTGCAAGCTTCTTCCACGTGAGAGCCTATAGTATGTCCTAGGAAGTGTTGCAGTAAGGTTCTTAGTGCTAGAGATGATTCCTGGACTACACTGAGACGCTTGGTTCTTTCTGAAAAGCAGAGTGGTGAGCATCCTTGAATGAGCATCTCTTCATTTTCAGTAAAGTGTGTCAGTATAAAAAAAGGGAAGTGAGGCAGAATTCCTCTAATTAGGTCTGAGTGTCATTTTCCTCTAACCCTCAGCTTTGGAAACTTTGGATGCTTCTTGAAAGAATTCATTATAAAGTCTGCATTGTTAGATCGGGATGTTACACATCATTGTACTCCCGCCCCTTGCAAAGTGCTAGGACATAGTAGGCATTCAGTAAATAGTTGTGCAGTGCTGTTGGATGCACTCCTTTAGAGGCCAGTAGTTTTGATTCAGCCAATTTTATTTTTTCCTGTCTTTCAACAAGGATATGGCTGCATGTGGCGTCAGCTTTGGAAGATATTAAGTAGCAAGTTTGGAAATGAATTTTCTGGAGATTGTATTTACTTATCGGCTAAAGGAAAAAAAAGATACAATCCAGTATATCTGTTTATAACGTTTCTTGCCTGGCTGTCTTGAGATAAACATTTTAGTCATTTTTATAGCAGTTAGATAGATATGAACTTAAACAAGTACAGACACATCTGTCACTAGTTAATTTGATGATTTACGAATGTAAAATGTTTCCAAGGAAGTCTGTAATGATGTTGCCTTTGTCTAAATTAATCTCTTGATAGAAATCAGTGAATTTTATCTAACTAGTACACTTTATGACCATCTATAAAATGTATTAAATTATCATCAATTCTTTTTTCTGAAACTAGCTACTTTTCTGTTTTCCAATACACATTTAGCCATGATAGTCCACATAATGGAGGATTGTCCTGAAATCCTTCCCTTTATTATGGAACGTGGTGCAGTGCTCAGATGGGCTTGCAGACAGTTGTGGCATCATTTCATTTTTATGTATCTAGTAATTTTCTTCCACTGTTTCTTTTGATCTTCTTCAATTTGTCAAGAGTTTCTTCTGTATCTGAATATTCTGTTTTGCCCCATTTTGCCAAAACTGTTCTTATTACCATTGGCTTCTATGTCAGATATATTTTGGTTGCCACTCCAGAACCACTCTCAGCCCTTCTACCTCATGCTGTCTGCAGGGAAAATAACCTGGATGAACAACTTTGACTTCCAAAAAACGTAGGTCACTGGGGAGCCACAGCAGAGAGTAGAGGGAGGGTGGGGAGTGAGGGTATTTATTTCCTTGGCTCCCTTTTTGTGAGATCAGTTTGGGCTGCCTGTATTCCTGCACTGAAAGTCATTGCTCTTCCCAAGGTATTCTTCTCTATATAACTCTTTCTTTCCAGATTCTGGTAATCTCGAATAACTTCCCTGCTTTTGCTAACCTGGATTTACTGCAATACCCTTGGGGTTCTTTTCCACTACTGCCCACACCCTGTTACATTGTCTGTTTATAAATAAATTCCCTCAGCTTATCAGGAGCTGTGTCAATTAAAGTCCTATTTTCTGTTGATTCAGCTTCTGAAAGCCTGCTCTTTGGAGTCTTCTTGGATTGATAAGAACAGTCGTACTCCCTTACCTGTTTTGGACATCTGCTTTCCACCCCAAATTATATGCTTCTGTCCATGAAACCTAAATTCTTATATAAATACTGTCAATCAGTTTATTGGAACATCTCGTGACTTGATAGTCTGTATATCTTCTATCCATGTGCTTTGTTTCCTTCACTCTTTCACAAATGCAGTGCATCTTTATAGATTCACTGTTTAGGACCAGGCACTGTACTAGGCATTGTGGATACAAAAAGGTGGATGTTTGCCACTATTTGGGAGGACTGGGAAGGGGGCAGGAAATAAACAACTATACATAATAGTTACAATTTAGGTTTGTGATTAGGTTTATTTAAAAAAATAAACGGTGCAGCAGTAGAGAGTAACGGGGGGACTATCATTTACTGAAGATCACAAGCAACTGAAAGGCAGGGCATGTCTAAGTGGCTCTTGTTAACCTGCATATATTATTCAGGCTCTTAATATTTGAATATTAAAAGCTTTTCCCAATGATGACACAAACAATAAATCTTGGCAGGAAAATTAGAAATTTCATATAAACCTTAAGAAAATAAAGTGCTTTATACTATTACCTAAAATTAATAGTTTTGTATATATGTATGTGTGTGTGTATCCCTTAAGAATTTTCTTATGCATTACTATGTATTTTTAAATGAAAATAAGATCATCTGTATCATTTTGTGACTTTCGTTTTGAATTTAATCATGCATCAGTAACCCCATCTACATCAATGTATGCATTCTGAAACATATTTAATGTGTAATCTGATAGTTAAAGATCACAGAGTTCCTCATCTCCCTGCTCGTTATATTTCGTAGACTATTTTAAAAGTTTGATAGACATGAAGAAGAAAAGTGGGCCAATAATCTTGCCACACAAAAACCTCTAGAAATTAAGAGGCACTTGAGAATATATCTGTTTGAATTGTGATGCCTAATAAAATTAAATGACAACAGAGAGGGGACATAATTTAATCAAATCTCTCGTTTAATAATTACATTCTAGAATTTTTTTGAGGTCTAACATAACTGTTATTTCTACTTTGTCACATAGTAAATGAAAAATTGGGGTTTGAGGTAATATGAGCTATTCGACTAATCCAGATAAGGAATTTGCATATAACAGTATGTTTTACCTGATTGCATTTGTTTTCCCAGTGTGTTTCATGGAACAGTGGTTTCGTGGAATGTTAGGTGTGCAGCCCAAGAGGGATCTTATGGATGGCAGCATAGCCTCCTGGTTAACTGTGGGAGTTTGTCTAGGTTTGAATCGTGGCTGTATCATTTCCGAGTTGTGAGACCTTGGGCAAGTTCCTGCACCTTCTGTGTTTTTGTTTCATCATCTGTAAAATGTCAATGACAATAATAGTATTTACATCATAGGGATGTTTGAGAATTAGAATTTTGATTTTTAAAGTGTTTAGAACAGTGATAGGTACATAGTAAACACAAGCGTTTGATAAGCAAGTAAATAATGAAATCTGGCAATTTCTGATGTTTTTAAATTGCAACCCTTTCTGAGCCTTTGTTGTATTAACATGCATTAATATTGACAGTCCCCAAAAGTGGTATTTGATCATGGGACTTGTATTTTTCCCTGTGTATATCATTGGATTTATGTTCCTCAGAACTATGGGAAAAAAATTGATACAAACAATTGGCTAAACATTTTCATCAGTTTATTATCTCCTGAAATGAAGGGATCATTCTTACTGCCAGGAGTTGTTCCTACAATTATCTCACCCATCATAGAACAGGAAACCGGCTCCTGTCTTTTTTTTTTTTTTTTTTAAACTCTTTTTCTTTTTAAAGATAAAAATGAATGCTTTCCTTCACTACCCAGAAAACGACTTCCAGCCCTATACCTGTGAGTATATACTGGGCCTCTGCAGGTCACTGAGCATGAGATTTACAGTGTATAATGTTTTCTAAAAAGTTACTTATTGTTATTTTTTTAATTGTAAAGAATGTTCATTGAAGTGAACTTGGGAAACATAGGGAACTCAAACAAATAAAATCAGTCACTCTTTTTTTAATTTTATTATTATTATTATTTTTTACCACACAGAAGTAGCCACCATTAGCATTTTGGGTCTTTTTTTCTTTACTGAATTGAGAGCATAATATACTGTGGTTTTGTGTCCTTCCTTTCTTTTTCACTTGACTTTATTTATATAATATTCTCAATCCAAGACATGCAGTGATTTCTGGCCTTCAGATGATTGGTAATCTACATTTCAAAAGAGCTTCCTTCCTTACCAAGTTCTGTGGCCAGAGACAATATGAAAATAAAATGGTGTATCTAGAATGAGTTTCTCCCTTATTTTAAGTATTCTCGGAAATTGGAACCACCTGGTAAGCAGTTGGCAATTCTGTTTAAAAGACCTGGAGTAGGTGACCTCAGGTTGCTTCATTTTTATGAGTCATTCCAGTCTTCTAGCCAGAAGCCAGATGGACTCAGAAGAACCCACGACCAGGCTGTTTTGGAGGCATTACTTACTCATCCTGAGTGACTGTGAATGAATTTATATAATGTTGAGATGAACGTGGAAAAATTATCCAGGGAAACCTAAATTATTCCAAAATAAATTTAGCTTAACTACTATTTAAATTTTAAATTGTAAATCTTTTCCCACCATTGCATGTTTGAGGTAGGATTCTAATGATGTACTAATATGTAGGAACAAACATTGTCTCTAAATATTTTATCTTGTCTTATAATTTTGAGTAGGAATTAATATTGAATTTATATGACAGGACATAATGTAAACAAACATGCTGTTTGTTAGGAGCTTTACTTTGTGTACTTCATACATAGTGGATGCTCTAGTGGTTAGAATAAATGTGTCAGTAAGTTGTTTTCATTCAAAAGTCCTTATTCAACAGCTTTGAATCTGCATCTCAAGATTAAATCAATCACTCCTTTAAATACTTATCGTTAACATCTGTAGCAAATGAAAATATTTAAACCCTCTCTGAAGAGAAAAACCATACTACACTGTTTAATTGAATTAAATTAGCTTTTCATGGTAACCTAGGAGCTATTTCTGGAACCAATTTGGAAAATGATCTTTGTATGCTGTGGCATTTATGTTTGATTATGTTTTTCTTAGTAATTCTCAATGGACCAGATTCACTCCTTGCTTCAGTCATCAAACTTTTGTGATTTTTGTAGGCAAATTATGTATTTCCTGCTCCATAATTATGCATATTTATGGATACTATATTCTTCCTCCTCAAATATAGAAGTTGTAAAAACTTCTTAATTCGATAACATAATAAAATTATTTAAATTTTATCATTTCACCATTCTGTGAAGTATGTTAAGACTGAGATAAACAGCCATATATAAATGAACTTCTTCCAAAAAATGTTTCATACGATTTGACTTTTGACACTTACTAAAAAAAAAAGGTATTTATAAAAATGGCAGATAATCCAAAACTTCTTATAAATACATTGTCTTGAAATACAGAATATTTCAAGGCACATTAAAGATTTTGTGTATATTCTAATTGCAGTCTCTTGATTTACAGAGCCATAAAGACATTGAAAATTGCTTTGAGTAACTCAATTTTCAAGTTTTTTAGCTGTTAAAGTTTATTCTTTGTGATCAGCATGGGATATATTTTATATGCTTGGTACAAGGACTGTAACTTAATGTCTTTATTTCTTGAATACCTCAGACTTAACAGTTTAAAGAGAAAACTTACCTTCTCCTTAAAAAACAACAACAACAACAACAAAAAACCTCTGCTTTATTTACCACAATCCGACTATCAGAATTGCAGCGATTTTCCCCCTAAATCCTAACAATATAGGAATGTTCATTTGCATTCTCTTTTACTCTTCACCTTCTCATTTTTCCCTCCCCTTTCATTTTTATCTTCCTCACTTTTGCACTTAATCAAAAAACACTATTTTATGTGACTGCTTTTTCTCTGAGCCAAAAAAATTAAAATACACTCATTTCTATTGTGAATATCAACAGTTTCTTTACTAACTCCATCATTCTCTGATTGGAAGTTACTAAGTTAGAGTAAGTGGAATGATGATTTGGTATTTTGTAGGCATAGTCTTAATATATTTTAGTAATATTATAAACTAATAAGAGCAAGATACATTTCTATTTTGTTATGAAATCATTTGATTATGTAGTTTCACTTAAAATGTTTTGTGAAATGTTTATATTTTGAACAAAGGAATGTATTTCCATAGCAAAAATAGCTAAAAATGGCACAGACATGTATTATATAAAATATATTGCAGATATAACTTAGATCTAGACTTTTTATTCCTTTATATAATCTCTTTGATATACAAAAATCTATAATTATACAGGTTTTCATCAACACCTTTCTAGCTTTTATTTGAAATTTCATGTGTTTATACTTGTGGTTTGAAAGCTGTTATGCATTCTTAAACATTTTTCTTCAAACATACTTGCATGCACCCTGACTTACTCTAATTCCTTTTCTAAATTCCTTTTTTGGCTCATCTGTCCTAAACCTGGAAGGTGTAATGTAGTTTAACAATAATATTTTACATCTGTAGTTTGTGAATAATGTCTTTCTTACAAATGGAATTATTAAATATTTATGCAACATGAATGATTTTGATGCCATATTGTAAAGTGTGTCAAAGAGATGATCTAGTCCTGCTCTAAAGAGAAAGATGTTTAAATTCACAGTTGAGGCCGGGCGCGGTGGCTCACGCCTGTAATCCTAGCACTTTGGGAGGCCGAGGTGGGTGGATCACTTGAGGTCAGGAGTTCGAGACCAGCCTGACCAACATGGTGAAACCCTGTCTCTACTAAAAATACAGAATTAGCCAGGCGTGGTGGCACATGCCTGTAATGCCAGCTACCTGGAGGGCTGAGGCAGGAGAATCACTTGAACCCAGGAGGCGGAGGTTGCAGTGAGCCAAGATTGTGCCATTGCACTCCAGCCTGGGCAACAAGAGTGAAACACCTTCTCAAAAAAAAAAAAAATTGACAGATGATACACTACCAAAAAATAATTCAGAGCACAAATAGACTGAATGTGGGAAAGACAAAATGAGAAGTTGGTGGGAACATTTATGAAATGTGAAGTTGATTCAGTCTGTTATTCTGTCTTTAGGTGATGCCATCAGGGAATATCTTAGGGAAGACTAGAATTGGTGTTTTACGATTTTACTTTTAAAATTTGGTATCAAGTCCTCCTGATATCTTAGTTATCCTCAGTCTAAACCACAGTGCTCAGCCATTAGTGAAACTGCTATATTTGGAAAGTGATTAGATTTTAGCTTCTTTTCTTCACTTCATATTTCTCCTCAACCAAAGTGGGTATTCTAGCTGAAGTATGGCAGCATTTCCTTAGCACTCTGCTTTGTCCATGCTGTCCATCATTTATGGGGTATGTAGAGTCTTCACATCTATAATGTTTCCTTGCAGCCCTCACCTGTCTAGACAGAGAATGCTGATCTTTGTTGTTTTTCTTTATATGACCATCCTGTCGTTCACCTGATCATTTGTTTTTATTTGTTTGAATTGTCCTTCGTTTCTGTGTTTGTTTTTTTTTTTTTTTTTTGCGAAAGCAAGGTTATAGATTTTTTATTCAGCAGCAGATATTTTTGGAGAGCTAGTCTATGTTAGACCAGAACTGCATGTAGTATTTCAAGTAAAGATGAACTCTGGTGTTAGATGAGAACCATATTTTCTATTCTCTAGTGATGTCTGTGTCATTGTTAGCTTTTTTGGCTGCAGGAACTTATTAATGCATTATCCCAGAGGTGACTTCTAGCTCCTTTTCATGATAACTAAGGCCCTTATCCTGAGAAGTATAGTAACCCTATAGTTTTCCAGTTTGAATCTTATTTGATGTTTTTCCCCCTAGTAAATCTCATAAAGTTTTGGAGATCTTGTAGGTTAGCCCACTGACTTGGCATTTCACATGCTGGAAAAACTTAGTATCTTTTGCAGACCTGGAAAATTTAATCTATATTTCCTCTTTTACATCATTTGTAAAAATGTTAAGGCTACTTCCAGCACCTTCCCTGTTTATGGTTTTCCTGCCAAAATAATTCCTTTTTTCACTGTCTTTGTTTCTCCAGTAAAAATTCATCGAATCCTATGATGACTCAGTTCATTATAATAACTTTTGTGGTAGTACCTTGTCAAGGGCTTTTAAAAAAAATCCAGTGGATTATATTGACTGGTTTCTCCCTTGAGGCTCTACACAAGTTTTAACTTACCGAGACATGATTAGCCCTGCAAAAAAAAAAAAAAAAAAAAATGAAAAGCTAGACCCCCTCCCATGATTATATGTGTTAAATTCTTCCGTGACCTTATACTTTAGCATACACAGACCTTAGAAATTTGTCAAATTGCTAAGAAGTAATTATAACACGAAATTAGGGAAACGTGAGGGGCTGTGGATAAAAGAGGTGACATTGAGACTTAATGTAGATGGTTGAAATGCAAGTACATACAAGTAGCAGCAGGAAGAAAAAGCAGATATACACACACATACAAACCCCGAGAGGCTACGGTGGTTTTCTTTTATATGTTCTAGGCAGTGCGTAGGCCTGTCACATTGAAGATAGTAGTTACTGTCAACCCATTTTACAGATGAAGGATTTTAATGCACAGTGAGGTTCAGCCAGTGGTAGTGCTGGATTCTAATGTAGGACCCTCAGCTTCTAAATCCATGCTCAAATGTTGGAGGTCTGTTAGAGCCAGATATTATACTGGTTATTGATGAAACAAAGATGACTGACAATCAGCCCTGGTGGTTCATGAGCTTGAAAGACCCCTGAGGCAAGGAGACATGTGTGACAACTGTATGAGATGATAATTGCATGTGGAAGGTGCTGATAGAGCACAGAGAAAGGTTGATAATTAAAGAGCCTTCGAGATAAAGACTTGGGTTATCAATCATATCCTGAGGAGAGAGGTGGATAAAGAGAGACAGTGTTTAAAATATATGGAAAAATATATTTTGAACTTTAAATGATGTAATCTCCCTTATTCTACCCTTTCAGTTAATATAACATTTCTATACAGAGAGTACTGGCAGTGTATTTTAAGAGCAAAGTTACCACATATTTACTAATATTGACTTTTCTGTTTGATCCGTCTATTGTCTAACTACAGTGACATTTTAGTGAATGTGAGGAACTAGATAGCCCAGGTAACTTGCTAACGGTAGAGGGATGCAAGATGAAGAAAAAGACTCATTTGAAATCAGTTGATAATGTCTGAAATGATATTTTTAAACTTAAAAATTATTTTGAAGGAAGCACTGTGACATACACTCATTGTATGGCTTGATGGAGGATTGATGTTAAATTATAGGGAGGACCAGAAAGTATGTGCTAAAAACCACAGTAAAAACCTTCAAGAAGAGTTTCATCTTGTAACTCCTGTGATTAAATTTTCTCTAACATTTTAGTGACTCTAGGTCATCATCTGTAATAGAGATATTACCTATATTTTATCCTTCTGATTTGATTCATCAGAATGCACCAGAGTGGATGGCAATGAAATGACTGCAGCAGTTTTCCAGGCTGGTTTGCAGCCTGCCCATACTGTCATCATCTGCCAGCCAGCCAGTGGGCTTCATATCTTCACACACTTTTTCCAGAAAGGACCTCCCCTTTGTCTTCAGCATGTTGTTGTTAATTTTTTGGCATAGCAAAATGCAGAAGGGCCTATTGGCTGTGGCAGTGGAGTTCAGCTGAGGCAGAGTTACTGTAAAAAAAGAAATCTTTAGTTTCCAAAATAACCAGATTAAACACATATTTTACATAAAGCCAAGGAGTTATGAGGAAAGCAAGGTTTAAAATGATGTTAAAAGTAAAATAGCAAATTTGCTTTTTAAAATACTTAATATTTAAAATATTTGATATTACAGGTACTATCTGTGTGTTAAATGAACACATTTTTGCTAATCCAGTAGTCACCACTTGATTTTCCAAAGGAATATAAATATTGCAAAAATGTAATAAGATATAGTATAATTTGTAACAAATAGAAAGCTTCCTTAGTGACTCCTTAGATTCCAAAATATAATTTTTCCATTATGGAAAATTATATTTATGTTGAACATAAATAATCAGATGTTTGCTTCACTAATGATCCAGCTTATTTTAAAATTATGTTACTGGATTTAACGATGTGACCTCTGTTCTGCGACTTTGTGTATTCTGGAGGCTTGTTATGCATGTCAAGGGTATTTCCTTTTATTTGTTTTAATTTTACCTGCCATTTAAATCATTGAATGACCCTTCATAATTGTATTATGAAACCATATAATAAGGAAGGACTAGTTGATTATTTTTTACTTTAACTTTCTTAATCTCATATAATTCAAATCTTCTTTGTGTTCTCATTTCTCAGGTCAAATAATTTTTCGTTTGTAATTTTTCATCACAGTAATGGATGGGATAGAGTAATATGTTTCAATACATTTATTGTTCTTATTTTAGCATTTTACATCTGTTCTCTTTTTCGGAAGAGGAAGTCAAGTAGTATGTTGAAAAGAGCATACGATTGAGAGACAGGAAAGGTCATAATCTAGAATCTGGACTGATCACTTAAAATGGAATATTGGCCAACTGGAATGGGAAAATCTTATCTTGGTTAATAATAGTAGCATATATCATTAGTTCCTTTAGAGCAAGGTACCATAACTGTTTCATCTTTGTATCTTTTTTCTTCTGGTGTTTTTGGAATTTCAGAGACAAAAGAGAATGTTTGTGACTTAAGTCCCTTCTAAACCTTTCAGCTCTAAGATTTTATAATTCTTTATATGAGACTGATACGTACAAATCTAATAATTATACAGAGTACCATTTACACAATTTTATGAATAAACTCATTACTTGGGAGTTGCAAATTATTTAGGTTAGTAGAAAATAATTCTGCCACAATAAATACTGTATTCTTTTCTTAGAATTATTTGCTAAGAACTTTTAAGGCAGTTGTTGAAACGATTTTGTTCAGAAGTCAGATGCAGTTTCATGTTTGACTGTATTAGATTATAATGGCTAATTTTACCAGAGATAAAAAATACGCAGAGGTTGCCAGCAACATGATAAATTAGTTTCTGTGATTACAAATTTTCACTAATCAATAAGGGATAATTTCCCTGTGTATCTCATTGGTTATCTTTGTTTCTTTGACTCCCACAGGAAGTCTCTTTTAAAAACTCTTTGTAATATGAAAACAAAAACTGAACCAGGTTGAAGTGTTATGCAGTTGAACTGGTTCCCTCTTTGAGAAGTTAATGCCTGTTGTATTCTTTTCCTAAAATATTATGTAGTCACACTGTTCTGTGATTGTTTAAATGTTAAGATTTCTTGAAAATGTCTGGGAAACCTGATACGTGCTTATTATTTTCAGGTTGATTAGTAATTTCCTTTTAAGACACTATATTTTCATACAGCAGTCAACTCTATTATTTTTATATGTGTGGGGATTTCAGAGGTATTTTCTAGATAACCCATACCAAATTTTTAATCTCATCATGCTTCTGTGCAACCTCCCCTATGACACGTCAGTATTTGCTAACTGGAAAATTATATTTATCAAGCTAACTAAAATACAATTGAGAGGACAGATAATCAAAGCCCCTGGTAATTCATCCTGGAGCATTTGCTCTTAGTATAAAATAGGAAGCCTCCACTAAAAACTACAGAGTTGCTTGTTTTACATGAATTGTTTGCTCTTAAGGAAAAAATTTGAGGTTCTTAAGAAATAGAAAAAATGTTCTTGTCCATAGTGAATGGATTAGGGTTCATGATGATAAAATCTTTTAATCAGAAATGAGAAAGAATGTGAAACAGGGTAAGGCAAATCCCCTTTATGTGGACTCTTTTCTTAGAAGTTGGATTAAAAATGAAAAAAAAATTGGATAACCTTTATACCCAACATGTATAAGTTTATTTATGAATTTTTTCTTCTTGTGCTTTTCTGTTTCTTTGGAACCTGATTCATAATTCACTTTGGGAAAATATTCTGTTAATCTCATTCCTGTTGACTCAGTCCCTCCCTTTCTCTGCCTGCACTATCTTCCATTCTTATGTACTCTGCACTGTATCAATTTCTAATTACTGATTTCCTGAATTGTTAGTGTGCTTCCATCCTCACAGTTTTAACTGTATGAAATGTCAAAACCTGTCTTCTGTTTCTCTCTCTATCTTTTACAATATGGAATATAGAACCCAAAAGATGCTTGGTCAGTGTTGATTAACTGACTTTCTTTTGTATGGTTCTGATCTTTATTTTTTCATAATGGCGGAAATTTTCATTTTTAAAGTACATGAGGAACCTCAGAATTTTTTAAATGTATGATTTGTTGCATTTGTTTTAAAATTGCATTCTGGGACACGAAAAAGGAAAAAAATTCTCTTCTGTATTTTGACTAAAACTAGTGTAGAAGGTTCTATACTGAACTTTCGAGGCAGATATCTGAGTTTGTATTCCAGCTTTCCCACTCAGTGTCCTCATCTGTAGAATGAAGATAATAAGAATACCAGTTCAGTAAGGATCATGTGGGAATTACAAGAAATACCTGGCACATAATAGTTGTTCAATAAATGTTCACTCTTGTTCTTTATTTTTAGATGTCTTAAATGGCATTAGCACTCAGCCTGCTTTACCAGGTTACTATATGAGATTCTCCTACTAAAACAGAATGAGGAAAATGTACAGTTAATTGATCAATTTTAAGGAGAAACTGTTTTCTTGTAAAATGTTTCTAAGCCCAAAAATTATTTGATCGCAAAATGTTCGTATTGAAATATAAGTGCCTAATTTCAAAAACGAAGCTCTTTAGCAACAAAGTTGTTTCCTTTTTTTCCAATTTAAGATATTTCCATCTCTATTTCAAATGCTTGCTTCTAAAAAAAAGTTTAGTGAAATAAGAGGATAAATTTTATGTTTTTATTGATTTGAATGACATTTTCCCTTGGATGAATTATGAAATGTCTGGTTAACTTTAGCATTAGTGAAGCTTGAATAGATTTTAATATTAAGCAAGTGTTTAGTTGCTTGACATGATCAGTTTACACTATTGCAGAGCCTTAATTAAAGTTTTATTAAACTGTGTAAACCGTGATCCAGTTTGGATTTGAAAGTAGATAGACATCTGTTTCAAATATTATTACTACGGTTAGAAATTAATAGCCTTTGGCCAGATGCAGTGGCTCACGCCTGTAATCCCAGCACGCTGGGAGGCGGAGGCGGGCAGATCGTGAGGACAGGAGATCGAGAGCGTCCTGGCTAACACGGTGAAACCCCGTCTCTACTAAAAGTATAAAAAATTAGCCGGGTGTGATGGTGGTCGCCTGTAGTCCCAGCTACTCGGGAGACTGAGGCAGGAGAATGGCATGAACCTGGGAGGTGGGGCTTGCGGTGAGCTGAGATGGTGCCACTGCACTCTAGCCTGGGCGACAGAGCAAGACTTGTCTCAAAAAAAGAAAAAAAAAAAAAAGAAATTAATAGCCTTTTTTCTTGGAAAGTCTTAAGGTTTCTCTTTTGAAATTTTTGTTGTTGTTTCCTCACTATTTCCTCTGTATTAAAATAATTTTGAGGTATAAGTTATTTTAAAAATCACTCTAATAATGTTTATATTATCTATACAAAAGAAAAGCAAGGAAATATTTGGGAGTATTTGATCAAAGAACAGTAAAACAAGACTGTTTTCTGTGAAAAGCAGATTTTATGGTGATGCATCATAAGCATTTGAGACAGCTTTCTTGATTGGCGACCATTGTGCCTTCCTTCCTCCCTGGCTTTTTTCTTTATGAAGTGAAGATTAATTCTAAGTTAATTTTGGTTCTCATTTTGCTCACTTACATAATAAACACGAAGTACTCTTATTCTCTTTTTTCTTTCTTCACCTCCGTGGCATTAGAAAATTCTTCAGCAAATGCAATTATTTAGCTACTTGTATATGCGTTTTAGTTGTGGTAAGGAATCTTGATATATTTCAAGCAGAATTATTTAATGCTGTCTAGAGAACAACATCAGAATTTAAATTTTCTATTAAACTGTGCTTATTAAAATGGTAGAAAACAAAACTTGTAATACCCCAGAGTCAGAATCCATCCAGTTACTACATTGCTATGTCTTGGTTCTGCAAGACTTGATTATTACATGAATACGCGTTCAATGGAAACATTATAAAATACAGGAAAAGGCCAGAAAGGAAAAAGAAAATCACCTGAAACTGCACCACTTAGAGCCTGTTATTTGTTACCATTTTGATATATTTCCTTTATCCTTTCTCCTAAATTATTTTTAGATATGCTAACAAAAGTGTGAATTACCATCTTAATTTTGTATTTTATTTTTGCTTGAATGATTTATGAATTTTTCCTTATATCATTACATATTTTTCAAAATACTGTTTTAATTAATGACTGGAAATACTCATTTGTATCTATTTTCCTTATTTTTATCATAACAGTACAGTGAACATCTTTATGAATAGGTCCTTTAATATTTATATGAAAGCTTTTATATGTATCACCAGTTGCTTTCCAGTCATCATTCTAATTTACAATTCTACCAGCAGAGTATCTATTTAATTTCTCTCATATTTTAAGAGAAGTGTGTTAATATTTCAGTTATCTCCATGAAATCTCCATAAGCCTCAGAAAAAGAAAACAAAATTTGAAGGACCCCAAAATGAAAGTAGTTTTGAATAGGTGAGAACCTGCTTCATGTTATTTTTATTTAAAAAAAGGAAAAGAAAGATAAACAGGAGTTTTTACTGCTTACAAATACTGGCCATTACCTTTGATATATAATTTTATTACATTATAAAAGAAATGCAAATTAACCCTAATCATTTTTCTGTTATTATGGTTCTGAGTTTTACTTAATAACTATAGGAATGATTTAAAGGAAAAAAGCTATTAATTCATACAGAAATCCTTGTAGTCAATGGCAGAAGTGACCTTAAAAAAATCTAATTGAAACCCTTTTTTGATATGCAAAATGAGATTTAAGATGGTTCTGTGTTTTGTGAAAAGGCCCTTATATTGTAGCAGAGATTGGGCCAGAAAACAGGTTGTCTGATTCCTGCTCTTTTCTTACTTTTAAAAAATATAGAAGTTTTGGCCGGGCGTGGTGTCTCACGTCTGTAATCCCAGCACTTTGGGAGGCTGAGGTGGATGGATCACCTGAGGTCAGGAGTTCAAAACCAGCCTGGCCAACATGATGAAACCCTGTCTCTACTAAAAATACAAAAATTAGCTGGGCGTGGTGGCAGGCACCTGTAATCCCAGCTACTGGAGAGGCTGAGACAGGAGAATCACTTGAACCTGGGAGGCGGAGGTTGCAGTGAGTTGAGATTGCGGCATTGCACTCCAGCCTGGGCGACAAGAGCAAAACTCCATCTCAAAAAAAAAAAGTGTATATATATGTATATATGTTTTTAAATGAAATAATTCTTCTCTTAAAGGATATATAATAATAATAAATAGAGTAAATGCTTGTACATCCAATAGTCAGCTTGTGAAACAAAGTAATACCAATAACTTGTAAGCCTCTTATGCATTCCTCAGTTGCATTTGGCATCTTTCCTTCCCATCTGAGTAAACACTAACCTGAGTTTTATGTTTATTATTCACTGGTTTTTAAAAAATAATTTTATCATATATGTGTGTATACCTAACCAGCATATTTTTGAGCTTTATAAAAATACGACTCTTTAGGTAGTGTCCTGTGTTTTACTTTTCCCTTCAAATTTATGTTTTTGAAATTCATCCATTTTGCTTGAAGATGTATTTCACTTTCTTTCATTGCTTTGTGATACACTGTTGGGGGAATAGATCACAATTTATTTTTCCATTTACTTCCTGATAGGGTATTTCTATATATTTGCTATTATAAAGAATGATGTTATGGGCTTCTTGTATTAACTCTTGGTGCACCAGTAACAAGATGCTCTTTTTTAAATGTATAAGACGGTGCTATATTGTTTTCCAAAGTAGTCCACATTCCCACCAGCAGCATGTGGATAATTCCTATTTGTACCTCATCCTAGTCCATACTTAATATTTTCAGATTTATTAAATACTTGCTAATATCCAGGTTTAAAATTTCTTAGTGGGGTCATAACTGATGTTTTCATGATTGTTAATGATGATGAGCCATATTTTCATGCATTTTGTCCATTTGTTCTTTTCCTCTGCCAACTTTGTGAAGTGCCTGTTCATATCTTTTGCTGATTTCGTATTAGATTGGTTGTTCTTTTCTTAGTGACTTTTAGGGATTTTTTTTTGTTTATTATGAATGCTAATTTTTAGTTAAATGCATTGCAGACATCTTTTTATGACTTAGGGTTTCTCTATTTTACCTTTTTATGTAGCTTTAGTGACAGAAGTTCTCAATTTTAATGTAGTCAAATTTTTCATTCTTTTAATTTACGGTTTATAATTTTTGTGCCTTGTTTAAATCATCTTTGTCCACCCCAACATCATAATGATATTCTCTTAATAGTCTTAATCTATATGTAATTGAATTTTTTTCTTGAGGTGTGAGTTAAGGTCCAATTCTATTTTTTTCCATATAAATATGTGTAACCTATTTATGTATAACCTATTGTCCAAATGCAATTTATTGAATGTATCTATCCTTTCATTCTAGAGTAATTGTCCATTAATGTCAGCCCTGTTGTATATCAAATTTCTCTACACACATATGAGGGCCTGTTTCTGAGCTTTTAAATTTTGCTCCATAGGTCTGGTTTTTATTCTTGTGGTAATATTACATTGCCTTAACTAGAATATAATATAGAATAGAAATAGTGATAATGATCATATTTTTCTTTTTCTTGTAGGGTCTAAATCTAACATCACTATTAAGAATGATAACTGATCTAGATTTTATATATACATTTATCATGTTGAGGTTGTTCTTGGACGGGTGCGGTGGCTCATGCCTGTAATCCCAGCACTTTGGGAGGCAAAGGCCAGTGGATCACCTGAGATAAGGAGTTCGAGATTAGCCTGGCCAACATGGTGAAACCCTGTCTTTACTAAAAATACAAGAAATTAGCCCGGTGTGGTGGCACGTGCCTGTAGTCCGAGCTACTCAGGAGGCTGAGGCAAGAGAATTGCTTGAATCTGGGAGGTGGAGGTTGCAGTGAGCCGAGATCGTGCCACCTCACTCCTGCCTGGGTGACAGAGTGAGACTCCATCTTAAAAAACATTAGAAAAAAAAAAGGATGTTCTCTTATATTCCTAATATACTGTTTTATTTTATATTCATAGTAAATGGATATTAAGCTGTATCAAATTATTCTGTATCTTTGAGATCGTAAAAGTTCCCCCCCTTCCCTTAATCTCTATGTTACATTTGTTGGGTTACATTTGTTGATTTCATAATGTTAAATTGCTCTTATTTTCTAGGATAGACTCAATTTGATCATGACATGTAATTAATAATCTTTTTAATTGCCTGCTAGATTTGGTTTGCTAATGTCTCATTTAGGATTCTTGCATGTGTTCATTAATGAGATTAGCTTTTTTTCATGTCACTTTAATATTACTCCCAACCGCACTAGCCCTCAGTAGCCACTAATCTAGTTTCTGTCTCTATAAACTTGTCTATTTTAGACATTCCGTAAAATGGAATGATACAATATGAGATCTCTGGTGACTGGCTTTCTTCACTTAGCATATTATTTTCGAGGTTCATCCATATTGTAGCATGTGTCACTACGTAATTCATTTTCATTGCCAGATAATATCCCATTGCATAGATAGACTATATATTTATACATTCATTAGTTGATGGACATTTGTGTTGTTTATACTTTTTGGTTAATATTAATAATATTGCTATAAACATGTATGCCCAAGGTTTTATGTGGACATATATTTCATTTTTCCTGGGTATATACCTAGGAGTGGAGTTGGTGGGTCATATGATAACTCTGTGTTTAACATTTTGAGGAACATCCAGGTTGTTTTCTAAAGTGCCTATAGCAGTATACATCCTAGTATATGAGGTGTCAGTTTCTCTACATCCTCATCAACATGTATTATTGTCTTTTTTTTTTTTTTTTTTTTTTTTGAGACAGAGTCTCGCTCTGTCGCCCAGGCTGGAGTGCAGTGGTGCCATCTCAGCTCACTGCAAGCTCCGCCTCCCTTGTTCACGCCATTCTCCTGCCTCAGCCTCCTGAGTAGCTGGGACTATAGGTGCCCACCACCATGTCCGGCTAATTTTTTGTATTTTTAGTAGAGATGGGGTTTCACCGTGTTAGCCAGGATGGTCTCGATCTCCTGACCTTGTGATCCACCCACCTCGGCCTCCCAAAGTTCTGGGATTACAGGTGTGAGTCACCGCAGCCGGCCTATTATCTGTCTTTTTGATAATAGCTATTGTAGTCAGAATGAAGTACTGTGTCATTGTGGCATTGATTTGCATCTTTCTGATGGCTAATGATATCAAGCATGTTTTCATGTGCTTATTGGCCATTTGTATGTCTTATTTGGAGAAATGTCTAGTCAGATTCTTAGTCCATTTCAAGAAATTGAGTTATTTATCTTTTTGTTATGGAGTTGTAAGTGTTCTTTAGGTTTTCTAAATATATGTCTCATAACAGATATATGATTTGCAAATATTTCCTCTCATTCTTAAGATTGTCTTTTCACTTTCCAGATGGTGTCCATGGAAACAAAAATATTTTCAACTTTTATAATGTCCGATTTATCTATTTTTTCTTTTGTTTTTATGCTTTGGTATCATATTAACCATTGCCTAATCTAAGATAATAATTTTTTATTTTTATTTTTTTGAGACGAAGTCTTGCTCTGTCACCCAGGCCAGAGTGCAGTGGCGCCATCTTGGCTCACTGCAACCTCCACCTCCCAGATTCAAGCGATTCCCCTGCCTCAGCCTCCCGAGTAGCTGGGATTACAGGTGCCCACCACGCACCTGGCTAATTTTTGTATTTTTAGTAGAGATGGGGTTTCACCATCTTGGCCAGGCTGATCTCAAACTCCTGGCCTCGTGATCCACCCACCTCAGCCTCCCAAAGTGCTGGGGTTATAGGCGTGAGCCACTCTGCCCAGCCAATAACAAATATTTATACCTATATTTTCACCTTCATTTTCGAAAGATAGTTTTAGTGGACATAAGACTCATGGTTGATGGTTTTTTTCTTTTAGCACTTTGAACATTATTTTCCTGGTGCCTTTGAGCCTCCATTTTTTTCTGTGTTACCGGTTAACCTCATTGCAGTTTCCTTGTATGCAAAGAGTCATATTTATTTATATGCTCTCAAAATACTCTCTTTTTGTCTTGTAGTATTTTTGCTATTATGCAACCCAGTGTGGATCTCTTTGTGTTTATTCTGCTTGGAATTTGTGGAGCTTCCTGGATTATTGTTTTTAATTAATGTTTCATTAAACTGGGAGTTTTCAGCTCTTCTTAAAATGAATTTGTTTTGCTTCTTTTTTTTTTCTCCTCTTTTTGGTAGCCCCCTTACATATATATGTGCTTAATGGTGTCCTACATTTCTCTGAGGTTCTGCTTATTTTTCTTCGTTTCTAAAAACCTGTTCTTCAGGTTGTACTATCTCCATTGACCTATCTTGTTTGTTTATTCCTTCTTCTGTCAGTTGAAAGATACAGATACTTCCTTCTACTCAGTTTTGCATATCAGTTATTATACTTTTAATTTTTTAATGTTAATTTTTTTTTTTTTGTCACCCAGGCTGGAGTGCAGTGGTGCAATCTTGGCTCACTGCAGCCTCAACCTCCCAGGCTCAAGTGATCATCCCACCTCAGCCTCCCTAGTAGCTGGACCATAGGTGCATGTGACCATACCTGGCTAATTTTTGTATTTGTTTGTAGAGCTGAGGTTTTGCCATGTTGCCCAGGCTGGTCTTGAACTCCTGAGCTCAAGTGATCTAATCACCTTGGCCTCCCAAAGTGCTGGGATTACAGGTGTGAACTGTCACACCTGGCCAGTTACTATACTTTTTATCTCCAGAATTCAATTTGAAAAATTTTTATCTCTTTATTGATATTTTCCATTTGATGAGACATTATCATCACATCATCTTTTATTTCTTTAAGCATGGTTTCCTTTATTTCTTTGAGCATATTTATAGTGGCTACTTTGAAAGCTTTGTTTGTCAGATCTAACATCTGGGCTCTCTCACAGGTAGTTTCTGGTGCCTGCTTTAATTCCCTGTATATTGGTCTCATTTCCCTGTTTCTTTGTATGTCTTGTAATTTTCTGTTGAGAACTGGACATTTTAGGCAATATATTGTAACACTGGAATCTGCTTCCCTCCACTCCTAATGCTTGTTTTTGTTATTTGCTTGTTTGTTTAGTGACCTGGCTGGACTATTTTACTGCTAGGGGAAGTCTTTGATATTACCTCTCTAATGGTGGGTGCAACCTTGGGCATGTCCACAGTTACCTTTGGATGAAAGGGTTTCTGTCTCTGACGGTCTCTTTCCCTTATATCTTTGTCAAGCTGCTCACCTCTGTTGTTATCACGCCAGCTATTAGGATCCACGAATTGCTGGCCGATTGTTCTATTGTTGTGACAGTGCTCCAGTCATAACTTGCTTCATAGTCTGATCTAATTAGTTTCAGGCCACTCTGCTGGGGTAGTTTTTGAGGCCGGTGTTTGAGGTTTGTTCTGATTCCAGGAGGACTCTTAACTCTTTTCCTAGTTCTCTATGGTAAACTATCTGGCTTATAATATAGTTTATGTCTCTCATGGATCTACTAGCTTCCTCTTAATTGCTTACCACCAAAATCTTTATTGTTTCTAGAGTACCCTTAGGCTTGAACTTCCCTTATACTCTGCTGTTTCAGTTAAAGTTAGTCCCTTTAAGTGAGAATTTTGAAGCTCTCTGTTCTTATGAAGTGTCTCTTCCTCTGGGCAAAATCTCTGAGCCATTGATCTGGAGCCAGTGATCTGGAGGGTGTAGTAGCCTGTTTCTCTTGGAGTGACACCATGATTTTTCTAGCAGGATGCTGGGCTGAGATGGTAGCCTCTGGTCTCCTTATCTTACCTCTTCTGGTATGGAAACTTTGCACTATGAATGAGCTAAGGTGAAGGCCTTTAGGGCACCAGTATTCTCTGCCTGCTGTTGCTGGGTGTAGAGCGTTTACCCTGTGAGTAGGGACTGGTGGAGGAAGGAAGCTCTGACCACTTGGCCATGCTCACCAGGAATGTAGCCGTTGTAGTTTAGAGCTGGGGGGATGAGAAGTGCTGGTGGCCCCTCCCTCCTGGTGAGAGAGTTTATCCTTTGACTTGGAGCCCCATTTTCTTGGCCATATCCACAGGGAGTGGAGTTTCTCTCATATCGAGCTGGAGGTAGGGAAGGAGGGGATATGTTATGCTCAGAGACCATAGACTCTCAACCTTCTTACCAAGATTTAGTATGCTTCCTTGAATTAATGTTTCTTGATCTGCTTCTTGCTCTTAAGACAATTTCCAGAGACTTTAAGTGTTTTCTTAGTTTTTTAATTTAAAATTTTACTTGTATGGTTGTTTTGGCTGGAGAGGGTAGGTCTGTGGAGCTCCTCATACTGCCATTCTAGAAGTGGATTATTGTGAGATTAGCTTTTAATTTTATTTCCTATTGTCAATAAGAGACTTAGGAATCCAGGTATAGTAACCTAATGGAATGAGGTTGGGAGTGTAAGTAATTTTTCTGTTTTTTGGATGAACTTGTATAATATTAGGTTTTGTTCCTTGAAAGTTTGATAGAACTTTGTAAAATTATCTGAACTTACAAGATTACTTTTTAAACTACTTAGATTTCTTATTTGTTATGAGTTTTCAGGTCTCCTGTTTCTATTTGAATAGTTTTTCAAAATTATATTTACATTTTCTCTTTTGTGTAAACTTTTTAAAATTTTTTCTTTTTTTTGTTTGGTAGAGATGAGGTCTTGCTATGTGGCACAGACTAGTCTTATACTCCTGGCCTCAAGTGATCTTCCTGCCTTGGCCTCTCAAAGTGCTGGGATTACAGGTGTGAGCCACTGCACCCAGCCTAAATGTTAACATACATTGGCATAAAATTTATACTGGGCCCAGTTGATTTCTCTGCCCAGATTCATTTGGCTCCCTTCTCAAACCTCAGTTGCTTGTCCTACTTCCTTTTTAGAGTGGCCACAGTAGCAGCTCATGTCATTCTTGTGGTTGTAAAGCCCTGGCCATTTTCATTGTAACCTCATCTTTGATACCATACAGGTCATCTTAGCCTCCTCTTTGGTACAGCCTTCCTGTGACCTTTAGGGTAAGAGTCATAACAAATTCAAGGCATGATGTGCCGCATCTGGACCTACAAAGCCTCAAGCTTCACCAGCAGCTGCTTGGAGGGGTCAGGCCTCAAAATATTAATACAAGAAAGTTATGCTATGGAGCAAACACTGACCCATGAGTGGTGGGAGATAGAAAGGAGCTGAGACAAATGGTCTCCATTTAGCCTCTGTGGAGATATGCCTGTGACTTGTAGCTTACCGCGATTTCTTGCAAGGCCATAGCCAGTTTGTTAATGTACCACCTTATAGTTGTTTTCCTTCCTGTCCTGCCTCATTTCCCCTTTTCCCTTACTCTTCCTTCCCTGTGCTCACCAAAGAATTATTGACATGTAAACTTGGCCTCAAACTCTGATTTCTAAAGAATTCAGGCAAAACTAATTATAATCAGTGGTGCTCCTAGCACATATGTACTTAGGATGGGGTTAAATTAGATTGCTTCCCTCTTTGAAGGCTGTAAGGACTGCTAGTCGTCAGGGAGCTGACAATGACCTTGGCATGCAGTGGCATCACAATGACCACAGCTTTCAATGATGATAATTTTGCATAAGATATGGGTGAAAAGAAAGACATGTAGCTGTTGCATTTGATGGGCATGGGGGTGGGGCATGGATAACTGTAAGGATTTTGGTGTTTTGGCAGCATTAAAGACTTTAGAAAAGAAAAAGATGGGCCCCAGGTAGCTCACAGCCAGCTTAAGGCACACTGTGAAAGCCAGAGAACTGCTATAATTTCTTTAAGGGAGATCTCATTCCACATTCACAGAGAATATTATGTTGAAAATTAACCCCAAGATATAAGAGTGGCAAGGCTGCAGTATAAGACTGAAGGTACAGTTTTGACAGATCACCTGTCAAAGCCAGGGCTTTGATAGAGAAATAGTAGGATGCTGACACCTGGAAATGAGACCTCTGGGTATATGTGCTGAACAATATTGAATCCTTAATTTTTTCCAAGTCATTTTAGCCAGGAGAAAATAGCCCTACTTTCTCTGGATTCTATATAGTGACCTTTCCTGAAGTTAGTTCTATGTATGATTATGCTTATTCTCCTCAAGATCTGGCCACATCATCACTCACTACTTCTAGGCTGAATTGCTTAAGTAGCATCTTAGCATAGGCTAAGTGGGTAATTATGATCCCTGCTCTGTGAAGAATATAGTATATGTTAAAATAATATGCCATAATAATTCGGGTATTATGGAAACATTTGTAGAATAGATCTTGAGGACATGGGAAGATGAGAGGGCATGGAATATAAGGTTCTGCTGGATGAAGATGTATTATCATGCGGGTACTTACCCCTGTGTGATTTGGAATTACATGTTCTAGCAAGGGCATATGGAAATGTCAGAGCTTCTTTGGCATGTTATTGAGAAAGGGGTCAAAATTCATAGTGGGCAGAAATATTAGAAATATACTTTGTAAGACTTGAGAATTCACCACCTTTTTTTTTTTTTTTGAAGAGAGTCTCATTCTGTCACCCAAGCTAGAGTGTGGTGGCATGACCTTGGCTTACTGCAGCTTCAAACCCTTGGGCTCAAGTGACCTTTCCACCTCCCAAATAGCTAGGATTATGGGCATGTGCCACCACACTTAGCTAATTTTTATTTATTTATTTATTTATTTTTTTGAGACGGAGTCTCGCTCTGTTGCCCAGGCTGGAATGCAGTGGTGCGATCTCAGCTCACTGCAAGCTCCGCCTCCCGGATTCACACCATTCTCCTGCCTCAGCCTCCAAAGTAGCTGGGACTACAGGCACCCACCACCATGCCTGGTTAATTTTTTGTATTTTTTTTTTTAGTAGAGATGGGGCTTCACCGTGTTAGCCAGGATAGTCTTGATCTCCTGACCTCGTGATCCACCCGCCTTTGCCTCCCAAAGTGCTGGGATTACAGGCGTGAGCCATCGTGCCCAGCCCACTTAGCTAATTTTTAATTTTTTTTGTAGAGGTAGGGTTATGCTGTGTTGCCTAGGCTGGTTTTGAACTCCTGGCCTCAAGTGATCCTCCTGCCTCAGTGTGCCTAAGTGCTGGGATTACAGGTGTGAGCCACTGCATCTGGCCGTAAACGTAACCACTTTTATTCCCCAGGACATTTTTTGTTTTACCAGGGCGACAAGGAATGAATTATTGACCCTATGGCTGAATGCCCAACCTGGGATCAATACCAAGCCCTTGATATGTAGGAGACCAGTTGCCGCCTAGTCTGATGGCAGATGGGTCATCTTGGAGGTCTTGGACCTTAAAAGACGTACTAAAGCATCCTTACCAGAATTGACATATACTCCACGTAGAGGTTTTTTATTCCCCTGCAGGCAGAGATCCTGCCAGTATCACCATGTGAATGTTCAGTCCATTGACTCAGGGCCTAATATGTTGATGGGGTTCAGGACAAGCTACTGAAACATGGCACCTTGGCTTATTAAATATTTTAAGCTAAAGGAATTTAAGAAATGGCATCTCCGGTTCTCCCCTGAAGCAGGTTATAAGGCCCTCATGTGACAGGTACCCTCCCTGTATCCAGAGGAAAGAAGTATTCTTATCTCTGAAGATTGGAAGGACAGTGAGAGGAGTCGAAGTGAACAGGCCTTGCTAAGTTTCGCCAGTTTATTACACTTAGCTCAGCCTCTTTGTCCTTTCATATATTTCCATAGCTCTTCATCAAATGAAACACAAAAACGCTCAGGTTTGACCACAAAAATGAAGGTTTAACCACGTCTTTGGTTCTTCATTTGCTTTAAGAATGGCTCCCATGTTATGTAAAACTTATATTAAATAAATCTGTATGCTTTTCTTTTGATAATCTTTTGTTACAGGGGCTCTAGGCGAGAACTTAGATGGGTAGAAAGAAAAGATATTTTTTCTTTCTTGCAATATCAATGTGGTAACCCACACAGTATTTCCTTTGACCAAGGGACCTATTTTATACTGGAACTCATGATCACAAGATTCACTGGAGTTAGTATGTTTCTAATACCCAGAAGCATTTGGATAGGAGGTTTGAGTGGCCTGTGGAATGGAATAAATATTCAGTAAAAGCAGCAACTTGTGGACAACTCCGTGGGGTTCAATGTGGTATATATGGGGCTGAGTTGGTAATAGAACAAGAGAATCTGAAAATCAAAGGGTGGAAGTTGGATTTACCTTCTGCCATCAGTTACAGTGACCCACTTGTAGATTTTGTGCTTCTTGTCCCTGCAGTCTTAAGCTCTCCCAGGTAAGAGGTCCTGATTCATGGAGGATGGGGTGAGGAACACTTTAGCCACAGGACACAGTAAGAATTCTCTTGACTGGAAGCTGCGACCACAATATATTCACTTTGAGCTTATGACAGTGCACCAGCAGGCATAAAGAAGCATTGGTAGACCAATGAACTGTGAACACCAGGAGGAGTTAAGGTTATTGCTACATACTGGGGACAGGGAGGAGTATCTCTGGCCCAGGGGATTCCCTGGGCTGTCTTCTGGTCTTTTGCTGCCTAGTGGCAACTGTGAATGGACATTTTGAACAGCCATAGCCTGACAAAAGCAAGGAAACTATAGGCCCAAGCCTTTTGGGAATAAAAGTCTGGGTCACCCCATAAGGCAAAAACCAGACCACCCAGAGCACTGGCTGTGGGTGAAGGGAATCTGACGTAGGAGGTGCAGGAGGGAGATGACAAACACAGATTTACAGGACCAGCTGCAAAAGGCACAAATCATACCTTGGTTTACTAAATCTCTTTCTAGGCAAGTGCAAGTGCAATTCTTCACAACCATGAAGAACTGGACTTGTACCTCTTCTCTTGGAGAAGAGATGAGGGCATCTTTTAGATCTGCCTTTCATAAGAGAGTGCAAATTAATCTGAGCGACAGAAGGAGAGGATTGCACCAGATCCAGTTTATCTGCCTCTCAAATCTTCTGCATCACGCCTGCCCAAGCCTGAGCAACTTGCTCTTCTTCCTCTTCGGCATGGCCCCAGGATATTCCCTGGCATAACTGTGATTGTCTGCTTGCTTCTGCCATCACCTCACCTTCTATCACATCTATCCCAGCCTCCCCTGAGGTGATGAAGGCCTGGCCTTTGCCCATTTGCTATCACTTGCACTGGGACAGGAGTTTCAGTAGCTCCAGTGCCCAGGTACCCCTGGATGGATTGGCTGTGTCTTAGAAGCTTTGCAGAGTGGCAGGAAGCACAACCTGGAAGTAAGAGGAGGTTAACACATGCATATTAAAGTCCAATTTTCGTTGCACATCACAATCCGATTGAGAAATGGTTCAGTGTTCTTGCATAGAACAAGAGAAGATGACACTTCAGCTCATGAGGCACCCACTTACCGAGTTTTTTCACCTTTACAATTTGCTTTAAACGCTGAACGACTGTGGAATGGTCAACGTTGAGTGCTTTGTCAACTTCTAGTATAGTTTTAAGAGGATCAGCTTCAATGATTGCTCTCAGTTGGTCATTGTCAACTTCCAGTGGTTTGGCCACTATGCTCCTCATCTTCAAGGTTCTCATCTCCTTTGAAAAGTGTCTTGAACCACCACTGCACTGTACGTTCATTAGCAGTTGCTGGGCTAAAGGCGTTGTTGATGTTGTGAGTTGTCTCCACTGCTTTATGACCCATTTGAACTTGAATAAAAAAATCACTTGAATTTACTTTTTGTCTAACATCATTTCCATAGTCTAAAATAAACATAAAATAAATAAGTAATAAGTCATTAGCAAAAAACCATAAAGCAAGAAATGCCCATTAAACTGATGTATAATATAACCACATTTATCTGAGAGTGTATGCCAGTATCAAGCAGCAAATTCCAACAATGCAAAAACCACAATTTACTTTTGCACTCACCTAATATATATATCTTAGTACAGTAAATCATATATATAGCTTATAAAAAATATACATTTGACCCTGGAACAACATGAGTTTAAACTGGATGGGTTCACTGATAGGTGGATTTTCTGCCTCTGTCACCCCTGAGACAGCAAATAGAGGATTTGCTCCTCTACCTCCTCCTCCTCAGCCTACTCAACATGAAGACGATGAGGATGAAGACCTTGATGATGATCCACTTCCACTCAATGAGTAGTAAATATATTTTCTCTTCCTTACGATTTTCTTAATAACATTTTCTTTTCTCTAGCTTACTTTGTTTTAAGAACACGGTATGTAATACATACACCATATAAAGTATGTGTCAGTTGACTGTATTGGTAAGGTTTCTAGTCAGCAGTAGGCTTTTAGTTGTTAAGATTTGAGAGATTCAGAAGTTATACATGGACTTTCAGCTGCACAGAGATTGGTGCCTCTAACCCCCGCATTGTTATAGAGTCAGTTGTACATATATTAAGGTTAATAATTTTTGACTGAAGGAAAGGTATAATAAAATATTTGGTATAAGCTAAAGTTAACCAGTGTGAGTTATTACTGTTGTTGTTGTAACATGGTGGACTAACATGATCAGATTATCAGTTTTACAAAAATAAGTACTGAGTTTGGGGGATACCTTGCTGGGTGGGGTGTTGGGGTTCTGGAGGCAGGAAGGCCAGTTAGGAGGTCTGTGATTTTTCAGTGCTGAGGATCCATTCTTGCTGCCTTCTCCCTTTTCCCCGGCGTTCTCAGCCCCGCCTAGATCTTTCTAACTTTCTGCAGAGGAGTTCATAAAGTAGATGTGTTGCAATCTAGGGGACATTGATGGCTTTCCATTGTTTGCATTTAAGCTCTACAATTTCAGTTTGTTTAATGCAAAGTTCTTGCTATATCTTCCTACAGTTAATTGAGAAAGAATTTCTCTTTTATCTTGGTAACTTAAAAGAAAAACTTTATTTTTTAGAGCAGTTTTAGGTTTATTTTTGGTAACTTTTAAATGAAAAGACAACACACATTTTAGTTTTTTACCTCTTGTTATTTTTATCACGATGAGTGGCTCCTTTGTAGTTTGCATGACATCTGTTTTATAGTTCTAAGTAGTGTTTCTTAATTGGTATTCTTACGTTGCCTTTGGTAGCTTTTTTGATAGTTTTATTGTGAAGTTGTCAAGAATAAATTTGAAATTAACCTTACCAAGTAGGTCTTTTTGTTTGTTTGTTTTTCTGAGATGGAGTCTTGCTCTGTTACCTAGGCTAGAGTGCAGTGGCGTGATCTCAGCTCACTGCAACCTCCGCCTCCTGGGTCCAACAAGCGATTCTCCTGCCTTAGTCTCCCAAGTTGCTGGGATTACAGGCGTACCACCACGCCCACCTAATTTTTGTATTTTTAGTAAAGATGGGGTTTCACCATGTTGGCCAGGCTGGTCTCGAACTCCTGATCTCAAGTGATCCACCTGCCTTGGCCTCCCAAAGTGCTGGGATTACAGGTGTGAGCCAACCCGTCCAGCCACCAAGTAGGTCTTTTATTATTCAATATCATCATGATGATTCTATTTGGGATAGAGCTAGGATTGTTATTTCCATGGAGCCTGGAGATGGTCACTGTTCCATGTTCTTTTAATAGTGTTTTAACTTTCTAGAAATAGCTGAAAAGTATTTATAGAATATTTAAATACATAAGGAAAAGTTATGTCTCAGTTATGCTCTTGGGAAATTTTGAAATATTTTAATGACATTTAAAAATATTCTAATCACTTGCAAAGATACTTATCTAAATTAATTTTTATTTACTTGACTATTTTTTAAAATTTACTTAAAATATGGATTGATACTCAGGCAAATAAGTAGAAATAAAATGGATTTAATTCTATACCCTCTTTTCTTAGTGGCCGCTGGTTTAATATTGTAAAATATGTTTATCCCAAAGTAAATGTGTTAGGAAAAACTAACCAAAATCGACCAGAAAGAAATCTCTTGTTTAAATAGATAAATTCTTGAACATTTAACCTTTCCCTCTTTCTTCCTTACGCTCCCTCTCCTGCCACCCCCACCCCACCCTAATTCCTCCCACTCCCACGTCTCTACTCCCTATTCATTTTCTGAAATGAATAGAGCATTCTTTATTTCCTAACCGCATCTTTGCTGGTTGCTTTAAAAACTTCTTTCTTCCTTTGATCAGTGGCCTAAGTTTTTCATTACTTGGCACTGGTTGATTTATAATATATTTTGAAAAGATGTATAAATGCTTAAGACACTAAGCTAAGTAGTTCCTCATTTATCTGGCATATTTGAATAATGCATTATTCAAATTAAGAGAAATTTTTCAGATAACTAAGTTTTACCTTTCTGACGATGAAAACATTTTAATTATCACTGATGAGCAACTTTAAAAATGCATGCTTTCTTGCCTTCTAAAAATAGATTATATTGAACATAAATTAATCTCTTGATTATTCTCATTATTAACATACTTTAAAAAACTCTTCTTTCTTAAGGATTACTGATTTTAATGGGGCTGTTTGTCCCTTCTCTAAGTGTTCTCAGGGCTGATTTCTTCAATCTGTTTTTGGCCTCTGATTTTTGTCAGTTATTAGATGGCTGCAGTATTTTTGTCTCTAGTGGGCTCATGCCAAGTCCCCTTCTCTTCTCCTTCTATTCCCTTTCTCATCACTCTTTTTTTCCAGATTACAACATAACACACACACACATACACACACGCACACTTTTTGCTTTTTTTAGTACTTTGATTGCTTGAAAAATGAGAATTATGTCCAAAATGCCACAAAATAGGGCTTTAATCCGAAGTCAAGAGACTACTTTGAGTAAAATATCTAAAACTAATTGTATTTATTGTCTGGTATCCTTGTTACTGGTCTGTGGTCTTGTTTTATTTGCTTTACTTGACGATGCTAGAGAGATGACTTTTTAAATTGTGACTTTATGTTAGTTGAGATGCTACTGTAAAATTATAACATTTAGATAGTTACATAAGAATTTTGAAGCAGAATTAATTATGGAGAAAATACAACTGTCTCCTTTACATAGTGTTCACCAAACACCCTTAGATATACAAAAGTTACCTGAAAAATTTCCAAAGCAACATAAAGAAATTCTGCTTTTACTTTTTAGAAAATTACTGTCTCAAAGTAACGGCAGTGTTTAGATAGTCAGAAAAGAGGAAAAATATGGTATAATGATTTTCCAATAGAAGGATCTATAGAAAACTTTTTTTTTCTTTTTTTTTATTATTATTATACTTTAAGTTTTAGGGTACATGTGCACATTGTGCAGGTTAGTTACATATGTATACATGTGCCATGCTGGTGCGCTGCACCCACTATCTCGTCATTTAGCATTAGGTATATCTCCCAATGCTATCCCTCCCCCCTTCCCCCACCCCACAACAGTCCTCAGAGTGTGATATTCCCCTTCCTGTGTCCATGTGATCTCATTGTTCAATTCCCACCTATGAGTGAGAATATGCGGTGTTTGTTTTTTTGTTCTTGTGATAGTTTACTGAGAATGATGATTTCCAGTTTCATCCATGTCCCTACAAAGGACATGAACTCATCATTTTTTATGGCTGCATAGTATTCCATGGTGTATATGTGCCACATTTTCTTAATCCAGTCTATCATTGTTGGACATTTGGGTTGGTTCCAAGTCTTTGCTATCGTGAATAATGCCGCAATAAACATACGGGTGCATGTGTCTTTATAGCAGCATGATTTATAGTCCTTTGGGTATATACCCAGTAATGGGATGGCTGGGTCAAATGGTATTTCCAGTTCTAGATCCCTGAGGAATCGCCACACTGACTTCCACAATGGTTGAACTAGTTTACAGTCCCACCAACAGTGTCAAAGTGTTCCTATTTCTCCACATCCTCTCCAGCACCTGTTGTTTCCTGACTTTTTAATGATTGCCATTCTAACTGGTGTGAGATGGTATCTCATTGTGGTTTTGATTTGCATTTCTCTGATGGCCAGTGATGGTGAGCATTTTTTCATGTGTTTTTTGGCTGCATAAATGTCTTCTTTTGAGAAGTGTCTGTTCATGTCCTTTGCCCACTTTTTGATGGGATTGTTTGTTTTTTTCTTGTAAATTTGTTTGAGTTCATTGTAGATTCTGGATATTAGCCCTTTGTCAGATGAGTAGGTTGCGAAAATTTTCTCCCATTTTGTAGGTTGCCTGTTCACTCTGATGGTAGTTTCTTTTGCTGTACAGAAGCTCTTTAGTTTAATTAGATCCCATTTGTCAATTTTGGCTTTTGTTGCCATTGCTTTTGGTGTTTTAGACATGAAGTCCTTGCCCATGTCTATGTCCTGAATGGTAATGCCTAGGTTTTCTTCTAGGGTTTTTATGGTTTTAGGTCTAAGGTTTAAGTCTTTAATCCATCTTGAATTGATTTTTGTATAAGGTGTAAGGAAGGGATCCAGTTTCAGCTTTCTACATATGGCTAGCCAGTTTTCCCAGCACCATTTATTAAATAGGGAATCCTTTCCCCATTGCTTGTTTTTCTCAGGTTTGTCAAAGATCAGATAGCTGCAGATATGTGGCGTTATTTCTGAGGGCTCTGTTCTGTTCCATTGATCTATATCTCTGTTTTGGTACCAGTACCATGCTGTTTTGGTAACTGTAGCCTTGTAGTATAGTTTGAAGTCAGGTAGTGTGATGCCTCCAGCTTTGTTCTTTTGGCTTAGGATTGACTTGGCGATGCGGGCTCTTTTTTGGTTCCATATGAACTTGAAAGTAGTTTTTTCCAATTCTGTGAAGAAAGTCATTGGTAGCTTGATGGGGATGGCATTGAATCTGTAAATTACCTTGGGCAGTATGGCCACTTTCACGATATTGATTCTTCCTACCCATGAGCATGGAATGTTCTTCCATTTCTTTGTATCGTCTTTTATTTCCTTGAGCAGTGGTTTGTAGTTCTCCTTGAAGAGGTCCTTCACATCCCTTGTAAATTGGATTCCTAGGTATTTTATTGTCTTTGAAGCAATTGTGAATGGGAGTTCACTCATGATTTGGCTCTCTGTTTGTCTGTTGTTGGTGTATAAGAATGCTTGTGATTTTTGTACATTGATTTTGTATCCTGAGACTTTGCTGAAGTTGCTTATCAGCTTAAGGAGATTTTGGGCTGAGACAATGGGGTTTTCTAGATATACAATCATGTCATCTGCAAAGAGGGACAATTTGACTTCCTCTTTTCCTAATTGAATACCCTTTATTTCCTTCTCCTGCCTAATTGCCCTGGCCAGAACTTCCAACACTATGTTGAATAGGAGTGGTGAGAGAGGGCATCCCTGTCTTGTGCCAGTTTTCAAAGGGAATGCTTCCAGTTTTTGCCCATTGAGTATGATATTGGCTGTGGGTTTGTCATAGATAGCTCTTATTATTTTGAAATATGTCCCATCAATACCTAATTTATTGAGAGTTTTTAGCATGAAGGGTTGTTGAATTTTGTCAAAGGCTTTTTCTGCATCTATTGAGATAATCATGTGGTTTTTGTCTTTGGCTCTGTTTATATGCTGGATTACATTTATTGATTTGCGTATATTGAACCAGCCTTGCATCCCAGGGATGAAGCCCACTTGATCATGGTGGATAAGCTTTTTGATGTGCTGCTGAATTCAGAAAACTTCTTATTGAAACATTTTTTTTTTTCAAAACTAGTTTGGCTCTGGATTATTATTATTTTTTGAGATGGAGTCTCACTCTGTTGCTCAGGTTGGAGTGCAGTGGCGTGATCTCAGCTCACTGCAACCTCTGCCTTCGGGTTCAAGCGATTCTCCTGCCTCAGCCTCCTGAGTGGCTGGGATTATAGGTGTGTACCACCACATCTGGCTAATTTTTGTATTTTTAGTAGAGACGGGGTTTCACCATATTGGCCAGGCTGGTCTGGAACTCCTACCCTCAAGTGATCCGCCCACCTTGGCCTCCCAAAGTGCTGGGATTACAGGTGTGAGCCACCTGTCCACCCTGGATTAATGTTTAAAAGAAGTAAATACAATACCACTCCTGAGTACACTAAAATGGAGATTTAGATGACAACAAACAAGCAGCCTCGGACTTTGCTGTTTGAATTCTATATTTGGTAGATTCATACTGCATTTGTAAAAGTGGTGATATCTGGCATAGAGACGGTCAGCAAATTCAGTCAGGCCAACTTTACGTAAGCTTTTTTTAACTTTTTTTTTTTTGAGATGGAGTCTCCGTCTGTCTCCCAGACTGGAGTGCAATGATGCAATCTCGGCTTACTGCAACCTCTACCTCCTGGGTTCAAGCGATTCTACTGCCTCAGCCTCCTGAGTAGCTGGGATTACAGGTATGCCGCACCATGCCCAGCTACTTTTTGTATTTTCACTAGAGATGGGGTTTCACCATGTTGGCCAGGCTGGCCTCGGACTCCTGACCTCAAGTGATCTGTCCGCCTCAGCCTCCCAAAATGCTGGGATTACAAGTGTAAGTCACCATGCCCGGCCTAGGTTTACATAACCTTTAAAAAATACTATCTGATTCTGCAGATGTGTCATGTACTTAGTAGTGTTTAGGTGAAATCATGTTTGTGGGTTTAGCTCCATCTATCAAATGGTAGACTTTGTAAAATCACAGAGTTGTGACAGATGTTTGTGGCATCAAGATGTTTCTGAATAGCATGGACAGTTAGTGTTAATATTGAACAAAATCTATTCTAAGCCTTTCTCAGATCATCTACAAAGAGGAAATTATTTAAACCTTTGAAAAGAGGTTCTTAATTTTTTTTTTTTAAGTTTGAAGTTGAGTCAGGATCAGGACTGAATGAATGGAATAAGAGAAATTATTTAAGTATTTCTTGTATATTTTTTAACCTCATTAAAGACAGAAATTTCCCCATGAGGTGTTTTGTGTGTGTGTGTATGTGTGTGCTTTCAGTTCTTGTATGTTGCCTATGTGTCTTTGCTGAGCTTCCTCAAGTTTCTAGTGACTGTATATTTCCAAAGATTATTTTCCAATGTCATTCAAAATTGTTGTGGGTGTTAAGGAGGCAACAACAAAATAAGCTCGAAGATAATTTTTGTGTATTTTTGATTTATCTTTGATTTGTAATTATAGTCAGGTATAATAGAGTTTACTTGTTTATTTAAATATTAAATGTAGTATGGAAGGGTATAGTTTGGCCTCTGTTGGAGTACTCAGAATTCAAGAGATACATATGTGTATTAGTCTGTTTTCATGCTGCTGATAAAGACATACATAAGACTGGGAAGAAAAAGAGGTTTAATTGGACTTACAGTTCCACATGGCTGGGGAGGCCTCAGAATCATGTAGAGGGTGAAGGGCACTTTTTACATGGCAGAAGCAAGACCGAATTAGGACGAAGCAAAAGGGGAAACCCCTGATAAACCCATCAAATCTCGTGAGACTTATTCACTATTATGAGAATAGCAGGGGAAAGACTGGCCCCCATGATTCAATTACCTCTCCCTGGGTCCTTCCCACAATATGGGGGAATTCTGGGAGATAGAATTCAATTTGAGATTTGGGTGGGGACAGAGCCAAACCATATCAATGTGTAAGAGAGAAATATAACTTAGTTCAAATAATTATTTCTTTATTTCCAGAATAGGGATTTATCTTAAATGTGCTAAGGGAATTTTAAAAGAAATATATATATTGCTGAAGTGTCTATTCTGTAAACTGAGGTAATGTGATTGCGAAGGTGTTGTAGAAAAAACGATTTAACGAAATATTAAATATGACTTTGAAAAGTGCTGGGAATTTTTGAGGCAAATATTGTCAACAACTTTGGGTCTGGTGATTAAGAGTTCAGTATATTCACATTGTCCTGGGTTGGACTATGTAGTGTTCCCCAGATTTACCTAAATAACAAGGCTCCCCTGATGGGTGGAATTTGCGTGTGTGTTTATGATTGTGAAAACACATTTCGGACCTTTGCTGAAGAAATTCTTGTGGAGTAGGGTTGGGGTGGAGCCCATGAATTTGTATTTTTAGCAAGTACTCTAGATGATTCTTATTATTAAACACATTTGGGAAACACTCTCATGGGCTAAAGAATTAGATTGTCAAATAGCTTCAGACCCCAAAATTATTGACTGCAGCTGTCAGACAATACTCAGACTATTTGATGAGGACTGTTTGCCATAGTAGTTAGTGGATGAGTTTATAACATGGATCCTGGGAAATAGCTTACGGCATATAATGCACTGTTTCTTCATCGTAATAGTATTTATTTAATATTTAAGATCTACCATTGTGTTTACCACTTACAGCATTTGTGATTATTATTTTGTTTGCCTCATCTAATTTTAATCTTATTTATAGATGAAGTTGTGACTCAACTAGGATCAAATTTAATGAGTGGTAGAGGTAAGATTTAAACCCAGAGAGTCTGTTGTCAGAATAAGCATTCTTAACCAAAATATTGATATATTATGTGCTTGGATTCTCACTTCCTTTGATAAGCGTTTGCAGTCCTAAGGTCCTCAACTCCAGCATCTCTGTAATCGGAAAGCAATTCTGGTAAAAGTTGGTGCTGACTGTTGCAATTTGTATGAAGGGACTGCTGCTACCACTCCCAGTATTAAATGTGTCCCACAGCTCTCAAAGAATTCATCAGCATGAAGAGAAACATAAAGTAGCCTGATGTGGTGCTAATGTATCCCTTACTCTCAGTTACAGTTCTCCAGTTAACTGAGTTTCACTTAAGACCACCACATCATCACCACCCAAAGAAATCTGATCACATCCAGCCTCTTAACAACCATTTCCTTGCTCCCACGGACGTTTACTCAGAAGCCAGGCAGCATCGTCCTTCATATGTGTTTTTACTACTGACAGACCTTCAGCAGGTTGAGCTGCCTTAGTCTTAGGTGATAACATTTATGGTGACATCTGCCAGTCAGGCAGAGGTGCAGAAAGGAGAGTTTAATCAGGGCTCTGATAAACTGAGGTGTTGACAGTGGGAGAGATTGAGAGTTGCAGAATGTTATTTACCCCTTGAGTCTTCAGGATTATAAATCCTGAAGGCTTCTTTTCTCTTCTTCTTTACTCTCCCTTCCCCGCAGTGTTTTCAAGCAGGTTCATTAGTCTTAGTCTTGAGAATCTGTTTACCTGTGTTGCTCTTTCAGAAAGCAGCATCCAGAGAACAAAATAGAAGACAGGCAGTCTCCTCAGCAAGATACTTGGCTAAATATGAGTCAGCGTGGTTGCTAACCCAAACCTTCCTGTTGAGAATCCCAGGAGTGCGTTAGTGTGTGTTTCTTGGATAACCCCCATAAAGGTTTTCTCTCTAACCCAGTGAAGCAAATGAAAAACAATGGCTAGCCCTCATAGTATACTTCTGGAATGTAATTTTTCAATGCAGCCTCCCCCTCATTCATACTAGATGAGAACTTATTCTCTGTGTTGCTCTCTTGATGCAGAAAAGACCTTATCTTTGAGATGCCGGGCTGCGTAGAATTCACAGAGACTTCATTGGATAGTAGCAGTGACCTGTCCTTCTGTCTGTCTTTGGGTGACTGTTTTTTTTTTTTTTCCTGGAGACACAGTCTTGCTGTGTCGCCCAGTCTGCAGTGCAGTGGCGCAATCTCGGCTCACTGCAACCTCCGCCTCCCGGGTTCAAGTGATTCCTCTGTCTCAGCCTCCCAAGTAGCTGAGACTACAGGCACGCGCCACCATGCCCAGCTAAGTTTTTGTATTTTAGTAGAGACGGGGTTTCACCATGTTGGCCAGGATGGTCTCGATCTCCTGACCTCATGATCTGCCCATCTCAGCCTCCCAAAGTGCTGGGATTACAGGCATGAGCCACTGCGCCCAGCCAACTGTGTTTTTAATTCATGATTTTTTTTCCCTCTTTTGTTTTGAGTGCATGTGATTCAATGGGTGTCACTTTTTAGTTGTTTTGTTTTTGTTTTTGTTTTTGTTCTGAGACAGAGTCTCACTCTGTCACCCAGGCTGGAGTGCAGTGGCGCAATTTCGGCTCACTGCAACCTGTGCCTCCTGGGTTCAAGTGATTCTCCTGCCTCAGCCTCCCAAGTAGCTGGGATTACAGGTGTGTACCATCACACTCGGCTAATTTTTGTGTTTTTAGTAGAGATGGAGTTTCACCATGTTGGCCAGGCTGGTCTCAAACTCATGGCCTCAAGTGATAACTTGCCGCAGCCTCCCAAAGTGGTGAGGTTACAGGCATGAGCCACTGTGCCCAGCTTCAGTGGGTGTCACTTTTTAAAATTATGATTCAATCAGAATAGTGTAGTATTTTTGATTGGGACAAGCGTTCTCTATTTATGTAGAACTACAGGGTGATCCCCAGTTTTTCTTGTCATTTGCCTCTGTCTTTTTCAGCAAAAGACATTCTTTCATTACTGTGTCTACAGAAAGAAATTCTGTTTTCAGTGCCTCATTGGCTAGATTAAGCCAAGATTTACTGTTTTAGAAAGATTTACAAATACATAAGTCAAGATCATTTGTGCAGGAAGAGCTTTTGGATTCAGATGTGAGATTTTGTATTTGTTTATAGTTGAATGTGTAGGGGATGATTTATTTTATGCCATTTCAAGGATTGGTAAAACAGGGATTGGTAAATTGCCAAGTGTAGAAATTTGTGTAAGAATTATTTAGATATTTACTTATGGTAGGAAGCAAAATATTTTAGGGTCTTTACTATTTTTTTTTTTTTTTTTTTTGGTCAGCAAGTGGCCTTTTAGTGAAAAAGACAAGGACTGTTAAGCACCTAATATGAGTCCAGCACTCTTGTGGACTAGGTGGGCAGCTGTGAAGGATGAGGTTGGCATGCCTGCCTTGTCTGGCTTGCCCCTGCATTTCTTTATCTGTGTGACCTCAGGCCAGTCTTTTGCCATCTTTGGACTTTGGTGTCCTCAGCAGTAAAATGGAATCCATTATGTCATGAACACTTTGCCTTCCTCTTTGGATTGTTTGGAGGGTCAAGAGAACCTGTATCTTTTAAAACTATAAAACAATTATCTAAAAATTATTTGGTGATATTATTACTCATGATTTTTGATTTAGCCACTGTCCTCAAGGAACTTTTGATTTGTGTGACAAAGGTTTATATAAAAACAAATGTTTAGAAAGCAGTGTAAAATAGGATACAACCTATTGTGGTCCTTTCTTAAGAGTTATGCATTTTATAGGAAATCAGGAAAAGAAGAGATGGGTATAGGTAGATTAGTCAGAGGAGGATTACAGGATAAGGTGGGATTTGAGCTAAATTTTTAAGCATGCTTAGGACAGAGGGTGTGAACAGAGACCTAGACCTAGAGCAGAGAATGATTTCACCCAAGTGCCGTGGAATTGAAAATTGTCTGCCTTCATATGTCCTGTGGTTCCTGGGACTCACCACCCCTTCCTGCCTTCTTGCCCTTTGCACATAATAGTTCTTCTTCATGGAATTCTCCCCGACTCCCACTTCTCTTTCCAGTCCAGTGTCATATGCCTTATGACAGATCATCACCCTGGTGGTAAGAAACTACTACAACTAAATACAAAACAGTTCTTGTCCCCAGGGAAACTATTCCTCTCAGCTAAAAATAAACAAAATAACCCTACCCATTTGATCAATGCCTTAGTATACATTCAACCCCTTACTGGGTGGGGTTGTGGCCATGCCAGTTAGAGCCGACAACCAAAGAGAAATCACCGTCACTGCACAATTAAGCCTGCCCTCCTCTATCTTCCCTACCATATCTTCTGGAAGATTCCATCACTTATCACACTTAACATTAGCTGCTGTTAGATAAGGTGCTAGTGGTTTAAATGTGTCATTTCATTTTGTCATAACAACTTCATGACTACTATCTATAGTACTATTATTCCTATTTTGTAAATAATAATAAAACCCCTGACACTTTGGACATTTAATTTGTCCAGGGTTCTGCAACTAATAACAGTTACTGGAACTTGAACTAACCCTTAAACTAAAACTTAAACTAAGTTTTTTTGCATACAAATATAAAAAAGTAAGACAAACATGGGCTTAGGAAACTTTCCTTATTCTTTCTTCCCTGGATTTTGCTGAGCAGTAGATAAAATGAAGTTTACGATTAAATAAATAAAGTAAATAATTTGAGAGAGTTAACAGTTAATTAACAGTTAATTGCCTCAGGTTTTCAAGAATATATTTTCTCTTTCCACTGTGAGACGTTATACTGTGTAAACAAAAGAATTATTTATTCTAAGGATTCTGTTATTTCACTTTATATTTTATAAATGAGTTGAATGTATATTAAGGTGTTGATTAAATGCATAGGGTTATTTTGTTTATTTTTAGCTGAGAGGAATAGTTTCCCTGGGGGCAAGAAGTGTTTTGTATTTAGTTGTAGTAGTTTCTTACCACCGTTGTGGTGAAAGACAAGTGCTGTAGACATGGCATTTACTGGGTGTTTGACTGCTTGCTTTCTCCAGGTCATGGGTTCTAGCTGAAATCTAAGCACTTGTGTTGAGAGGAGTCTGGCGTAGGGCTGTGACAGCAGCACTGTTCCCATTGACAGCAGGGCTTCCGAGAGGCCTGGGTAGGCTCCAAGAGCTTCCACATCCACCGGGAGCTAAGCAAACTGCTCTGCCTCTGGGAAACTCCTCAATGTTTGTTTTGTTTTTTAGGGATCTTTGTCATCCCAGGAGTCCAGGCTAGCTTAAAATTATCTTTGTCCAGGGAGGTCAATGAAGAGAGAGATGAATAAGGTAAAAATAGAGAAGGCGTTGTGGTGAATGTGGCATTTTTGCTGAACTTTAAGGGATGGTAGAGTTTACTTAAGTACATTGCATGGAGGACATAAGCAAAGACTTAGAAGTGATACCATATGGAGTATCTTAGTGGAAGTTTTGATAGAATTAGAGGAAAATGTTTCATGGGGTCACAAAATTCACTTAGGTTACAATTTAGATGCACAGAGAAAAGTGTATTATTTTGTGTATAATTGATCTGGACTTTCTAATAAGGCTCATTTATTCATTGCTTCCTAGGGAAAAAAAGTCACTGTTAAATCAGTCTGGATTAAAAGTAGACTGAGTCTATAATTTACATAATCTCTTCAGGTAATAATTCTTCTCTCTAGGGAATGTTGCTCATCTCTCAGTTATCTCATGCTTTTTTGTAGCTCTTCTCCAAGATGGGGAGGTATGTGGGATAGTGGGCAGGACAGAGGTGTGGAGTGCAGAGTATTGACCTTGTGCTCACTGTTCCTCACCCTTCTCTCTGGGGCATCGTTTCTTGTTCTCCTAGTTGCTGAATGCCGTATTGACCTCCAGTGCTCATGGTTGCAAGTGATGAACTCATGGTCAGTTCTTCTTCATTTCTCTCATTGAGTACCCCCTGGCTGATTCCAAGCCTGTCTTTGGCTGTTGCGGGACCATAGAAACCTTGAACATCTGGCTGTGACTCCCATTTGGTATTGGCCTGAACATTCCACCTTGCAAACCTTATTCTAAAGCTACCTCAATTTATGGCAGTGATTTCCCTCTGAGAAGCTTCCTGGCAAGATTTTTAGTTAGATCTGGGTTGGTTCTACCCTGCACAGTAATCTGGCACTGTTCAGGAATGCTAAAACTCTGTATCTCCTCTGCCTGACCACATTGTGGTTTACATTGATGTGACTCCACCCCCAGTGTTAGGGGTAGCCTAAGACTCTCCAATGGAAAATGGAGCTCCGGTGAGTAGGGTGGGACTGTTGAGAAGTGGAGAGTTGACACGTGTCTACTTATGTTTCTTTCCTTTCTTCTCTTTTATTTTCCTCACAACTATTCTAATATCAAAAATGGGCAGAATGCTCTTCTTCTTTCTCCTAGGTCGTCTTTATGTATAACTAATAAAATTTAGCTCGGCAGAGATGGGAAAGAGAGGATAAAGGGGTAAAAGTTTTATGCAATCTGTTCTCAACATAATTTGATTTGCAGAGCTCTTGTTTTGATGCAGTATCTTATTTTCCGAATGTCAGAAGTTGAATATTTCTTCTTTCTTGGTCTTTGCATATGCATTTCTTCTAGATAAATCTTAATCTCCCCAAAGTAGAAGCTTGGGCCATATTTGGGGAAAGGTCGTGTGCTTAAAAAGTAAAAAGAAAAAAAACACATTATTTTATTTATTTATTTATTTTTTTGAGATAGAGTCTTGCTCTGTTGCCTAGGCTGGAGTGCAGTGGTGGAATCTCGGCTCACTGCAAGCTCTGCCTCCTGGGTTCACACCATTCTCCTGCCTCAGCCTCCCGAGTAGCTGGGACTACAGGCACCCGCCACCACGCCCGGCTAATTTTTTGTATTTTTAGTAGAGATGGGGTTTCTCTGTGTTAGCCAGGATGGTCTCAATCTCCTGACCTTGTGATCCGCCTGCCTCGGCCTCCCAAAGTGCTGGGATTACAGGCGTGAGCCACCACACCTAGCTAGCACATTAACATTTTATAATATATTACAAGTAATAAAGAAGTGACAGATAACATTGACCCAGTTCCTTTGAACCATACTTTTCAAACTGTATCTTGTAGGATTGATGAATAGGAAGTTTAAAATTATTCATTTTAAAATGGGATATCTGCCTCTTGGGGAATCACAACAAATACTTGTTTATTAAAGATTCTGAGAAATTGTGCGGTAGGAAAAGAGGATCTGTTAAATCTTGACTGTGAAGCTTGTAAAAAAATTGTTAAATATCTATTGATTTCTAATAGAAAATAGTTTTTAACTATGGCTGTACCTATCTTACTGGGCAGAGTTGTGGCCATGCCAGTTAGAGCCTACAACCAAAGAGAAATCAGACAGATATTTGAATAACTTTTCATATAACTTTCTTTGTAATACTTTTTTTTTTTTTTTTTTTGCCAAGGACCATTACCAGGCTGTAATGAAGGTATTTTTCAAAGTAAGTGTGTAGTTCAAACCTATTCATCCAGTATTTACTTTGAACTGAACACCAGGTAAAAATCATTTTCTTTGGGAACTATTTTTTGGTAAAGTAGTTTATGTGATGTGGAAACTATTTTGTAACACGTATGCCTAAGCAGTCGGCCTTTTGTTAGATCCAATTAGAGTTTTCTCTTCTGATTAAATGTGAGACTCTGAAATGTTTCGCTTGGCTGCAGGCAAACTAAATCACTTGGGACCTCTTCTGCGTCAGCTTTCTGCAGATGGAGAGTATAATATTAATACTATTTATGTTTACATAATTCTGGAATTCATTATAGACAGAAATAGCCAGGATGTACACTTTTCTGGAGTAATGTAATAACTAATAGAACTTACTTTAGAGTTCTTCTATGATCTATAAAATGAAGAAATAGCCATCTTGTGCCTGTAAGTATAGTAAGACTTAGAATTATGTAATTGAAGAAGCACAGAATTTTGGAGCTTGGAGAAGCTCAGCCAGTGTCTATATATACCATATTTAGAAGCAGAGGAGGCCAGAGAAGTTAAATAACAGTTTTAGGATCATGTAGTGAGCGCTAGAATATAATTTTATCTTTATTGGTAAACTGAACAGTAAGAGCTAATTAACTTTGTTTTTGGTCAAAAGATTACACTGACACTCAGGGAATCTGATTCCTTTTAAGATCTTAAACCAAATGCTCATTTTAGATGTTAAATTCCATTGTCTTTATAAAATTTCATTTGCTGAAAGGAAGTGTATTTGCAAAATTTATAAATATGTGAAGAAACAGCCTTGACTTTTCCTTTGTAATGAAAATAAGAGTGTTTTGTGACTAAAGATAAAAGAGAGCTGCAGCTTTGTTTCAGAAGACTTTTGTCCCCTAATCAAACTGGTGTGTGTTTATGAGCTACAATGAAATGAATTTATAACGTATTTATAAGCTACACTTACATTATTATTCCCAAAAGTTCAAATGGGCTTTAAATAGAAAAGTCACAGCATAATTATATTTTTCTGATGGGGATAGGGGAATTACTAGGGGGTATAGTGTCAAAGGAGGGAAAGCAGTGTGAATGTAGATGGAGATTCTGGCAAAATCCTGGCTTTTAACCTACAAAGACTGGGAATGAAGTTATATTTTGTCCTAGACTTTTTATTCTTTATGTTGAAATTTCCATATCCTAACACATAGTAGCAGCTGAAAAGTTATATATAGAATGAAGAAAATGAATGAATGAATAAATATGGATCTAGAAAATTGTAGCCAGTAATAACAATATTACAGGAGAAGATTTTCCATGCAACCTAGAAACTCCCAATTTCCTTAAAATATATTTGTCTGATATTTTCATTACCTGGATATTAGCAGCAAACCATATATATTGGAATCCAGTGCAATATCAACAAATATTTTTCCAAGTTAAGACATTTTGTGGGAGAACTTGTAAGTGTGGTTCGATTTAGCTTTAATTCAAGACAGCTAGTCTCTTATTATCTAAATGGGATACTGTACTCACGGTGTCAAGTTGATTGTAATGGGGTATATGAAAAACTCAGCTCAGGCTGAGTCTACAGTATTTAGTGAATTCAGTTTTGACAGTAAGTTTTCTGCATGTCAGGCCCAGAATTCACATGCTTTTCCACCAAAACTGGGAGTTTGAAGAGAATTATATACATACTTGGCCCAGTGATTCACTTTAACTGCCTCATTGTTTTAGCAGATTATTAAACTAAACAGTCTGCTATTTAAACAAGTTTAAAGTTCAGCTTTAAATTTTTTGAAGATAGCTTTTTGAAGACTATTTCCTCAATGAGTTAAATGAGAGCAATACCTATCTCAGATGGTTTTGGTGAGGATGAAATAGATCATTTGGTATGTCAGCTGCTGAGTGCAGTTCCTGAGGAGGCTGTTGCACCAGTAGCTAGTAATTCCTTCCCTACTTTCCCTTTTATTGTGTTACTGTGTTATAGGTCAAAATGTAAATAACTGAGTCAATTCTGCTCTCAGTGCTTTAATACTCCCTTCATTATGTTCATTGCTTCCAGATAAAATACTGGCCATCTGGTTAAATTTAATCTCAGATAAATAGCAAATCATTTTTAGCGTAGCGTTGTCCCAAATAGTGTGTGGGACATACTTATTTTAAATAATTATTTGCTGTTTATTTGAAATTCAAATTTAACTGAGCTTCTTGTGTTTTTTTGGCAAATCTGGGGACTGAATTACTATATGCTATATTTTACATTATTAGCAGTTGATTTCTTTTTCTTATTAAAGATATTTTATTAAATAAGTTCATAATAAATAATAAATAGTAGATTGTTGCCAGTTATTTGTGCATTAAAATAATTATATTTTATAATGAAAGACATCTGTATTAAAATAATCAGATTTGATATAAAAAATTGGTATAATTTTTATTATAAATGCTTGTGTCCCAATTATTCTTTTTTAGAGACAGAGTCTCACTCTGTCACTCATGTTGGAGTGCAGTGGTGTGATCTCTGCTCACTGCAATCTCTGCCTCCCAGGCTCAAGCGATCCTCCCACCTCAGCCTCCCTGGTAGCTGGGACCACAGATGCCCACTACCATGCCCAACTAATTTTTGCAGTTTTTAGTACAGATGGGATTTCACCATGTTGTCCAGGCTGCCAAACTCCTGAGCTCAAGCAATCTGCCCACCTTGGCTTCCTAAATTGCTGGGATTGCAGGTGTGAGCCAAAGAACCAGCTGTGTGTCCTAATTCTTGAATGAAAAAACTGGGTTTTGGGGGAGAGGTGTGTGAGAAAGATGGTGAATGTACTTTTTGTTGTAAATCAATTTACTGATAATGTTTAGTAATTAATAATAATTTTAACTTTAAGTAGTGAAATATGGTTATAGCAAATCACTTGAATGTTTCAGCCACACCCGAAACATTGTAACTGGAGAGAATATAAGTTTTTTAAACTGTGGAGAATAGAAAGTTAATTCAGTCTAGGTCCAGCAATATGTTTAATTGAGCTTTGTTTTATATTGCTTCAGCATCTATTTACTTTTTATTGAGACAGAGTCTCATTCTGTCGCCCAGGCTGGAGTGCAGTGGCACAATGTTGGCTCACTGCAACCTCTTCCTCCCGGGTTCAAGAGATTTTTGTGCCTCAGCCTCCCAAGTAGCTGGGATTACAGGCGCCTGCCACCATGCCTGGCCAATTTTTGTTCTTTTAGTAGAGGCGAGGTTTTTCCATGTTGGCCAGGCTGGTGGTCTCAGACTCCTAGCCTCAAGTGATCCACCTGCCTGGACCTCACAAAGTTCTGGGATTACAGGGGTGAGCCACCATGCTGGCCTGCTTCAGCATTTAAAATAATAATGAAAACTTTTTTTTTCCAGTGCAACATTGTACTTAAAATATTTATAAATTGTAAATCTCTATTTTGCTATTATGTGTACTTGTTACTTTGTAGCCTTTTAAAGCTTAAATGGATACCAGATTTGTTCTGAATGCTATTTTAAATGTTTTTGCATTTTCTTTCATATACTTAATACTTTTTTCTAATTAACAGATGTTAGATACTCAATATACAAAATGTGGGATTTATGGAAAATTAGACAGAAGAAAAATTACCCATGGCCCCATTACCTAAAGAAAACAACTGGTAGTTTTTAGGTATTTTAGTCTATACCTTTTTCTCTATACATATTTTAGATTGGTCATAATTATTATATTACTATTTGATAATATAGCAACATTACATAATTTTAATTTTAATGGCTACTGAATGTTAGATCCTGCTTAATACAGTAAATTACTCAGCCACTCCCACACTGTGAGATGTTTAATTTGGTTGCAGTTTTTTATTTGAAGTAATACTGAAATGAGCAATTTTGGTCATACAGCTTTTTGTATGGTTATGGTTTTGCTTTAGGCTAGTTGCCGGAAGTGAATTTTAATGGTTCAAAGAAGTATCTACATTATGAGATTCCAGATATGCACTTTCAAAACTAGAATCTGAAAGGATTATGCTTATTTTTGTCAACACTAGCTTGGTATAAGTTTCTGTTTTATTTCGCCATTGGCCTTTCTTACATTTCCAAAAGTTTTTGTTAATATACTAATAATTAAAAAAGTTTTACAGGCTGGGCGCAGTGGCTCACAGCTGTAATCCCAGCACTTTGGGAGGCCAAGGCGGGCGGATCACAAAGTCAGGAGTTTGAGACCAGCTCGGCCAACATGGTGAAACTCCATCTCTACTAAAAATACAAAAATTAGCCGGGTGTGGTGGGGGTTGCCTGTAGTTCCAGCTACTTGGGAGGCTGAGGCAGGAGAATTGCTTGTACCTGGGAGCTGGAGGTTGCAATGAGCCAAGATTGCACCACTGCACTCCAGCCTGGGCGATAGAGCAAGACTCTGTATCAAGAAAAAGATAATAATAATTGTACAGTTCTTTGATTATTATTACGGTTGGACCTTTATAAATGTGTTTGGTCACTGACATGTTTGTGGTCACTTTTATGGTATTTTAATCAAAATTTTAGAGTCACACTGGGCTGTAGGCACATGAGGAGGGCATGATAGATATTTGTTGCTTGAGTATTTGAATGTAGGTAGAACATGTAAAATTGTTATCATTGAACAGTTTCTTGCTTCATCCCCTTTATACTACTATAATTTTAAAATGCTTTTAATCATCAAACTATGCTGTACTTAGAATACTCCGTTATTTCTTACATTTAAACAAAATTGTTTAGCCACAATAAGATGAACACAAGGTCAGTTAGAAACAAGGTTACTATTACTCTGCGAAATGTGAAGCCAATTCCTTTTTCCATGTATAAGCTTCAGATTATATCACTTTCAGATATCTGAGGATTATGCCAACTGTTGATCAGAGAGTACACACAACAAATACTCACTACAGCTGCTTTCTTCTTTAGTACTAAATATTCTCATTAAGTGCTTTTTTCCTATTCACTTATCTCCCTCTTTCTTTTGTGTACATTGTACTGCTCCACCCCACCAAAGTGTAGAAAAGAGAAACAATCCTTTTTCTAAAACACATTTGTTTCACTCTTCAGAAACAATGGACAAGAATTTGAAGGATTCAGCATACCAGTTAGCTTTCTACAGCTTGCTCCCGTAGGGAACAAATTTTTGCACAAAGCAAAACATCTATCTGGCCTCTGCCAGTATCCCAAGTTTTGAGGCAAAAGTAGTAGAGTCCAGCATTTACCCTGAGGAGAGGCCTTAGATGGCAGTTGTGATTTCACTCTAGAATCTGAATTCTTAGAAAAAAGAAAGTATACAGTTCAGTGTCACCTCTTAGTTGTTGCACAGTTGTCTAAAACTATAGTGCAGTAGATGAATTTACAGTTTTTTTGACCCTAAATGGGTTGGCAATTGACAAAGATCCAAATGGCACAGTCCTTTTTGTTTCATATTTACTCTCAAGGAGCAAGGAGAGAGAATTATGTAGGCTGTTGCTATCTATCCACTCTCAAGAAATACAGCTTTTTGAGCATATTCCCTTAGCATTCCACATATTGGCATTATTTGCTTTCAAGCCCATCGAAGTATTTTTACTGTTTTTTGTTAGAGACGTGCTACAATTGGTTTAACATTTATTGGCTATATCCTGTCTTTGGTGAGTGCCATATTAATCTACTCAAAATACTAAGCAATATGTGGAAATTTGAAAACAACTTACAACACTATAAATATGTATGTAACCACATATTACCAATGGTTGAATAGATCATTTTTGTTTCTATTTCTTGGGGGAGTATATAATGATTTTCTGGAATTAAAAAATCGGTGCAAGGGGAGAAAGTGTAAATTTGATGTGGGAATGGAAACTTACAGTAACTTGTGTTGTTGCCCAGAGGACAAGAATACAGCAAGATTGGGATGTGAGCTTACATGAAACATTTCATCACACAGACAAAGCAAATGCAATTTGATTTATATTTTATGTGGCAGGTAGAGCCAAGTTAAATGAAAAAGTATGGTCTCAAAACATCCAAAATACACTTCATATTTAAGTCTTTTCTGCTATAAAGACAAACTAAATGGTGTTTCTTGAAGCCAGAGAAGAAATAAGCCAAGTATAAAATCCTGCTGTGGTGCATTGTGTCCTTTTCACCCTTTGGTGTTGAGTGGCTACCTCAGTGTCAGGCACATATTAGAGAGTTAGTTAATACTGATTAGATTAGTTTGGCATGATTCTTTAAAGAAGGGATCAAGCGTCTTCATCAGTCATGTGTGCGTGTGTGCATGTGTATGTGTGTAGTGCACAACACAGTGTTAGATTGGGTAGAAAATGTACTGGTTATAAGTTACGACGTTTATTTGATTCCCTGTGAAATGGAACTGAGAAAAACATAGCACAATAAAGAATGATGAATTAGTGTTCTCATATTAATTTTCTGATTCAGTGACTATATTTGGTCATGATAACAAGAATATCATGTTGCATAGCAGGTGTATCTCAAAATGTGTAGTGCTCAATTAACCGTTAGGAGAAATAGAAGTTTATTTCTCATTGACATAAAGTCCAGAACAGGTTTTCTGACCAATAGCTGGCTGGCTGATTAGCAATGCAAGGACCCAGGCTAATTTCATTTTATGGTTCCACCATCTTTCATGTATGGCTTCCATTGTACTTATGTGCATGAAACCTACTGAAGGCAAAGAAAGAGCAGGGAATTTGCACTTTGGAGGCTCTCATGGGCCAGGCCTGGAGGAGTTGCATGTATTTTTGCCCACATCTCATTAGGTAGAGCTGAGGCATAGGTCATCACCTAACTGCAAAAGACTAAGAATGTAGTCCTGCTGTTTGCTCGAATAGCTGTAATCAGCTGCAATTCAGTCTTCTTAAATCACTATTTCTTTGCATTTGTGAATAAAATGACTTCAATATAATTATTATACTCTGATCTAGGATGATTATTAAGAGAATTGATGGCCCTTTAAAAAATCAGGCTTATACAAATGCTTGAGTACAAAATTCCGGAGTTTAAGTTCTAAGTTTTAAAGAACTGCTAAGCTTCGATACCTTGGTCATGACAACTTTCTCAAATGCCAGGGAGGGAACCTTTGAATCCAAATATTTTCTCTGTATGAAAGGCCCACCCACAATAACATTCATTTGCAGAAGGAAATGATTTATTGCTCCCTGTGAGTGAGTGCCAAAAAAAGTTTTCTCCTGAAATATCGTGCCAGTATTTCCATATAAACATAATTTTAGCATATTCTGCGATGTGGAAATTTATTTTTCATAGAATTTATAGGTTTTGAGATGTAAAGGGTCCCCATAAAGTCGTTTTGCAGCTTGAAAATGTGAAAATATTTAACTTTTATAGTTCAAAAATTTTATGTTGTAGAAATGATAGAAACAATATCTAGAGAATGTTTGAAGACTTTTTCTTCCAGGTTATGTGGTCTGCTTGCCAGAGGACATTGTTTTATATTCTTATTCATTAAACAAGCACTTATTGAGCATTAACTATGTGCTATGTGATTAATTCACTTAGTACCTAGTCCTCCAAAATTTAAAGTCAGTTAGAGGAGAAGCTTCATACTGTTATAGAAGAAGCAGGGAAGGAGCAACAGCCTAGTATGTTTTAAGAGGCTTTGTGAAGTTTTAAGAGAAAATATAACATATCCACTTGGCCTTGAAAAAATCAATGGGTATTTGCCTGGAATGGAAAGGGGTTAGAGTATTCAAGACAAAGAACAGCATGAGTAGAGCAGTGAAAGCTTTGAAAGCTCATGACTTGGTTTGGATGCTGGAATTCCAAAAAGGTAGACATTTTGTGATTTATGGAGGAATTATGGGATGTGCACCTGTCCCAGTTGATCAGACTAGCGTGACAGACCATACTGAGACCCTTTTGCTTTTTTCTGTAGGCACTGGGAAGCTATGCAGGGTTTTATATCTCATTATATCAATGAGATAATCAGATCTCTAATTTTAGAAAGATAACCCTGTTAGCCCTGCAAATGATGTGTAAATGTTGAAAAGACTAGAGACGGAGGAGAGAGGGTGAGGGCAGTCCCTGGGAGGGGGAGCACGGAATGGACAGGAGAGAGAGTTCACAGGTGGAATTGCTAGAATTGGGGGGTTAGTTGGTTTTTGAAAGTGATTTTTTTGGTTTGTCATTAGAAATTGAAAGGATAACAGCGTATACAATTGAGTAGCATATTTGACCAAAACTTTAATAAATTTATTTTAAATACAGTTTATAGACCGCATCATTTACCAAATCTAGGACAACATATAAAAGTTAAAATGCACACAAAATTAAGACAATTTTTATTTTCTTATTGTGACAACATAAGGTGTTTGATAGTTTAAGCTTTTTTTTTTTTTCTGGCTTCATCTTCCATAGGGTTTTTAACCATTGTTCTAATTTTATTAACCAATTGGTTTATTAATTAAGCAAATATTTACAGAGCACCTATGTATGCTCAGAAATGATCTAGGTCATGAAGACAAATTACAAAACCACTGGCCACATGGAGTTTATATTTGATTAAGGGAAACAGACAATGTATGAAATAAATAAGAAAATATATATAGCGGCAGGTGGTGATAAAAGAGCTGTGGGAAAAAAAAGGCAGGGTGAAAGACATGTGACACTTGAGGGTTCTTCTGTTTTAAAGAAGGTGTTAAAAAAATCGAGAACGGCCACTCAGATTAAGTGATGCGATGAGAGATCTGAAGATAGTGAGGAAACCAGCTGTGTGGATTCCTAGGGGAAGGAAGTAGAGGAACAGCAGGTGCCAGGACTTAGGTGGAAACCTGACTGGCCTGACATGTGAGGAGCAGCAGGAATGGTGACATGGCTGGGAGAGTTTGGCGAGGGGAGCCTGGAAAGAGATGAGGTCTGAGAGGGAGATGGAGGGCCTATCACTGGAATCGTGCAGGCTGTTGTCAGGCTCGATCTTGGCATTTTCTCTGAATTAAACAAGATGAAGAGTTTTGAGTAGAAATGTGACATCATCTAAGTTGTAAAAGGATAGGTTGAGCCGCTATGTTGAGAGTAGTCTGCAGTGGTCCCAGGTTAGAGGCAGTGAAAAGGCTATCTCAGTAGTCCAGTTGAGAGAGAAATGATGGCTTAGACTGGGGTGATAGTGGTGGGGGTGCTGAGAAGTGGTCACATTCAGACTGTATGTCCTGATGGATTGGTGGATATGTGGCATGAAAAGGAGGAGTCATAGGTGACACTAGGATTTTTGGTCTGTACAACTGGAAGAAGGAAACAATATCAAAGCAAGGGAAAACAAGAATGTGAGATGGAAATATCAGGAGTTAGTTTTGAGCATCTTAAGTTGCTATGCCTATGAGATATGCAGGTGGGACTGCCAAGTAGGCAGCTGTATATACAAGTCGGAATCAGATCAGGGGAGATGTTTGAATATGTTGTGATTATATTTGAGAAAAATAGGATTAATTTAAAACGGGTTGCAAATGACTCAAATCCGATCTGTTCAGGATTAAATACTTAAAAAGATTATAACACTTTAGCATGAAAAAAGAATTGTTTTCATAAAAATGTGTTTCTCTATGACCACTTTGTTTTATTCATATTATCTCAAAATTATTTTTTAACAGGTTCTCATTTTTATAAATTCATAACTTGGAAAGGAAAACTTAAGAGATGTTTAACTTGAGGTTCAGAAACTAAGGTTTCCTAAATGCATGACATGTTATTGCCTGACATAAACATTATGCTTACTAATTGTTGACCTATCCTCCTTCTGCTTTTCAGTAATAAGTTTCTGACAGGCTCATACAGTGAGTGCCAAAGAGAATAATTGCTTGGTGGTTAGAGTGTGGGTTGTGGAACACATCCTGGTTCTGCAATCATGGGTTGGCTGAACTTAGGCACATTATTTACCATTCTTGTGCCTCATTTTCCTTATTAGTTAACTAGAGATAATATAAGTATTATAATGCAATACCCTTATTTAATTGTTGTGAGAATTAAATAAGTTAATGCATAAAGAGTGCTTAAAACTGTGCTGGATGCATAGCTAATGCATAAATGTTGGTGTATTTTTATCTGCCATTAAACGTTTGCTATGTGTCAAAACATACTGGGTACTTCATATATATTATTGTACTGTATAATTTCAAACTATGTTTTTTGCACAGGATATATTTACCACACAAAATAACAGGATTAATAGGAAACTAAATTTTAAAAAAGGTATTTTAACTCTACCACCTCAAATTAATGAGGCATTTTCATTTATTTCTTTTCCTTTATTTTTTTTTTGAGAAGGAATTTCGCTCTTGTTGCCTAGGCTGGAGTGCAATGGCGCCATCTTGGCTCACTGCAACCCCTGCCTCCTAGGTTCAAGCTATTCTCCTACCTCAGGCTTCTGAGTAGCTGGGATTACAGGCACCTGCCACCACGCCCGGCTAATTTTTTGTATTTTTAGTAGAGATGGGGTTTCGCCATGTTGGTCAGGCTGGTCTCAAACTCCTAACCTCAGGTGATCCACCCGCCTCGGCCTCCCAGTGTGCTGGTATTACAGGAGTGAGCTACTATGCCTGGCCTTATTTCTTTTATAGTCCTTAGACCTGTTCACTTGCACATTGTGTGTCTTTTTGTCATTTTTCCATGTTGCAATATAGTTGTAATGATTATACATTTTAATGTAACCAAAATTTTTTGGTCATATCCTTGTTGATGGATATTTAGACTGTTATAAACAGTGCTTTTGTATACTATTATGAATTATGTATTTTCCAGCAAATAACTCTCCTTTAATTTTACTTATTTCTTGAAGTTAAAGTTTTAAAAGTGGAATTACTAGGAAAAGGATATGCTTTTTGTTCTGGAAACATCTTACCAAATTTCTTTCACAACGTGCCACATACGTTCTTATTAGTGATGTACAGTCAATATTGGCAATATTGTTTTTTATTTTGCTAATTTGAGTAGACATTGTGGTAAATAACATGGTGCTGGAATTAGACTGACTGGATTCAGATTCCAGAATCACACGTGGCTAGATGTGTTAGCTTGGAAAAGTTACTTTTACCTACTCTAAGCATTGGATTCCTGATCTGCAAAGTGTGATTTATACCATAGCCTATGTACTTTGGTTATTATAAGGACTAAATAAGATGATACATTTAAAAATGGCATAGCGTCTGACATTTTATAAGGTTATTGCTGTTATACCCAATTTTTCTCTTTCTGCACTTTTGGCAATTAGTGTGATCTGTTGTATCAGTTTTGATGCTTGTTTACATTTTTATTACTTTTGTGTGAATTGTCATTTCAGAGATCTTATATATTATCCTAAAAAATGAATATGTTTTTCATAGACTGTAGTCTATGTGATGTTGGCATTTTATCTGTTATCTTGGCTTTGTGTAGTTTCCCTGGTTTGTTGTTTTCTCTTTCTTTTACTTATATTTTGTTTTAAAAGCATATGATTCATTACAATCCCTTTTCATATATCTGAAAATGGTTCTGTTTTATGCTAGAGTTTTTATTTATTTATTTTTGAGATGGAGTCTTGCTGTGTCAACTAGGCTGGAGTGCAGTGGCACGATCTCAGCTGACTGCAACCTCTGCCTCCCAGGTTCAAGCGATTCTCCTGCTTCAGCCTCCCGAGTACCTGGGACTGCAGGTGCACGCCACCAGGCCCGGCTAGTTTTCTTTTCTTTTCTTTTCTTTTTTGTATTTTTAGTAGAGATGGAGTTTCACTATGTTGGCCAGGCTGGTCTCGAACTCCTGACCTCGTGATCCCCCCTTGGGCCTTGCAAAGTGCTAGGATTACAGGCATGAGCCACTGCACCCGGCCTTATGCTAGTATTTATATGATTTAAACTGTTTTAGTGTAACTCTTCACTCTGTTTGGAATTTGGTACAAAATGTGAAGTACGGATCTAAATTAGTATTTCTGCATTATTGACCATTCTTCATTTTGCCATCATTTTTCAATAGCTAAGGCCATTTTTCTATAGAAATTAATACAAAATGAATATATGAAATACTTCTTAATTAAAAAAATCTAGCTACTGCATTGTTTGCTACTTGGTTTATCTTCTAAAAAGTGAATTTTACAGAAGCTACAGTAACATAACTTAGAAGGCAGTACTATGGAAGAAAATGAAATGGTCCAGGCTCATCCAGTTCTTATTCTTAAAACCTTATTTGGAAAAGAAAGGCACAAGTAATTTTCTTTCCTTATATGTCTGTTTGTGTAAAGATAGGTAATGCCATGGTCTGAATGTGGCCCCCAAAATTCATGTGTTCAAACTCAATTAATGTGATTATATTAAGATGTGGGGCCTTTAGGAGGTGATTAAGTCATGAGGGAAGAATCCTCATGAATGGGATTAGGGCCCTTAGAAAAAGACTTGAGAGACTTGATTCACTTTGTTCTGATATTCTGCCACGTGCGGGACACATCGTTCCTCCCCTCCAGAGGATGCAGAAACAAGGCTCCATCTTGAAGCCAAGAGCAGCTCTCATCAGCCCTTGACCCTGCCAGCTCCTTGATCTTAGACTTCCCAGCTTCCGGAACTGTGAGAAATAAATTTCTGTTTACAGATTATCCAGTCTCAGGTATTTTGTTATAGCAGCATAAATGGACTGAGGCAAATAGTAATTTCATACCCATAAAGTCCTTTGAGAATTCTTGGCTGGTATAGAAGACAGCAGTTTAATTCTGAGAAGAATATGCCATAAAATCTCTAGAAAATTTGTTTTGGGGAACTGAACTTTTAAATAATACGTTATATCAGTTTTATAGTTTCAGAAATTTCTACTTTTCCTGCTTTGATGAGTTCAGATTCTGGCTCTGCTGTTTTCTAGGTACATGGCCTTTGGCGTATTAGCCTTAGAGCCTCCTTTTTTTTTTCTTGGTCTGCGAAATGGGAATTTTCCTAATGTCTCCCTCGTAGGTGGGACTGATAATTAGCCATATGCTTCTGTTGTTCTATTGCATTCAGCTGGTATCATTGATGGACCTGTGCCTGTGTCAAATTGGTTGCTAAGTATATTTAAAACTTTTCCTGCTCCCATGATTACTGTGAGGGTGAGAGATAGTGTCTGCCCTATGCTTCAGGGTCAGGGTGTGGGAAGGGCGATGGTTTCCCCTAAGAAAAGGTATCAGGATCTTCAGAGAAAGAGAACCTTTTCTGATGGCACCACACTTTTCTCCTTTTCCAACTACTTTCATGGGAGTTTCTTATTCTGATGGAATGTTTTATGTGCCTCAAACTCATGTTGAGGTGGCAAAAACCAGAAACCATCACTCTAAGGAGGTGGTTCTTAACTAGTGCCTCACAGTAGGATCACCTGGGGAACTTTCAAAATTAAATCAATTAAATCAGAAACTCTGAAGGTGGGGTCAAGGCATTAGTTTTTCAGAAGCTCTGCAGAGGATTCCATTGTTAACCCAGGTTTGAGGGCCAGTATTCTGGATTATTTTTTCAGTAATAAAAAAGCACTGCTGTTCTTTGTATTCTGTCTCTTTTTTATTACTTTTTTAAAGGACTATTTTATACAAGCCTCTGTGGTAAATTGTGCTTTTAGTTATACTTTTATTATTTTAGTTTAGTATTCTAGGATGTTATTTATTCAAGAAATAATACTTAGAGTTATATACTGCTAAGTTTGTATCAGGGGCTCTACTAAGTATCTTATATATCTAATTCATCTAAGTTTAATGACAACTATTTAGAATAGGTACTATTATCATCCCATTTTATACAGAAGGAAGCTGAGGTACAAAGAGGCTAAGTATCTTTCTGAGGGTTACACAACTGGTTTGAGGCAGAGCTGCATCTTGCTGGTATAGTTTTAGCTCTTAGATTCTATGCTATGCTGTCTCTATTCAAGCTCCTACTATGTGCCAGAGAGTATTGTAGGTGCTTAGATTAAAGCAGTGACCAGAACAGCCAGAAATCCTCCTCTTGTGGAGCACACAGTCTGGTAGAAATTCTACAGATTTTATTTTAAAATGCTCCTGAATTGTAGTCAAGATTTAGTATCTCAGCAAATATTCTACTATGAAGCGATTTCCTCATCCCATGTAATTACTTATAATTGTGCATGATTGAACCTGCATAGTAGCCTCACTTGAAGAAATGTTTTATTAGTCTAGACTGATTTTGGGGGAGGGGAGATGAATTAGTGGATGTATAGAAAAGAATATCAAGCCTGTTTAATTTTCTCTTATAGGCTAGGTGTGATGGCTCATGCCTGTAATCTCAGCACTTTGGGAGGCTGAGGTGGGAGGATTGCTTGAGTCTAGGAGTCTGAGACTAGCCTGAGCAATATGGCAAGATCCCAACTCTAGAAAAAAAATTTTTAAAAATTAATTGGGTGTGGTGGCATGCACCTGTAGTCCCAGCTACTCAGGAGGCTGGGGTGGGAGGATCACTTAAGTCCAGGAAATCAAGGCTGCAGTGAGCCACGTTTGTGCTACTGCACTCCAGCCAGGGTGACAGAGTGAGAACCTATCTCAAATAAAATTTTTTTTTTTTTCTCTTATAGGCTTAACTTTGGGTCAGAGCATACAGATTTATAGTTAGAACTTTCTCAGTCCTCTCAGAGTCAAGGGCCATAATATATTTCTCCCTCTTTTTTCCTAAAGGGAGAAAGCTCCAAGTTTTGGGGTTTTATTAACTCTTACCGCTACAACTTCTCTTTGTGGCATCCGATTCTCTCAGAGTGCTGTGATACCAATATAAGCAGCTCATGAACTGAACTAATTTGAGCTAAAATGTTACTGGTTGGTAATAGTTTAGGGAGCTGCCCTTTCTGATACCAGGTGCATTTTCACAGGAGTTTTGATGGGAGTGTCCAGGAAGGAGCTGTGTGGGAATTCAGACACTGTGGCGTAGCCAGTGGAAGTATTTTTAGCCCGGGGTTCTTTCATCAGCCCTCTAGTCACACCACTTAAACAGCTGCTTACTCTGTGTGTGTGTAAACAAGTTCTTCTCCCTTCTCCCCGAGGACCTAGATTTGAGACCCTTATTCAGTCCTTCACACATATAACATTGGTTGTGACCTTGCACTCTAATCTGAACACTCTTGAGATTTTCAAGTACATGCTGACAGGGATTTTGTGAGAATATGTAAGTATCTGCTTAATGGTAAGAAATGAACCTTTTAACAAGGAGCTCACCCAGTAGTGTACATTTGAACACAGTTGGTAGTACCTTCGTAGTGGAACAAAATTCACCTAATGAAATATTTTTTTGAAATGTTGGCTTGAAAACATTTAATTCAGTTGTAGTTACAGGACTGCTTTCCTGCCAAAATGAACAGCTCCTAAAACAGTCTGTCATCCTGAGATTTCTCCCCTGCTTTTTCTTCTTAGCCCTATCCAGCTTGTGTCATAATTAGTGAGTAGCTGAATGAATTGAATTTGCCTGAATTTATTATCAGTCTCAACTACAAAACTAAGATTCTTGAAGCCTGGGAGTGCATAAGGTTCAGTGTATTATTCCTGTACCTCACACAGTGAGGCCCATCAAGACCCCCATTATGTACCTGTGGAAGGGAAGAGAGAAAGAATTTTCTAGGGTGCCAGACCTTGAATGTATGGAGCAGAAATTTTAATTCAGATGGTCTGATGCCAAAGTTCATGGTGTATCTTCCCCCTAGAATCAGTTATTATTAAATGAACTAAAAAGCCATTGGCGTAAAAGTCACCCACAAAAAACATTTGTTTCTTTGGAGAACCTTACATAACTCAAGATTCCTGAGCAATTTGCCAGTTGAAGTAACCGGATTGCTTGCCTGTCTTCCCAGTGGGACTGTAAACTCTGGGAGGGCAGGGAGTGTGCTTTGTTCATTGTTTATTCCCAGGTCTATGCAGAGTGTTCCATGGATAAGTATTTTAAACTACATAATACTGTATGATTAAAACATGTTTTTCTCATAAAGATATGGTAATGATTTGCAACAACAGAAGCCTTTTCTCTGAGGACTTGAAAGAGATCAGAACTTTGAAGGATACGAATTTATTCAAAGAGCAGTTAGTTGTACGTAGACTCAGATTGTAAAATAAAAATAACGAAGTCAGAAGTGTAGATATATTTTCAGTTCTTACAGGTGTTCACAAAATCATGTAGACACTTTATACTAAAAACTTCATGAATTAGAAGACATGTAAATTTTAAACTGGTTAGAAAGGAGAACCAATTCATTCTCTACTGTTGGCGCTAACTTCAACCATATAACATATGTTGCTAAAATTAGAGTTTTCAGAAATATGGTATTCATAATAATTAGAATAATGGATTCTAAGAGAGATCATTAGAGTGCATAGTGTGCTTTAACTCTTACCAGCTGTGACAGGGCATGCCATTGCTGTTCCTTAGATTTTGCCTAGAAGCTTTAAAAGAATCTGTTTATAAACTGGAACCAGTACTTAAGTGTCACTGGATTAACACTTCAGAATTTCATGTTTACACATATATTTCACAACTCTCTTTAATATGCTTTAAAGCTGGCTGAGACTTATTTATGTGTTACACAGCTATACTTGGTTCCATAATCTATAGCTACTTTCTTTTGAAATTAAATTTATTGCCACAGAAAATTGTGGTGAAAATAAAGCCAAAAGGTGTTGCAGCCTACTAATTGAAAACATGTATTTGGTAACTAGTAAGCATTAGTAAGCACTTAAGGGGTAAGTTTTATTTAATTTCTTGAAGTTTAATACTAACAAAAAGTGTTTAATAATATTAGCGAAGTTTTCTCAGAAAATAATTTTTGCTAGAATTTAGCTAGAGCATATATAGATATGATATATGCATATATTCTATAAATATTTTTTAAAATTTTAATTTTTTTACTTAAACTCTAATCTCAAAATTCATACAAAAGAGTTAGGTTTGGCTTAAGATAGTGTTGGAAATGGTTCCTGCCTCTAAGGATCTTAAACCAATCAATTAAGAGTTCAATAAAACAGCAGTACACATAAAACATTGAATTAAATTCGATAAAATATTTATTGAATACCTCCTATTTGTTAGGCATTGTATTAGGTACTGGAGATATGGGAGCGAATGAGATACAAGTGTTAAATTCGATGGATTTAATTATACATGTAATAAGGATAAGGCTTATAAATGCTTTCTTGTTGAAGTCTGGATGGTACTGTGTGCCAATAGCTAGTATTTAAAAAATTTGGCTTGATTTCAGTAAATTCATGTCTTGTGTGTCTATTCACCTCACAGGTAAGTGAAGTGAATCTTCCAACTCCTCTTTCTCCCCGGTTAATGAAACACCCCTTTCTGTGTGCTGTGCATAGCTCTGTGGTAACACTCATTGACTTATTCTGTTTTGGTGATTGTTTATAGTCTTAGTCTGTTTTGCTCTGCTATAACAGAATACCTGAGACTGGGAAATTTATAATGAAAAGATACTTATTTCTCACAGTTCTGGAGGCAGAGAGAAGTCTGAGATCAAAATGCTGGGATTTGGCAAGGGCCATCTTGCTGTGTCATCTCATGGTGGAAGGTGGATGGGCAAAGAGACAAAAGGGGGCCAGATAAGCTCTTCTGTAAAGGCATTAATCCCACCAATGAAGATGGAGCCTTTATGGCCCCATCACCTCCTAAAGGTCCCACCTCCCAACACCACCACAATGGCAACCAAATTTCAACATGAATTTTGGAGGAGATAGACATTCAGACCATGACATTTATTATGTCTGAGTTTTAACTTAGACCATGAGCCCCTAGAAGGCAGAGACCACTTGAATGTTTACAGTCCAGAGCTTCTCAACACATTGGACATATTTCGTGATGGTTGGGTAGATGGGTAAATTAATAAATTGAAAGGAAAGGGGGATATTGCAAAATAGAGAATAAAGAATGAGGAGCAAAATGGATAGGGTAGAAGAGGAAGAGAGGAGGAAATACAGGAGATGGATGGCCAACTCCCTTCTCCCTTCTCTTAAGATGAGACTTGATGTGCTCTCAAGTCCCTGGACTGGGTGCTCCCTATCAGTGATACTAGGGGGCTGTAATGGATGTGGCTTCAAGAGAGTCTCTAGCATGGCTTATTCAAAGTCACTGCCATAGACTTAGCACCCAGATGACTACTTTGGGTGCATTCCAGGAATGCACTCTGACTTAGGCATCTGAGCGATCTGTTTGCCCCTACTTAGTCTCTGAAATAGCAAGGTTACCTCATATCTGCCAAGCCAATGGGAAGGATACAAAGGCTTTTTTGGGGTAATAGTGTTTTTCCACACTGCATTGGTGACTTTTTTGTCAGCTAAGCTTTGAGTCATGATTGCATTTGAATGGGAAATGATATTCCTAAAATGTGTGCCTTAGATATTGTTATATTTTTGACTCCTGGTTAAAAAGTATTAATGTCAAAAAATAAATTTTTTCAAGTTAACTTTTGGTATCTATGCTTGGCAAACATTTCCACAGGCAGCCACTGTATCCTACACTATAAGCTTTCCTGTTAACCAGAAACTCTTTTAATTGCTTAGTTGAAATATATTGAAATCATTTGTTAATGAGCTTGAGGTGCTCTTTCTCACTTCATATTCTAAATTAACCTCACCAAAGAGTGACAGAAGGTGTAAAAGAGTTCTGAGATAAAACTGCTTTCCAAAATTTTGGTTAAAGCTAGAATGGAAGTGGGCAGAGAAGGGCTCCTTTGCTTTTGAGGGGTCAGTGGGAGAACGGATGTGGTAGAAAGTTAGCTTGGTTCACTACCATGCTTCTCTCCTGGTGGGCTGCCACATTTCTGTGGGTGGATATGTATGAGTTATGAGAAAAGGCTGGGGGCAAAGCTGGTGTTCGGATCTATGTTTTGGGGAGCTGTGCCCTCATTTTGGAGGAGCCAGTGTCTGGAAAGTGATTCTGAGAGACAACTAGCAGAGGAGAAGGAATTAATGGTCACAGTTTATGAAGAAAAAGAACCAGGATTGCATACTAAGCCCTCTACTGCACACACAGCCTAACCTCTCTATAAGGCAAAGATGTAACCATACATATATTTACCAGGGCTGTTTTCTGACTGAGATATGGAATAGAGAAAAGGTTAGATATGCCTGTCTGAGCAGCCTACAGATTGAAGAATAGTTTTTAGTATCCTTTTGGTTTTTTTTTTTTTATTTGAGATGGAGTCTCGCTCTGTCGCCCAGGCTGCAGTGCAGTGGCATGATTTTGGCTCACTGCAAGCTCCGTCTCCTTGGTTCACACCACTCTCCTGCCTCAGCCTCCCAAGTAGCTGGGACTACAGGTGCCTGCCACCACGCCTGGCTAATTTTTGTATTTTTAGTAGAGACGGGGTTTCACCGTGTTAGCCAGGATGGTCTCAATCTCCTGACCTTGCGATCCACCCGCCTTGGCCTCCCAAAGTGCTGGGATTACAGGCATGAGCCACCGTGCCCAGCCACTATCCTTTTAGTTTTTAGAGTTTAAAGCCTTATTTGGTGTTTAAATTTCTTTCAGAATTATAATGAAGTAAAATGAAATGTTTAATTGATCTAATTCAAGCATTTAAAGATACTAACATTTTTGTCTGAGTTTTGATGCACGAATTTACCACTTAATTCTAATTAGCCTGATCATTGCCAGCACTTTCCCATGCATCCATTCAGGAGGAAGCTAAGGAAACCTTCCCCACCGTAACTTTTTCCTTCTCCATGAATTCACCTGTTAATCAGATGCTTCTTTGTGCTGGTACACAGTTCTGTGGTAGCACTTATTATATGGTTCTTGTCTCTTCAGTGTCTCATTTATTTACTGCACTGTGAGCATGTGAACAGAGCAAGTATCTTAATCACTTATGGAGCTTCCAAACTTGAACCACTTCATGGTTTAGCCCCAAATGCAGACACTAAGGTAGTGTATCCTTATGCTATTTGAACTGATCTGTTTTTAAACATTCTGGTTATTTTCTAAAAAGCTCATTTGAATAAAGAAATTATAAAATGAGAACTCATTTTTACTGTCTATATGACATTTAGAGAATTAATTTTGTCTGAGAGAATGAAAACATTTACTTGTGAAATAAGGCAAATAAGAATTTTATTTAAAAGATTTGATTCACACAGAAAAATTTCTGTTTAATTGATCTTGGGGAAAAATGGGGAAAATTTGGTATGCTTTTGAGTAAAAACGTTTTTATATTGGGTAAATTTTTATTTTATAAAATAAAAATGTAATGAAAGTTATATATAGTGTTCAAATTATTGTCTAGTTTTTGTGTTTTACAAAATTGTAGTTACTGAAATTTGTAACATGGACTCCTTGATCAGTTAACTAATTTAAATGGACATTTTGTTACATTGGTGCATTAGGTAGAACAATGTTGGATGCAAACAGAAAATTTCAATACAAGCTTACTTGAAAAAGAAGGACGTTTAGAATCTCTTTTAAGTGGATGTTCATGTAGTTTTGATGCCAGAGGTGATTGATACAGACTAGAAGCTCAATAATGTCATTCCAGACTCATGTTAAGTGTTCTTTTTGTGGATGGGAGTTCATCGCTAGTCTCTGACATTCTGTGGTGGCCCCATCCTCTGGCTGTTAGCAGCAGATACCACTTTCAGCTATAAGAATAGTACTACTGGGTGTGGTAGCTCATGCCTGTAATCCCAGCTACTCAGGAGGCTGAGGCAGGAGGATCTATTGAGCCCAGGAGTTTGAGACCAGCCTGGGCAAGAAAGTGAGAGGTCATCTTTACGAAAAATTTTTAAAAATTAGCTGAGCAGTGTGGCATATACCTGTAGTCCCAGCTACTCAGGAGGCAGAGGTGAGAGGATCCCTTGAGCCCAGGAATTCAAGGCTGCAGTGAGCTATTATCATGCCACTGCACTGCAGTCTGGGTGATAGAGTGAGACCCTGTCTCAAAAGTAAAAACAAAACAAAACAAAACAAAATAGTACCATCTTTTTTTTTAAGATGGGAAAAAACCTTTCCCAGAAATCTTGTGGCAGACTTGCCTTCTCATTGGCAAGAATTGGGACCCTTTGATTTTCCTAAACCACCATTGACAAAATACATGGGTGACAGTGCCTGGTTGCAATAGTTCTGGGGAGTAAAACAGAGTACTATTGTAATGGGTAAATCCAGACTGCCTTTATACAAATATCAAAATGCTTTGCAGAATGTGGAAAGAAAATGGATTGCATTGCAGTCTATTTTTCTGAATGGAAATAGTTTTATTAATATAAGAAAATAAAAACAAATTTTATAAGTACACATTACATTTGTAGAGAATTAAAAATACCACAACAAAGGATATTTTTTCTGTTTTTCTAAACTTTGGAGCCAGGCATATGGTAACATTTCTTTTTTATTTTAGGCTTTTGCATTACAGATATTACTTTTTCCCCAGTGCCATTGGTTATTGGAACAGGATCTAAAGGTTTATTTTTATTTGTGGAAAAAAAAATTTTAAAATCATTTCCTCAAAAATATTAATTCATATTTTTATTTGTTTATTTGATAAGGGCCAGTCAATAGATAAATTGACAGAATGGTACTTAATGTAGAATTAGATTTTCAAAGATAATGTGAAGCATAAGTGAAACATTAGTTCTTAAATAGGGACTGCCTAGAGATCTTACTTGAGCCTTCGGCTGTGGTCTTTCGGTAGAGTTGATAACTGGTGAAGAATATTAAGGTTCAGAAAAGGTCTCGGGGATATTGCAGATGTTATTTCTCTGTCAAATGTAGTCATTTGCACACCTGCAGCACTGGGGTCTTCTTTCACCATGTTTTAAAGCTCACTCGGGCTGGACTGCTTCCAGGTTCACTTCCTGCTCCCTTTGTTCTCTTTTGCACTGTGCTTTTCTGCTGTGTCCCTGCTCTCACTTGTTTAAGTCATTTTCAGAGGAGAATTTGTTCTTGCAGATTTTAGATTTTCTTATAAAAAATGTGGAATCGTTGAAATTCCTTTTACAAGACTTTTTTTTTTATTCAATTACTTTACCATTTTTAAGGTAGGGAGAATCTCAGGAATACCAAGCAAAGAGGAACATCTGGAATGTTCTATACATTAATAAAAATGGAAACATGCATAATTGCTACCCTGCTAAAGTCCCTGTTATTAGTAATTTAGGAAACATTTTATTCTGCTTACCCAAAAGGAAAGGTAAATATATGCTTATAATATTAAATTGTTGAAACTGAAATCAATAGTTTTATATTAGTCGTATCGATTTCAGTGAAAAACCCTACCTTTCCAAGAGAAACAGTTTTGCCAATAAAATGTAGGAATTAAAATATAGTAACTTTGCCAAACAGATGTAAATTCTTTAATTAAAATAATTTATTTGAGTAAAACTTGCAGCATAATACTACTTTCAAATGATATAATTACAAAAATAAGCCAAAAATACTGAATTCTAAAAAATCTGTAGGTTTTTAAGGAAGTAATTTTCCTAATATGAAATATAATCTAATTTGGCTCATTAGGGGAATACTGTTTCCAAAATGGCATTTTATGTAATAAGCGTTCCCTTTTCCTCATTCCTCATCCCCCTCTGTGTCTCTCTGGTTGAGTTAGTTGAGGCTTCAATAGCAAAAGCACTTCCTTTTGCAAGTTTAGAGTTTTAAGCAGTAGTTCCTCTGTCTTTGACTTGAGACAGTATGATTATGTTATATAAAGTTCGTAATGCCTTTTGAAAATCTCTTTAATAAATAACCCTTTGAAAATAAAGTGTATATATACTTTGTTTATAAAAAGTGTATATAAACTTTATTTCTGTTTCTCAAATATGTTTCTCAAATATATGTATATAAAGTGTATATAAACTTTATATATTTCTCAAATATATTATTTATGGTTTTGTGCTGTTTGCACATTACTGCCTCTTGATACAGGTTCAACAAATAAGTATGGAATATCTCTAGTTTGGCAGACACTGAGTTAGGCATGTGAGCAGACAAAAATGTCTTTCCTTAGAGAGCTTACTTTAAAAAATTCTATTAAATATTCACTGATGCCTTTGTTCAGCATTTTTCCCTTCTTTTTCTTCTCCTAATGATTCATTCTTGCTGTTTTTGTGGCAGCCAGCAGTGCCTAGCTTCCCATGTAGCAGTATTTGAAAGTATCTGTCTATCCTATGATGTGAAAGATTTTAAATATTTATTTATTTTCACATGCAGTTTTTGTGATTAAAAGGGAGGAGAAAGAGAAAAGTTGTCAGATAAAATCAACGGGATGAGTATAAAAGTTTTCATCGAAGCAGCACAGTGTCATGGAGAGATGACTGGAATGTGAGTCAAAAGACATGTCATCACCTAGTTCCATAATTGGTGACTCACTTGCTTTTCCTTTTCTCAGTTAACCAACTCATGCTAACACAGAGAGAAAAATGCCTGCCATATCAGTTTCACACAAGGTGTTTGTAAACAGCAGATAAGGTCACGTGTGAGAAAATGTTTTCACTTGAATATACGTAAAGTGTTTCATTCCATTGCCTTACACATTTTATTCGTAAATGTGAACAAATAAAGGTGAATTTGTGGCTTTCATTAATTCAAATTTAAAATAGTGTTAAATTATACCTAGTTTCTAATTAATAGGATTAATAACTAAAACATTGTGTGATCTTGATATTTACCTCACACCCAGAACTATAAAAAGTAGCATTGCAAGAAATGAGATACATGATTGAGTGAACAGTGCCTGATCTGAAGTTGAGATGCTTTTATTTTATTTGGACAGGAATCATACATGGTAATAATTTGGGTTATTTCCAATAACAGAATTTTTTCTGCTGAAATATATTTTAAAGAAAACACTTTTAAAGAGTCCAATGTAGATTTTTCCACAGTGTATTCTACAGAGCATATTAAGATGTTAATTACCGCTCTTTGATTACAGGATTCCAGGGTCAAATAATTTTGTTTGATAAACAGTATAAAACATATTAATTTACTGCAGAACTTTCAGGGCTTCCAGTATGTGAATGTGTATACTGAAATGTTAAGAGGGCATATAGAATATGCAGCATTTTCCAGAATTATTTGAGAATGGATATTTTTTTTCCCTTAGAGAACATCTATTAACAAGCACCCTTGGACTCTCATCCTCAAAGTGAGGTCCCAGCACTATGAGCATCACCATCAATCTGGACCCCACCCCAAACCTATTGAATTAGATCTGATGGTAGGGCCTAGATGTCTGTGTTTTAACAAGCCTTCCAGATGATTCTGATACATGTGAGAACCACTGCACTAGGGTTTCCTGGAACATAGTTTAAAAAATAAAGAGCTAATCATTTAAAAATATGTATGCTTTTAAAAGAAGGCCCTTCTATTCTGAGTAGTGATATTTAGGTGTCAAGTTTTTATGCTTAGGGTGTGTGTGTGAGAGAAGTCATTAAAAAAAAAAAAAGATAATGCATTCTTGCCAAGTAGAAAATAGGTGTGGTATAATGAAAAAGGTGTTGAAAGTTTATGATTCATGATTTAGTAAAAGTAGAGCTGGATTAACTGTAGATTAAATATCTGACCTCACATACCACACCCTGACTGTACCTTAAGTTTATGCTTCTGTGAGTTAAAGAAGTGCAAGTAGAATTCCTGAGGAATTTAGTTTTCACAGGGAGGCGTGCTTTTATCCTTTTCTTTAAGCTTTCTCTCTCAATTTATTCCAATAGGGCATAATTTCTTTATGATGTTGCTCTTAGGAAATTCTTTCAACAATGATTTTATTTTCCTTTTTTTTTTTTTTTTGGGACACTGCAGCTTCGACCTCCTGAGCTAACAGATCCTCCCACCTCAGCCTCCTGAGTAGCTGGGATTACAGGCACACGCCACTATGCCTGGATGATTTTTGTAGAAACAGGGTTTTGCTACATTGCCCTGACTGGTCTTGAACTCCTGGGCTCAAGCGATCTTGTCACCTCAGCCTCCCAAGGTGCCAGGATTATAGGCATGAGCCATGGCACCTGGCCTTCAACAGTTATTTATTGGGTCCTTAGTAGGGGCTTCATGGGCACTGTGCTAGGTGCTGGATGCACACCGGTAGATAAAAGGAGCACAGTGCTGATCCTCACAGAATTAAGAGTGCATAGAAATGGAGAGGAAAGGAAACAGCCTTTCCTAAAGAATGAAGTGCTCTAGTAAGGAAGTCCAAGGTGCTAAGGGAAAAGGAGGGATGATACCTGTTATAATCCCCAAGGTCAGGATTATGTGACATGAGAGATGTAGTTTATTATATTTTACAGTGATTGGCTTGAAAAATAGTGCAGAAGATTTGTAACGCATTTCTAAATTTGGGAAGGATAAACAGTAGCTTGGAAGCTTCTCTTTGAGCAGTAGGCAGTTTTATTTAGATAAAATTCAGTGCATCTATCTTTTGTAGGAAGAGTTTGAGAAAAAATAATTATTCTGAATTTAAAAATATTAGAAATGAGACTTATTATGTAAGTATATGACATGGAGTTTTCATGATAGTTATCAGCTAGTTCTGATAAGTAATATATTTAGGTCATCATAGAAAGTATGTTTATATTAAATAACTCTTGCATATGTTTGTTACAGTAAATTTTCTTAGAGATAAATAATAAACTATTTTTTGGACAGCTTCAAAAGGGAAAATTCAAAATTTAGAAAAAACATTAGAAATGTTAATATGGGATATTTTTGACTTAAGACATTCAGAAAAGTTAATGTTTTAACACGATATGTGATTATAGAATTCTATTCATATATGTGTTCACATTTATACACTTTGCTATACTTTGTATTTATAAATATAATTCTGTTAGATAAATAAGTGATTCATATTTTGTCAAAACTATTTTAAAATTTCAATATTTAAAATATTTTTGAATCACTGGTTTTCGTTAAGTGGCATCATAGATGAGATTTGATTCCATGTAGCATATAATTTTAGATTGTTCCTCTCTCACCCCTTTTAAACTCCTTCAAGCATTGCTATTACTGGGGTTGCCTTTGGGAAAACTTACTTCTAGATACTACCATATATCTGAAATAGTAGAGGTGGATGTTAATAAAATTCATAAAATAATCATGTATTACTTTTTTTGATTTACCACTGGAAGGAAATACAGTCATGTGCAATATAATGACGTTTTGGTCATTGAGACCCACATGTGTGACAGTGGTCCCATAAGGATGTTGCTGAAAAATTCCTGTTGCTGCCTAGTGACACTGTAGCCATCGTAACGCCATAGCACGACACGTTACTCACCTGTTCATGGTGATGCTGGTGTAAACAAACCTGTGCTGCCAATCATACAAAAGTATAGCACAATGACAATTATGTACAGTTTATCATAATTCTTGATAATAAATGACTATGTTACAGGTTTATGTATTGATTCCACTTTTTGTCATTATTTTGGAATGTACTCCTACTAATTATAAAAAAGAAAAGGTTAACTGTAAAAAAGCCTCAGGCAGGTCCTTTAGGAGGCATTCCAGAAGAAGACATTGTTACCATAGGAGATGACAGCTCTATGTGTGTTATTGCCCCTGAAGACCTTCTAGTGGGACAGGATATGGAGGGGAAAGACAGTGACATTGGTGATCCTGACCCTGTGTAGGCCTAGGCTAATGTGTGTGTGTCCTCGTTTTTAACAAGAAAGTTTAAAAAGTAAAAAAAAAAAAAAAAAACGTAGAAGAAAGCTTATAGAATAAGGATATAATGAAAAAATATTTTTGTATAGCTGTACAATGTGTTTGTGTTTTAAGCTAAATGTTCCTGCAAAAGTGTCAGAAAGTTACAAAATTATGAAGTAAAAAAGTTATAGTGAGCTAAGGTTAATTATTAAAGAAAAATATTTATAACATAGATTAGTTAAACCTAAGTATACAATGTTTATAAAGTCTGCATTAGTGTACAGTAATGTCGTAGGATTCCTCATTCATGTACCACTCACCCAGAGAAACTTTCAGTCCTGTAAGCTCCATTCATGGTAAGTGCCCTGTACAAGTGTACCATTTTTTATGGTACAGTTTTGCCTTTATATTTATTTTTACTGTACCTTTTGTATGTTTAGATATGTTAAAATACACAAATACCATTATGTTATAGTTGCCTACAGCAGGGATCCCCAGCCCCCAGTCTGGGGCCTGTAAGGAACGGGACCACACAGCAGGAGATGAACAGCAGGGAAGCTAGCTAAGCTTCACCTGTATTTATAGCCACTTCCCATCACTCACATTACTGCCTGAGCTCTGTCTCCTGTCAGATAAGCTGTGGCAATTGATTCTCATAGGATTGCGAACCCTACTGTGAACAGCACATATGAGGGATCTGGGTTGTGAGCTTCTTATGAGAATATACTACCTGATAATCTGTCACTGTCTCCCATCACTCCCAGGTGGGATTGTCTAGTTGCAGGAAAACAAGCTCAGGGCTCCCACTGATTCTACATCATGGTGAGTTGTATAATTATTTCATTATGTATTACAATGTAATATTAATAATAATAAAGTGCACAATAAATGTAATACACTTGAATCATCCCCAAACCATCCCCCTACACTCCCACCCTGGTCTATGGGAAAACTGTCTTCCATGAAACTGGTCCCTAGTGCCAAAAAGGTTGAGAACCGCTGGCCTACAGTATTTAGTACAGAGAAATGGTGTACAGGTTTGTAGCCTGGGAGCAATAGGCTATACCATTTAAGTTTGTGTAAGTACACTCTATGGTGTTCATGTAAGGAAATAATGACATTTCTCAGAACCTATTTCTGCCATTAAGTGATGTATTACTGTTTATTATTTACTCCTGACACTATTATTACTGAAGTTAACTAGAGTCCCCAGTGGTTAATAGAGGAAAGTTTATTTGTACCATGGGGCAGCTGATTTTACATGTTTGATCAGATTGGTCTCATGTAGAAAGGTAGTGTAGCAGCCGAGCATGGTCGCTCATGCCTGTAATCCCAGGACTTTGGGAGGCTGAGGTGGGCGGATCACTTGAGGTCAGGAATTCAAGACCAGCTTGGCCAAACATGGTAAAACACCGTCTCTACTAAAAATACAAAAATCAGCCAGACCTGGTGGTGTACGCCTGTAATCCCAGCTACTCAGGAGGCTGAGGCAGGAGAATTCCTTGAACTCAGGAAGCAGAGGTTGCAGTGAGCTGATGTCGTGCCACTGCACTACAGCCTGGGCAACAGAGTAATGCTCCGTCTCAAAAAAAATAAAAATAAGGAAAGGTAGTGCAGTGTATTGGGAACATAAATGCTAAAGTCACGCTGCATGGGTCAAAGAAATCCCAACTCTGCACTTGAGCAGGTCATGTCTGTGAGTTGTTTCCTTATCTTTAAAATGCAGGGATAGGCCGGGAACGGTGGCCCATGAGGCTGGGGCGGGGGGATCCCTTGAGGTCAGGAGTTCGAGACCAGCCTGGGCAACATAGTCAGACTGTCTCTACAAAATATTAAAACAAAAATTAGCCATGCCTGGTGGCACATGCCTGTATTCTCATTTACTCGGGAGGCTGAGGTGGAAGGATCACTTGAACCCACAAGTTCGAGTCTACAGTGAGCTGTGATAGTGCCACTGCACTCCATCCTGGATGAGAGAGGCAGAGACTCTTTCTCAAAAAAAAAAAAAAAAAAATGCAGGTATAAATAAGTACCTACCTCATAGGGTTGTTAGTATTAAAAAGATTAATTAATACAAAGTGCCTACCATAGTCACTGGCACATAGTAGATAATCAGTAAATATTAGCAATTACCATTTTTCATTTGACCTTCAATAGCCTTTCATTATTCTTAGGGTAAAGACCAATATCCTTAACAAGACCCATAAAGTAACCCCATTATCTGGCCACTACTTGTTTTCCACACTTTTTTCTTTTCCTGATTCATTAAGCTCCTTTTATTTTATTATCTCTCATGAAATGCTTGTTATTAGATCTCAGTGTTCTCTTACTCATCTTCCCTTGGCCAACTGATTGTTTTCTCATGCTTCAGATTTGACTTCAGAGGTAACATTCTTAGCCAAATCTTTCCTGATGTTCCCATCAGCCCCCAACACCTCCTTCCCCTGCCTAAGTTCAATGCTGTTGTTGGCTGTGTTCCTTATAGAATTTTGAAAGGATGATAATACAACTGGGTTATTTGTTTTCTTTCCACACCAGAGCATATTATAGACCCAGAATTGTTCTTAGCACATAGGCAAAGGATAAATATTTCGTGGGTGTGTGAGGTAGTGAGTGAATTAGGAGTGAATGAACTGATCTATGCATACTTGGGTATTACACATATTAGGGTATTACAAGTACAGGTACCAGGTAATCCTGATACATGAGATTAGGCATTTTTTGTTGTTCTTGAAACTTGAGAAAATAAATGCTTCATTGTATGCAGGTGTACTTGAGAGCTACCCATACGTAGTGTGATGTTTGGTTTTGTTGATTAATTGTAGTTTTAAAATATGTTTAAATTATCTTAAACGGATTAGATGTATTATTCTGCTTGAAATATGCAAATGTCTGAACATTGCCAGTCATTTCCCATTATACCTGAGGACTTACATATTGTTGGCTTGAGCTGCTTTCCAAGGCTGTAGAAGGCACAGTTCTGCCTGTCTGCGGTGAGTATCAGCAGGTGATCATCCTGAGGCAGTTGCCTGTAGGAAGCCACTGAGATTTAGGACAAGTTGGAAGCCAAGGCTTCTGCAAGAGCTTTACAAGTGTAGAGTTGTTTGAGGGTACAGATCACTTCCATTAGTTCTTTCGTGATATGCTTATCTTCCTTATCTTCCTGCCATCTCTTATACTGTCCCATTTTCTTCCTTATCCTTTGAATGTTTTGTCTTACTTTTTCCCTCCTCCTCCAGCTTTGCATACTTGAAAACCCTTCTTTTTCCTCTCCACCTCCCCTTAATTTTGAAAAGCCAAGGAAGGATTTTTTTTTTCCTTCCAAACTCTTCAAGATTTTTTCTGGGAAGCCTTCTCTACAACTTTGACATAGGCAGTGAATAAACTGATTGATATTAAACCCATTCAAAGACATTAAACTCCTGTTTCTCTAGGAGATTGAGGATTGGTGTAGTTTAGAACCTTATGAACTGGAACCAATAAAACGGTTCACCAGGATGGGAGTGTTTTACACTTTCTGGATCACTGATTATCCAGTACAGAAAGTTCAGCATCACCAGCACTCAACAGTAGCAGCTCTTCCATATCTTACTCTGAAATGGAAATGGCAGTGCCTACTTTAGGTATTTTAATAACAATAAATAAATATATTTAATAAGTTCTTTCCTACTTCTTGAACCAAATAGTTCTTAAGAATGAGGTTGTCATTAAAACTTCAGAGATATCTGCAGTTTGTGTTTCTTTGTTTTTTTTTTTTTTAAATTTTGAAAATATCCTTCAAAGATAGGGAGTAGTCTTTTCACTTTGACAGGGCATTTGACAACCATTAATTTATGCAGCTTCTGGGCTCTTTTAGGAAGAAATGCAGATTTTAGTGGTTATAGGAGTTATCTTTGGTTGTATAGAAAGGTGTAAAGATCTTTCTATAAGGTGTTAAAATTTTCCAAAGAATAGTGTGGGTTATCTTTACAGCAATTTAAAATAAATTAATATTTACTGATTTATTTTTAATTAAAGAACATTTTCAAAGGTGGGGTTAAGTAGCCCAGGCTGGCTTGAACTCTCGAGCTCAAGGGATCCTCCTGTCTTAGCCTTCCGAGTAGCTGGGATTACAAACGTGTACCACCATGCCTGGCTTTAAGAGAATTTTTTAAAATATAAGATATGATGATTTGTTGACTGTTTTTTGGCAACAGTGTGCACACAGTCTTCAGCTACAAAGTAGTTCTCTATATATGCTAGCATTTTGTCTGAAATTTTCTTAAAGGAATCCATTTTTAAAATTGAATGACCCTGTAATAAGCTTAACAAGTGTTCAGGATCGCAATAAATTATATCAGTTGGCAAAACTTTTTACACTGCAGTGACAGTCTCTTTGGTAACAACCAAATGTGGTGTGAAAGATACAATAATATATTTTTAGATTCAAATTTAAATTGAAAATATTTATTAAGTATAAGTTTTGTAAAACTCTACAATTTAAAGATTCTGTTTTCTAAGACTACACTAATTTGTATTCAAATGTAAGATTTCCAGCCATTTAGGAGTTATCTAAATAAATTTTTTCTTTTATTATTATACTTTAAGTTTTAGGGTACATGTGCACATTGTGCAGGTTAGTTACATATGTATACATGTGCCATGCTGGTGCGCTGCACCCACTAACTCGTCATCTAGCATTAGATATATCTCCCAATGCTATCCCTCCCCCCTCCCCCCACCCCACAACAGTCCCCAGAGTGTGATGTTCCCCTTCCTGTGTCCATGTGATCTCATTGTTCAATTCCCACCTATGAGTGAGAATGTGCGGTGTTTGGTTTTTTGTTCTTGTGATAGTTTACTGAGAATGATGATTTCCAATTTCATCCATGTCCCTACAAAGGACATGAACTCATCATTTTTTATGGCTGCATAGTATTCCATGGTGTATATGTGCCACATTTTCTTAATCCAGTCTGTCATTGTTGGACATTTGGGTTGGTTCCAAGTCTTTGCTATTGTGAATAGTGACGCAATAAACATACATGTGCATGTGTCTTTATAGCAGCATGATTTATAGTCCTTTGGGTATATACCCAGTAATGGGATGGCTGGGTCAAATGGTATTCTAGTTCTAGATCCCTGAGGAATCGCCACACTGACTTCCACAATGGTTGAACTAGTTTACAGTCCCACCAACAGTGTAAAAGTGTTCTATTTCTCCACATCCTCTCCAGCACCTGTTGTTTCCTGACTTTTTAATGATTGCCATTCTAACTGGTGTGAGATGGTATCTCATTGTGGTTTTGATTTGCATTTCTCTGATGGCCAGTGATGATGAGCATTTTTTCATGTGTTTTTTGGCTGCATAAATGTCTTCTTTTGAGAAGTGTCTGTTCATATCCTTTGCCCACTTTTTGATGGGATTGTTTGTTTTTTTCTTGTAAATTTGTTTGAGTTCATTGTAGATTCTGGATATTAGCCCTTTGTCAGATGAGTAGGTTGCGAAGATTTTCTCCCATTTTGTAGGTTGCCTGTTCACTCTGATGGTAGTTTCTTTTGCTGTACAGAAGCTCTTTATTTTAATTAGATCCCATTTGTCAATTTTGTCTTCTGTTGCCATTCCTTTTGGTGTTTTAGACATGAAGTCCTTGCCCATGCCTATGTCCTGAATGGTATTGCCTAGGTTTTCTTCTAGGGTTTTTATGGTTTTAGGTCTGACGTTTAAATCTTTAATCCATCTTGAATTGATTTTTGTATAAGGTGTAAGGAAGGGATCCAGTTTCAGCTTTCTACATATGGCTAGCCAGTTTTCCCAGCACCGTTTATTAAATAGGGAATCCTTTCCCCATTGCTTGTTTTTCTCAGGTTTGTCAAAGATCAGATAGTTGTAGATATGCGGCGTTATTTCTGAGGGCTCTGTTCTGTTCCATTGATCTATATCTCTGTTTTGGTACCAGTACCATGCTGTTTTGGTTACTGTAGCCTTGTAGTATAGTTTGAAGTCAGGTAGCGTGATGCCTCCAGCTTTGTTCTTTTGGCTTAGGATTGACTTGGCGATGTGGGCTCTTTTTTGGTTCCATATGAACTTTAAAGTAGTTTTTTTCCATTTCTGTGAAGAAAGGCATTGGTAGCTTGATGAGGATGGCACTGAATCTGTAAATTACCTTGGGCAGTATGGCCATTTTCACGATATTGATTCTTCCTACCCATGAGAATGGAATGTTCTTCCATTTGTTTGTATCCTCTTATTTCGTTGAGCAGTGGTTTGTAGTTCTCCTTGAAGAGGTCCTTCACATCCCTTGGAAGTTGGATTCCTGGGTATTTTATTGTCTTTGAAGCAATTGTGAATGGGAGTTCTCTCATGATTTGGCTCTCTGTTTGTCTGTTGTTGGTGTATAAGAATGCTTGTGATTTTTGTACATTGATTTTGTATCCTGAGACTTTGCTGAAGTTGCTTATCAGCTTAAGGAGATTTTGGGCTGAGACAGTGGGGTTTTCTAGATATACAATCATGTCATCTGCAAAGAGGGACAATTTGACTTCCTCTTTTCCTAATTGAATACCCTTTATTTCCTTCTCCTGCCTAATTGCCCTGGCCAGAACTTCCAACACCATGTTGAATAGGAGTGGTGAGAGAGGGCATCCCTGTCTTGTGCCAGTTTTCAAAGGGAATGCTTCCAGTTTTTGCCCATTGAGTATGATATTGTCTGTGGGTTTGTCATAGATAGCTCTTATTATTTTGAAATATGTCCCATCAATACCTAATTTGTTGAGAGTTTTTAGCATGAAGGGTTGTTGAATTTTGTCAAAGGCTTTTTCTGCATCTATTGAGATAATCATGTGGTTTTTGTCTTTGGCTCTGTTTATATGCTGGATTACATGTATTGATTTGCGTATATTGAACCAGTCTTGCATCCCAGGGATGAAGCCCACTTAATCATGGTGGATAAGCTTTTTGATGTGCTGCTGGATTCGTTTTGCCAGTATTTTATTGAGGATTTTTGCATCAATGTTCATCAAGGATATTGGTCTAATATTCTCTTTTTTGGTTGTGTCTCTGCCAGGCTTTGGTATCAGAATGATGCTGGACTCATAAAATGAGTTAGGGAGGATTCCCTCTTTTTCTATTGATTGGAATAGTTTCAGAAGGAATGGTACCAGTTCCTCCTTGTACCTCTGGTAGAATTCGGCTGTGAATCCATCTGGTCCTGGACTCTTTTTGGTTGGTAAGCTATTGATTATTGCCACAATTTCAGCTCCTGTTATTGGTCTATTCAGAGATTCAACTTCTTCCTGGTTTAGTCTTGGGAGAGTGTATGTGTTGAGGAATTTATCCATTTCTTCTAGATTTTCTAGTTTATTTGCGTAGAGGTGTTTGTAGTATTCTCTGATGGTAGTTTGTATTTCTGTTGGATCGGTGGTGATATCCCCTTTATCATTTTTTATTGTGTCTATTTGATTCTTCTCTCTTTTTTTCTTTATTAGTCTTACTAGCGGTCTATCAATTTTGTTGATCCTTTCAAAAAACCAGCTCCTGGATTCATTAATTTTTTGAAGGGTTTTTTGTGTCTCTATTTCCTTCAGTTCTGCTCTGATTTTAGTTATTTCTTGCCTTCTGCTAGCTTTTGAATGTGTTTGGTCTTGCTTTTCTAGTTCTTTTAATTGTGATGTTAGGGTGTCAATTTTGGATCTTTCCTGCTTTCTCTTGTGGGCATTTAGTGCTATAAATTTCTCTCTACACACTGCTTTGAATGCGTCCCAGAGATTCTGGTATGTTGTGTCTTTGTTCTCATTGGTTTCAAAGAACATCTTTATTTCTGCCTTCATTTCGTTATGTACCCAGTAGTCATTCAGGAGCAGGTTGTTCAGTTTCCATGTAGTTGAGCGGTTTTGAGTGAGATTCTTAATCCTGAGTTCTAGTTTGATTGCACTGTGGTCTGAGAGATAGTTTGTTATAATTTGTGTTCTTTTACATTTGCTGAGGAGAGCTTTACTTCCAAGTATGTGGTCAATTTTGGAATAGGTGTGGTGTGGTGCTGAAAAAAATGTATATTCTGTTGATTTGGGGTGGAGAGTTCTGTAGATGTCTATTAGGTCTGCTTGGTGCAGAGCTGAGTTCAATTCCTGGGTATCCTTGTTGACTTTCTGTCTCGTTGATCTGTCTAATGTTGACAGTGGGGTGTTAAAATCTCCCATTATTAATGTGTGGGGGTCTAAGTCTCTTTGTAGGTCACTCAGGACTTGCTTTATGAATCTGGGTGCTCCTGTATTGGGTGCATATATATTTAGGATAGTTAACTCTTCTTGTTGAATTGATCCCTTTACCATTATGTAATGGCCTTCTTTGTCTTTTTTGATCTTTGTTGGTTTAAAGTCTGTTTTATCAGAGACTAGGATTGCAACCCCTGCCTTTTTTTGTTTTCTATTTGCTTGGTAGATCTTCCTCCATCCTTTTATTTTGAGCCTATGTGTGTCTCTGCACGTGAGATGGGTTTCCTGAATGCAGCACACTGATGGGTCTTGACTCTTTATCCAATTTGCCAGTCTATGTCTTTTAATTGGAGCATTTAGTCCATTTACATTTAAAGTTAATATTGTGATGTGTGAATTTGATCCTGTCATTATGATGTTAGCTGGTTATTTTGCTCGTTAGTTGATGCAGTTTCTTCCTAGTCTCAATGGTCTTTACATTTTGGCATGATTTTGCAGTGGCTGGTACCGGTTGTTCCTTTCCATGTTTAGTGCTTCCTTCAGGAGCTCTTTTAGGGCAGGCCTGGTGGTGACAAAAATCTCTCAGCATTTGCTTGTTTGTAAAGTATTTTATTTCTCCTTCACTTATGAAGCTTAGTTTGGCTGGATATGAAATTCTGTGTTGAACATTCTTTTCTTTAAGAATGTTGAATATTGGCCCCCACTCCCTTCTGGCTTGTAGAGTTTCTGCTGAGAGATCAGGTGTTAGTCTGATGGGCTTCCCTTTGTGGGTAACCCGACCTTTCTCTCTGGCTGCCCTTAACATTTTTTCCTTCATTTCAACTTTGGTGAATCTGACAATTATGTGTCTTGGAGTTGCTCTTCTCGAGGAGTATCTTTGTGGCGTTCTCTGTATTTCCTGAATCTGAACGTTGGCCTGCCTTGTTAGATTGGGGAAGTTCTCCTAGATAATATCCTGCAGAGTGTTTTTCAACTTGGTTCCATTCTCCGCGTCACTTTCAGGTACACCAATCAGATGTAGATTTGGTCTTTTCACATAGTCCCATATTTCTTGGAGGCTTTGCTCATTTCTTTTTATTCTTTTTTTCTCTAAACTTCCCTTCTCGCTTCATTTCATTCATTTCACCTTCCATTGCTGATACCCTTTCTTCCAGTTGATCGCATCGGCTCCTGAGGCTTCTGCATTCTTCACGTAGTTCTCGAGCCTTGGTTTTCAGCTCCATCAGCTCCTTTAAGCACTTCTTTGTATTGGTTATTGTAGTTATACATTCTTCTAAATTTTTTTCAAAGTTTTCAACTTCTTTGTCTTTGGTTTGAATGTCCTCCCGTAGCTCAGAGTAATTTGATCGTCTGAAGCCTTCTTCTCTCAACTTGTCAAAGTCGTTCTCCGTCCAGCTTTGTTCCGTTGCTGGTGAGGAACTGCGTTCCTTTGGAGGAGGAGAGGCGCTCTGCTTTTTGGAGTTTCCAGTTTTTCTGTTCTGTTTTTTCCCCATCTTTGTGGTTTTATCTCCTTTTGGTCTTTGATGATGGTGATGTACAGATGGGTTTTTGGTGTGGATGTCCTTTCTGTTTGTTAGTTTTCCTTCTAACAGACAGGACCCTCAGCTGCAGGTCTGTTGGAGTACCCTGCCGTGTGAGGTGTCAGTGTGCCCCTGCTAGGGGGTGCCTCCCAGTTAGGCTGTTCGGGTGTCAGGGGTCAGGGACCCACTTGAGGAGGCAGTCTGCCCGTTCTCAGATCTCCAGCTGCGTGCTGGGAGAACCACTGCTCTCTTCAAAGCTGTCTGACAGGGACATTTAAGTCTGCAGAGGTTACTGCTGTCTTTTTGTTTGTCTGTGCCCTGCCCCCAGAGGTGGAGCCTACAGAGGCAGGCAGGCCTCCTTGAGCTGTGTGGGCTCCACCCAGTTCGAGCTTCCTGGCTGCTTTGTTTACCTAAGCAAGCCTGGGCAATGGCGGGCGCCCCTCCCCCAGCCTCGCTGCCGCCTTGCAGTTTGATCTCAGACTGCTGTGCTAGCAATCAGGGAGACTCCATGGGCGTAGGACCCTCCGAGCCAGGTGTGGGATATAATCTCGTGCTGCGCTGTTTTTTAAGCCGGTCGGAAAAGCGCAGTATTTGGGTGGGAGTGACCCGATTTTCCAGGTGCCATCCGTCACCCCTTTCTTTGACTAGGAAAGGGAACTCGCTGACCCCTTGCGCTTCCCGAGTGAGGCAATGCCTCACCCTGCTTCGGCTCGCACACGGTGCGCGCACCCACTGATCTGCGCCCACTGGCACTCCCTATTGAGATGAACCCGGTACCTCAGATGGAAATGCAGAAATCACCCGTCTTCTGCGTTGCTCACGCTGGGAGCTGTAGACCGGAGCTGTTCCTATTCGGCCATCTTGGCTCCTCCCCCAGTAAATTTTTTCTATTGATGATAGTTAATCTGGTAATAATGAAAATGAAAATATCTGTGAATAAAGTGGTTTTCAGTAATATTTCTTTGTGTACATTCTAATCTTACTTTAGGAGAAATCTTCCTTAGGGAGCTACTTAAAGGGACTGACTGCTGGACAAGTGGAAGGACGTTATGATAATAATAACATGGATCCCCAGTGGAAACCAGGGCTGGTTAGGAAGTGAGAAGACAGAGATGCTGATGATACACTCAGGAGTTCCGTTACAGTACAGATGGGAAGGGAGAGTGCACACACACCCCAGGGTGCTTGGACAAGTAGCCTGAAGCACAAATTATTTTTTACATGTTTTGTTTTATTTGTAATATTAATTTTAACTTTACGTTATATTTCCTAATATACTTTAGTATAAAGCAAGAATTCCTTTTAAATCTTTGGAGTAAAATGAATGATCCAAAGCTTGTTTAAATGGTGACTTCAAATACCTCTTTATACCAGGAGATAAGTTTAAGCAAGTCTTAAAAAAATCTTAACGTACTGGAGTTTTTATGAAAACTAACACATATGTGATGTGTAAAATAAGTAGAACACTGAAAACTATTTGTTAAATACCACATCCTAGATAGATTTTCTAGAAAACCATGGTTTTCATAAAATATTTTCCACTTTAAAGGTAAGTTATCCCTGATTCACTTTTATTTACAAGTACATACAGTCTTTGGGATTAACCAGTTCTTGGATATTAATAATCATAGTAAAAACATCTGAGGATACTTTTTTTTTTCCTGAGACAGAGTCTCACTCTATTGCCCAGGCTGGAATGCAGTGGCCCAATCTCAGCTCACTGCAACCTCCAGAGGATACTTATTTTTTAACATGCTTTGTACCCAAGGCCATTACATTTAGTCTGTGAATGTGTTTATTAGCTGTAATTGAGCTGCAGGACAATTTGAAAACTAGAATTGAACTCTTAACCCCAGGTTTCCTCTGTGATAATTATAGGATGAAAAATAGCCAAGAGAAAACAAATATATTTATCTTCATTAATAAAAATGCCTCACAGTACTGTTTATTACTTTTAAAATATGATATTTTCATTTTGCGTATACCTACACATACACACTGTGTGTATGCATGTATGTATGTATGCATGTTTTGTTGAAATTGAATTAGCTGTTTAATACCCAGATTTCATGAAACAGGGATCATAAAAACTCTTAGTTATTTTCAAGTCATAATAGGACATACTCTCTGCCAGGCACTGTTTTAATGTTTAAAACATATAATTGCATTTAATACTTATATTAACTCTGAAAAAAATCAAGATCCAGCATGATTAAATAACTTGCCCAAAATCACATAGTTAGTAAATACTCAAGCTGGTGAACCCAGGCAGACTGACTCTGACATCCATGATCTTAACTACACATGGTATGGATGCCTACTTATTTTTATTAATAAAAAGGAAGCCTTTGCCAGGTAAATTTGTGGAAGTTTATTATCAAAACAATTTGTGGTGATACTGTTCATAGATTCTCCTGGTTTGAAAGTGAACAGCCAGCCCTGTGTTTGAGCTCTGGCATGGGAGCAGGCTGCTTCCCAGAAGCTCACATCTGTGCTGTACCTTTTGAAGTCATGCTTCACTGGGTCTTTGATGTGTTTCTTCTGTCTTGGTTCCTTTCAGGTGTCTAACTTCAGATGAATGGTAATGGTTCCATTCTTCAGTGATAACATAATAGAACTGGAGTTCTTTTATTCTTGTTGTATTGGTCATAATATGCTGCATTTTTAGAGACCTTTATTTTAGTTAATCAAGGTATTGAGTTTCAAGATTGATCTTTTGGTTATTATTGTATGTGTTTAGTCTATTCAATGACAAATTAAATTTGAACTTTAAAAGGTTTTGGAAATACTGCTCTATTCAAAAGAGGTGTGGTAAATGAATTTTACTTTTATTTTGATAAGCAATAATGGGGTGAAAAGCCTTACGAGCCGTTTCCTCTGTTCTCATTGAGGTGCAGCTCACCTTTGCCTCCTTGATTTTGGGTACTCACCTCCTGCTCTGGTCAGTTTCCTAGTGCACTTCCAGTTTTGTAGGAATAATGATGGATGACCTGGGGCTGCAGCTCTAAACCAGAAACTTCTAAGACATATGAAATGTAAGCATAACCTTTCTAAGTTTAGAGAAACAAAGAGTAGAATGGTGGTCCCCAGGGGCTGGGGTATGGGGGGAAATGCGGAGATGTTGGTTAAAGGGTACGAGCTTTCAGTTAGAAGATGAGTAAGTTCTAGAGATCTCATGTGCAGCATGGGGACCATAGCTGATAATAATGTATTGCATACTTGAAATTTGCTAAAAGAATTGATCTTAATTGTTTTCATCACAAAAAAAGGTTAAAAAAGAAACTAATGTAGCCATTCTATTCTGAATCATCTTTGTGTGTGTGTGTGTGTGTGTGTGTGTGTGTGTGAATCTTCTAGTTCGACTCTTCTTCCTCTGTGGCTTGCTCTTTCTGTGCCCAGCTCCCTCTGTTACAGATACAAGAAACAGAAACTAATCTTAAGGAAAGTGAATTAGTTGAGAGGATTCAGAGTGGCTCAAAGGAAGAGTTAAACAATGAGGCCTTAGGATTAGAGCCAGTTGCCTGTTTACCTGAGTGTCTAGAGATCCTACAAGTGAATGACTTACCTCTGGTCAGCTTCTCTGCTCAAGATTACATTATCTAGGAGAAAGTGTGGGAGGATCCAAGTCATTCCCCACCTGCCCCATTTCCATGCCAGAGGGATGGGTACTATGTAGAGGAGCCTGAAGCAGAAGACCGGAGAGGGGATACTGGCCAGGTCTCTTGCTCTCTGCTGTCTTCTTTATGTCTGCCTGACTTCCCCCCGCTGCCCCGCTCCCCGCCCCAGATTGTTTCACATACAATATGGGCCATAGGCAGTTTAGTTTCACCAGATTTTGCTCTGGGAAAGAAAGACTTGCTGAAAAAAGAAATAAGCAGTGGCTCTGAATTTCAAATCAATTTCATATTGATCACTGGATAATTGTCAGTGAATCATGTTTTTCACTAATCAGGAGTGCAAATTGATGAGATTAATGAATGTGACTGAGAAGATAATAGTGGGCCAGACCCTGGCAGCCAAATATTTTCACCTGGGTCCTTCTTCAAGGAAAATCCAGAGAGTAAAGAGGAAAAATTAAATTAGTAATACTGCTGGTTCTTCTGGTTTAGCTTCTTGTAAGCATTTCTCTGCTGTTATCCAATATGAAGGGAGCAAAATAGAGTATCAACACTAAAAGATGAAAAAAATCACAAAATGTTGATTAGAATTTTATAAAATAAATATATCATAGATGAAATATTTCGTAGAGGTTTTAATTATATAATTTAAAGAGTAAATAATAGGGTAGAAAGTTATATAAGGGACTATTTTTAAAACTACATTTGTACTTTTAAAAATTTCGGTTCAATATCAGGCAGTTGTTGAACTTTAAGGCAGTTCAGAATAAATGGTTAGGTTAGAAAAGATGAGACTGACAATAACCAAGGAAATTCTTTTTTTTTTTTTTTTTAAGATGGAGTCTCACTCTGTCGCCCAGGCTGGAGTGCAGTGGCGCGATCTTGGCTCACTGCAAGCTCTGCCTCCCGGGTTCACGCCATTCTCTTGCCTCAGCCTCCCAAGTAGCTGGGACTACAGGTGCCCGCCACCACGCCCGGCTAATTTTTTGTATTTTTAGTAGAGACGGGGTTTCACCATGTTAGCCAGGATGGTCTCGATCTCCTGACCTTGTGAGCCACTCGCCTGGGCCTCCCAAAGTGCTGGGATTACAGGCGTGAGCCATCGTGCCTGGCCAACCAAGGAAATTCTTAATTTAAGAATGGTCACTTTCAAAACTTGTAAAGAAATACCTATTTCTTTCAGTCACAAGCTAAAGTTTTTATCTCTTATTTATATCTTCTGTTTAAAGTTTGCAAAACCAGTTTTTAATTGAAATTCTAAGTATAAGCAAAATATTAGTATCTAGTCTATTTATATGTATCCTTTAAGAAGAAATAGCCAGAAAGTGTTATTATTTTGGCATAATAGAGAATCAGCCTATATAGGGAAGGAATTTGGAAGAATTATTTCTTCCTTAGTAATCTGTGTTAATATTTGTTACCTCATCAAGTATATTAAAAGGTGTTTAGAAAATTTCAGTGGAACAGAATAGTCAAAACCATCCTGAGCAAAAAGAACAAAACTGGAGGAATCACATTACCTGACTTCAAGTTATGCTGCAGAGCTATAGTAATCAAAACAGCATGGCACTGGCATAAAAACAGATACATGTTACCAGTCAAACAGAATAGAGAACCCAGAAGTAAATCCATACATCTACAGTGAACTCGTTTTTGACAGGGGTGCCAAGAACACACATTGGGGAAAAGCCAGTCTCTTCAAGAAATGGTGCTGGGAAAACTGGATATCTCTATGCAGAAGAATGAAACAAAATTCCTATCTCTGATCATATATATGATGGTTAGTTAATACTGAGGGTCAACTTGATTGGATTGAAGGATACAAGGTATTGATCCTGGGTGTGTCTGTGAGGGTATTGTTAAAGGAGATTAACATTTGAGTCAATGGGCTGGGAAAGGCAGACCCACCCTTAATCTGGGTGGGCACAATCTAATCAACTGCCAGTGCAGCTAGAATGTAAGCAGGCAGAAAAATGTGAAAAGGGAGACTGGCCTAGCCTCCCAGCCTGTATCTTTCTCCCGTGCTGGATGCTTCCTGCCCTTGAACATCGGACTCCAAGTTCTTCAGTTTTGGGACTCAGACTGGCTCTCCTTGCTCCTCAGCCTGCAGACAACCTATTGTGGGACCTTGTGATCATGTGAGTTAATACTTAATGAACTCCCCTTTATATGTATATATGTATCTATATATCTATATATCTATATCTATATATCCATTCCATTAGTTCTGTCCTTCTAGAGAACCCTAATACAGTATACGAACATCAAATCAAAATAGATTAAAGACAAATCTGACACCCCAGACTGTGAAACTACTCAAAAAAAAAAAACGTTGGGGAAACTCTCTAGGACATAGGACTAGGCAAAAATTTCTTGAGTAATACTCCACAGGCACAGGCAACCAAAGCAAAAATGGACAAATGGCATTATATCAAGTTACAAAGCTTCTGTACTGTAAAAGAAAGTCAACAAAGTGAAGAGACAAACCACAGAATGGGAGAAAATACTTGTAACTACCCATCTGACAAGGAATAAATAACCAGAAAATATAAGGGGCTCAAACATTGAATGGGAAAAAATCTGATCAAAATGGGCAGAAAATCTGAAGAAACATTTCTCAAAAGACATACAAATGGCAAACAGGTATATAAAAAGGTGCTAGACATCACTGATCAACAGAGCAATGCAAATTAAAACTACAATGAGATATAATCTCACTCCAGTTAAAATGGCTTTTATCCAAAAAACAGGCAGTAACAAATGCTGTTGAGGATGTAGAGATATGGGAATCCTTGTACACTGTTCGTGTATGTGTAAATTAGCACAGCCACTATGGAAAACAGTGTGAAGATTCCTGACAAAAGTAAAAACAGGACTACCATATGATCCAGCCATTCCACTGCTAGGTATTTACCCAAAAGAAAGGAAATCAGTGTTATCGAATAGATATTTGCACTCCCATGTTTATTGCAGCACTGTTCACAATAGTCAAGATTTGGAAGCAACCAGAGGTGTCCATTACCAGATGAATGGATAAGGAAAATATGGTACAAATACACAATGGAGTACTATTCAGCCATAAAAAACAATGAGACTGTCATTTGCAGCAACATAGGTGGAACTGGAGGACATTATGTTAAATGAAATGAGCCAGGCAGAGAAAGACAAACTTTGCATGTTCTTGTTCATTTGTGGGAGCTAAAATTTAAACAACTGAACTTGTGGAGATAGAGAGTAGAATGATGTTTCATAGTGGCTGACAAGGGTAGTGGGGTGGGATTGGGAGTGGCAAGTAAGGATGGGTAAAGGCTACAAAAATATACAGAATGAATAAGATCTATTTGATAGCAGCCAACAGTAATTTATTGTACATTAAAAAAACTAAAAGAGTATAATTGGATTTTTTGTAACACGAAGAAATGATAAATGCTTAAGGTATTGGTTACCTCATTTACCCTGATGTGATTATTATGTATTGAGTGCCTGCATCAAAATATTTCATGTACTCCATAAATGTATACACCTAATATGTGCCTACAAAAATTAAAAATTAAAAAAATTCAAGGATGTAAGCATAAGAAATATCCAGTTTAATACAGGTGTAGTATTGGTAAGTAAATGCAATTCTAGCCTATTATAATCTTAGGATTTTATTAGGAATTAGAAGAAAAGGAAGCTAGATATCAGTTAAGCTCTCAATCTATGAAAGCCATTTGTAGAGAATTAAAATTCATTGAACTGCTCTATGTAATAGTTCTTCATCATTAAACCCCCAACATGCCCAATTTACAGAACTGCAAATGGGGGATAAATGGTTATTTTAAGGAATTAATCACTGCTTTGACTTTCATGGATTAGGAGTGAGGTACAATTCGTTTTATATTGGGGGAAGACAATCCTGGTGAACAGCAAGTGCAGATGACCCAAGGCAGCAATGTGCCCAATGCGCTTGAAGACCAGCAACGAGGCCAGCATACTTGGAGTGGAATGATCTAAGAGGAAACTAGTAAGAGGGAGATCAGAGAGGTAACAGGCACCAAGATCATGATTGGTCTCATAGACAGTCTTAAGGACTTTAGTTTTTATTTTTAGTGACATGGAAAGTCATTGGAATGTTTTGATCACATGGATAATATGAACTATCATTGATGATTCTGGCTGCTGCATGGATAGGAATGTTAGGACAAAGGGTGGGAGTGAGAGACCTGCTAGAGGCTACTGAAGCGGTTCCAGGTGGGCTAGAATGGCAGGGGTGGAGCTGATGAGAAAAGGTAAAATTCAGGGTGTATTTAAAGGACAAATAGAAAGGATTTTATTTAGATGTAGTAGATAAATGAGAGGGAGGCATCGAGAACAATTCCAAGGATTTTTCCAGATGACATGATGGAGTTCCCATTCATAAGGCTGAGAGGGACTGAGAGGTGAAGACATGGGTGAAACCAGAAATTCATTTTTAGATACACTGAGATGTCAATTAAAATGGATATGCAAGGCTGGAGTTCAGGCTGGCTCCAGATAAAAGTTTGAGTTTTGTTAGTATATAGGTTTTACCTAAAGCCACTAAGTGGTACAAGACCATGTAGGGAGTGAATGTAGATAGAAAGCAGTATGAGGACTGAGCCCAGAGCACTCCAAGGTTTGGAAGTTGGGGTAATAAATGAGCAAAGGAGAATGAGAAAAAGCAAGGTGTAGGGAAATCAGGAGTGCATATGTGTCCTGGCAGCCATGTGATGAAAGTATTTGAAAGAGAAGGAATTGATAACCTCAGTTAAGTCCTGTTTAAAGTTTAGCAACTTGGAGAGTCAACGGGTGCCCTTGACAAAAGCAAGTTGGAGTGTTGAGGGACGCCTGATTGGGTTGGTTTCAGTAGAGGTCAAGGCGGGGAAACGAAGTATAGGCAGCAGATTTAGACCGTTCTCTTGAGGAAAAAGGGAGCTGAGAAATGAGTGGCAGCTGGAATAGGAAATGAGGTCAAGAGAGTTTTCTTTGTTGTTGTTTTTGATTTTGTTTTTTAAAATGAAAGTAAATACATCATGGGAATGATCTAGTAGAGAGAGAAAAGAGAGAAGGGGAAACTGCTGTAGTGCTGTGCTTGAGTTGGCCAGAGAAGATGGGATCTCATGCAAAAACAGGGACAGGGGGATGGGCTCAGGTAGGTACACAGCCTGTTTATCCAGTTAGGGGGAAAGCAGAGAGTGCATCTGGCCACAGATGCAGGTTGGTAATTAGATGTGATGGGGCATAATAAGGTAGGAGGGGTTTTTTGGTGTGTGTGTGTGTGTGTGTGTGTGTGTTTTAGTTTCTGTGGGAACAAGAAGTAAGGAAGGGCTAGGAGAGAAGGTGCGCTTAGAAACCAAGTGCAAGGCTAGTGCTCGGTGATTTTCGTAGACCAGCTGTTGCCTGTGCTAGGATCTACTGTATTCTCTCTCCATTTGTTCCAACCCTTTATTAGAAACCTACAGTGCTTACAGGATTGCCTCAGACTTGCTTTTTTCCCTTCCTCCCAGTTCTTGTTGATGCCATTCCTTCAGCCTCCCACAGCACCATGGACATGGGGCTCTTGTGTGCAGTGGGCTTTGACTAAAGAGTTGAGACAATGGAGGGAGATTACAACATAATCCTTCCTGACTTCATTTTTTTAATCCTTTTCCTCATGCTTCAGAGCAGGGGCTCTTCCTTTTTTGTGCCATGGATCCCTTTGGCAGTCTAGGGAAACCTAGGACTGCCTCTTCAAGGTAATTTTTAAATGAAAAAAAAAAAATGTATAGCATTGCAAAGGAAATTAATGAATAGAATACAGTTTTCAAAAATATAAAAAGCACAATTGTGCTATAATGCATGTGTCTTTATGATGTGTTAAACAAACTCTAGTGGCAGGTAGCGTGACTGCCTTATTTTCAAAGTAGTAATGTAAACAATCTTTCAAGATATCTGTAACAGCTGAGATATGGTGTGAAAATGTTTGTGATTTCTGCCAGTGGCAAGGTCACAGGTATTGGTAATCGTACTGTGATTTGTTGCCTATGTTCATAAAGAAATGCTAGATCTTAGTTAAAAGTTCATAAAAATAGAAAATCTTTTTCCCATTGAATTTCTATCCTTCATCCTGTGCATGAATCTTTTGGGCATCTGTGGTCTTCAGGTTAATAACCCCTGCCTCAGTGGTACCTCTGAGTGTACCGCTCTTGTCCAAGGCTGGATCCTACTACCTGTGGTCTAGCCTCCTATGCCCTCCTCACCAGCCCCATTTTCTTCGAAACTTACTCCAAACAGATATCCCAGATTGTTCTTGTATCTTAAATCTCTCTCTCCATGGGTTCTTTTTGTTTCCTCTTGGAATATGCTTGCATTTATGTTCTTTCTTCCATTTCCCATGAGGGCAATAAATAGACTTACTTGTGTGGCTGTGGCTAGTGCAATGACTGGCATGTGCCCTGTAAATGTTTACTACTTGTAGAAGGTAATCACTAAACGTTTATTAGATAAATAAACAGATACTTCTATTTCCACTGGGAATTCTCAGGTTTTTTTTTCTTCCAAATTAGAGAATGTTACAAATGTCTTCCTACTGGAAAGGGGAAAATGCTTATAAGAATTATTTAGCATCATGCAAGCCCCTTTGGTAAACACAGTAGAGTCTGCAAATTTCATCAGTCAGACCAAGATAGTTACCGTCCTCGTAGAGGGGTATGCTGGATTTCCAAATGTAAGTAATTTTGATAGGAAAACTGAGAATGACTCTTTGTCAAACCAGTTCATTGGTTTCTATGAAAGTCTGGTGACAAAAATAATTTTGAGTTATAACTTGCTGGACTTTGGAATTAAAAATATAGTTAATCTCTATTTAAGTGACATGTTAAGAAATATAGTTCTGATTTGAATTTTGCAGTAGATACTAAGTAGACACATGTATCTTAGAGTAAAAGGATAGGATTCAGTGACCTATTCCTAACTTCCAAGAAGTTAGTTTTGGAGAAATGTTGGCTATTAGCATTAGAACATGTTTTTATCCTTGATATGAATTTACTTTTAGTCTATAATAATTTTAAAAATTATTTACTTTCCTCATAGTCCAGTAACTGATATTCTTTGAACACATACCTCTAATTTATACAGCTATTAATCATATTTTATCTTATAATATTTATTATTTTCTGTTCTTTATTGAATGATCACTTGAAATTTTATATTTATATATTTATGCAAACAAAGGAGTCAGTTGAGATCATTATAAAGCGTATAGGTTAATGCTTGGCAGATAGTAAACACTATGCAAATAAAATAAGGAACCACAAGCATACATATACACAAATTTTTATTCTTTCCAACTAGATTTAAAACTGTCTGTAAACTCTACGAGTATGAAGACCTTGTTTGTCCTGTACATCTTCGTACACTCAGTGCCTGGCATAATGTAGGCTCATAGTGTGTTATCAGTAAGTGTTTGTTGCATGAATGTAAGCCACTGCTCTTACATTGTGTAGATTGGAAATAAAGATGGTGAAAGATAAGAGATTATTCAGGTAACTTGTGCTAAAGGCAAACACATTTTCCCTTACCTGTTTGTATTCATTGCAGTTATTATTTCTTACAAATACAAAATGAGTGTAGTTACTACAAGTGGATTAGGTGTAAGGAGGTACAGTATTCAGCTGGGATACACTAGCATGGCTCTCTTGGTTCTTTATGGCCAGCCTCCATTCTTCTTAGATGTGTACAGGCCATATCCATTAAACAACATTTTGAATATAATCTGCGGTTTTAAGTGAATATTTGGAAGAAAAGTTATTTAAACTGAATAGATAGGAAAAAATATATGTATACACACATATGGACATTACTATGTCTAATTTTGAGGAATGATAGAAATTTTAGCATATAATTAACCAGTCATTTATAGATTAAAGAATCTAAATTGATAAGCTATATTTTAATATTACTAAAATATGATACTTTTACAATTAAGATGTTGCTTTTTCTAGTTCCAAATGGTTGTCATGGTAACAAAAGTACATTATTGGTTTTCTTACATTTATGTCCTTGCCCATTCATTATGGGATTTAGCTGTTTTACAGGGTCGTGAAAATTAATCAGTAGCATTTTCTTCTTGTAATGGCAAGCACCCACATTAAAATTATTGCATTCCATGTAACTTATCTTTTGATATCACTGTCTTATTTCTCCTCCTTAAAAAAAAGCCAGAGCAACTACTAGACTATATATAAAGTAATTTTATACTTGCCAATTGATCTTCCCTTGGGAGCTACTGTAGTTTTTATAAATAGCTTGCTGACTTCGAAGAAACATATTTCTGTTCTTAGGAACTCATCTGGAAAGAACATTTCTTTGGGGGATATGGAGACCATGTGTGGAATTCCAGCTACAAGAAAAATTCTGGGATTTAGACAAAGAAATATTAGGTGGTTTAAAATTGAAAGTCTTTTTGTGAAAAATTGGTTTGCTCTTAATAGCCATATTTTATGTTCTTAGAACCTAATATATTGTGGATTCGTGGTCCCCAGCCTGGAGTTTCCAGACTCCGGGGACCTGCAAACCCAGATTGGTATCACTGATTACATTATCTTGGTCAGAGTACTAATTCGAAATTGTATGTGTTTATTAAAAATGAGCAAATGTTTATTACTTAAAAAAGCAACTCATTTATTTACTAAATTTTTCATAACGTGGAGTTCATGAAGTAAAAATGAAAAGTTTCTTTGGGAAAGACTCATGTCAGTTTGAAGCTTGACCTTTATGTGTGATTGCTACCTCTAGAGATTTTAATTTATTGAAATACTGTGTCCAATTGTAAAGCTAAGAATACAAACCACTTAAGTGAATTTTACTTTACAGTGAATATCAAAGATTGAACTACTTTTTATCCCAAATTAAAATTTTTGATCAAAGATGCAGGTGGTTTTATGGTAGTTCATAAAATATATTCTCTCCATGAGGATAATATGTATGGAGGCTGTATCTTATAGATAGTATTATCTTTAATGTAATGAATGATACTGAATTCATAAATAAGGTAACTTTTATTGTTTTTGGTTTAAGAGATATTCAAAATAAGCTTTGTTGTTTTCAAGGCTAGTGTTATTTTTGTTTCTTTTTAAAATTTATTTAGGGGGAGGGGAGGAAGAGGAGGTCATGGTCAGACTAGCAGCACATGCCGCCATCAGACTTCAGACACTCTCTGAAGGTGTTTCACACCTCACCCTCCATTTCTCCAAATCACTGCAAAAGCACTAAACCTGAAGATTGAATTCTGTATGAATTCAACATTTGGAAATTTAAAAAAAAACAAATGAATAATTATAGAATTGCTCCAATTTTCAGTCCAGTTTGATTTTTAAGAAAACTTTACTTATCTCATTCTTAAATGGCTTAGAAATGTTGATCAGAAATTTCTCAGTCATTCCAGTGATTTTACAGCCTTTTTCTTCAGGATGGTGATCAGAGTACTTAACCTACCTTCCTCTTATTGCAAATTAAACTTATTTCCTGTTCAATCTGTAGTTGAAGGAAAGTAACTGTTTGAATTATTTGCATTTCCCCTGGGCTATCTTCATATATTTGAGGACTACTGTGAAGCTCTCTATTCCTTCTAGCAAGCCCCAAGATGCCTCATCTATTGAATAAGGCCTTTCGTATCCTGAAATGATAAAAAATGGACATGATGCTCTACTGTAATTGTACCCTAATATAAAGGAGAGATTATATGAAAATAATTTTATAAAAACATTTAAGAAGTGCATTTTGAAAAATAATGAATTTGAATATGGAAATATGTGGACATGACTATAATAAGAATAATGAAGTAGATAGATTCTTGTACTTATATGTAGCACCACTATGAACAGCATATTTACAAATGAAGGCTGAAAAAGTTTTGTTGTATCAGTGACTCAGAAACAACAAGGGGTATTGAGATTGTGGATGCAAGTTTTTGATAACGGTGACAAGGCTCTGAACAACACAAATCTCTTGATTTATGTAGTTGTTGCCTTCTTGGAATTCAGTATGTATTTAAAATCTTTGATAAATACTATGCATTTATATGTAAAATGCAGTAAGGTTCTAGACTGAGATAATTAAACATATTTTTCACTCTCATGAGTCCAGCCATTCATTCAAGAGTCTTGAGGGACCCATGAAAACTCTTCGTTTGGGACAGTCTCCTGTATTGCAGTAAACCTAGCAAGCCTATTCTTGGCCCATGAAAAGAAAGACATGCTCCCTAGTCATTGTGCAAGCCAAAAATGCGATAACTTATTTTCCAAAAAGCTACTCTTTATGTGATCCCCTTGAGAACCTCTGCTCTAGGGTTGTAAGCTTTTAAACTTGAGGGCTATTTTCTAAAGCATCAGTATTTTTCTTTTTTCCTTCTTTGTAGTCTATTCAATTATCATCTCTTATACTGAAATATAATCAATAAGGACAAAGGATTCACATTCTTTTATTCCAGAATATGCCTAACATATATTGGATGGCACCAACCATAATAATCTAGGTGCAAAAAAATTGTAAACAAATTATCAGTTCTAACAAACCACTGTGGATGATTATTAAAAAGATCCTTTAGTCTTCTTTAAAGGATCCTTCTTTAAAGGAATTCTGGTTCATATTGAGATTATTTTATTTTATAATATGTGGGGGGATAAGAACACCAAACATTTATAGAGCACTTATCTAACAGTTATTATGTTACTTGCCTTCTCTCTCATTTTAAGTCTCATAACCATCTGATGAAGCAAGCATTATTAATATCTTCATTTGATAGAAAAGAAATCAGAGCCATAGTGAGGTTAATTATCTTGCTCAAGGTCACACAGCTATTAAATAGTAGAGCCTGGACTTAAACTCAGGTTTCTCGGACTCTACAGCATTTGCTCTAAATTGCACTGGTGTGCCGATGACTCTTTTCAGATGTTTTTCATCACTATGAAACTATGTCTAACATAGACCTTCAGAAAAGCTCTTCCCATCTCTTTTAAAATAACATAACATGTACGTAACAAAAATACGGGATAATTAAAACTCTGAAGACAGAGGATAGTGCTTATTTTTTGTTAATCACCTTCAACTTCAACTAAAGGGAAAGCCTGTTTCTAAGTCTTCTGGTTCCAGTTACCACTGAAGAAAAGGAATGTGCATTGCTGCCACTGGTGATATTTGTGACTTCTAGATAAACAGTGCCTTCTAGTCTCCTGTGTATTATTCTTTTCAGCATTAATAAATTTATTTAAAATAAAGTTATTTGAGTTAATCAAATTCTTGTGCTTGGAAGTGAAATAATCAGATTTTAACTTACATTTAAATTTTAGAGAGGTCTGAATTGATTATTTAAATCTCAGTAATTTATTGAAACATCACTGTGTGCCCCATAAATGTGTACAGTTAGTATTTGTCAAATGAAAATAAAATAAAACTTCGAATAACTTTGCAGTTGTTAACACAGCCTCTTCCAGTTTTCTGCTAAAAGACCAGTGAAGGCCCAGGGGGAATACAACAACAAAAAAGACTGACAATTGCTAGAAATTTTGATGCATTTCTTTCACCTATAAGGAGCTGGCCTGGGGAAAAAAACAGATTGTCTCATGAAAAAGAAAACCCAGCTATCCAAAGTAAGAAATGTAGAGGTAGTTTTTGTTGTTGTTGTTTTTTTGATAAGATCTGCTGCTTGCTCAGAGACCCATGATCTTTTAACAGCTAGAAAACTGGGCAGCCCTCCATCTGCTGCAGGGGTGCCGTTTTTCTGAGGATGCTGTAGCATTATCATCACTGATGCCGCCTCCTGACCTCCTGTTCCATATGTCTCTATTCTCTTCTTATGTCTTTCTCCAGCCAGCTAGCAGCGTAAGTCATAGAAAACAGCAAGAACCTGGGAGAGGGGGAGCAGCTGACTACTGCATCCTGAAAGGAGGGGGTTTCCTCCTGTAAAGGGCTCAAGGTGGGGACAGAGAACTCAATGGTAGGCATTTTAGTTTTCAAGTGCTCCTTTTGCTGATTAACAATATGTAACAAGAAGGTCCTGCTGCAGTCCAGAAGACCAGCTTTAAATGAATGTATCACAGTCACTGAGAACTGGGCTTCTAACTCTTCATATCTTTCTACATTCTTGCTATAGCATTGAAAAGGGATGTCTATAATCAGCTAAGGGCATAATGGGCAGGCCAAACTGTTTTGTGGTAGATGCCGTCATCATTACAGAAAGGCAGTAGAAAGGTGGCAAACAACTTGGGACCTAATTTAGAAAACTATGCCAGGTGAGGGCCTATCATCCTGAAGATGCAAGAGGAAAGCACATTTTTTGAAATATTTGTAATGACTAGAACACTTAGAAAACAGTTTAGCATAACAGAAGGTAGAAGATATGATATTTATGAAACTTCAGCAAAGAGCTCTAAGGAGAACAGACTGCTTCTCTAAAGGTTTGGGAAGATTGCAAGGAACACTAAAACAGGGTTGGACACAAATCTGCAGAGGGGGCAAGAAAGAATTCATGATTTTAAAAACTGAAGTAAAGAGTATGCTTCAGGAACTCTTTCAGATTTCAAGAGAAGGATCAAGAAATGAAAAGAATGAGATAAAAAAGTATGGAGGAGAGAGAACTAAAATCCAGTCTGAGAAAGATAAATGCAAATGTCTGATAAAATATGAAAAAAAGGCCTTACTCTTATGCAAATAAATGCAAATTAAAATAAATTAACAAATATTTAAGAAAATGTGCCAAATTAACAAATATTTAAGCAAATGACAACATACTTTTGATACAAGTTCAGTGAAAAGGTGCTATGTGAAATATGTAGCCGTTTAGGCAGTTTTGTACCATTTTCTGTAGAAGGTTAGCACTTTATCTTCAATGAATAGTTACACACATATAGTAAGATCTATATAAAATGACAACAGAATTTGGAAAAAATCTAGTGGACTATAAGATATTTAGATGTAATAATTTATGGCCTTAAAATCATGGTTTAAAAAATTTTAGTTTACAAAATTTTATGTAAGAATATCCTTCCGATATAATGTACTTTATACATTTCCCAAGCTAGAAGCTAACAGATGAACAAGGAGAATAAATATATTAAGTAGGAAATAAATTTGGGAAGCTGCTTGCTACCCAGATTTATTATGACTTACTTCCCAGGTCATTTATTATTACTTGAAAAAGCATAATAAGTGTTAGCTCATTATAGGCTCTGAGATGTCCTCAAAAAGACATCTGTTAAATTTGCTTAAACCTATTTTAAACAATACAACACTTTTTTTAGTGGAATAGATACTAATATCTCCCAGAATGTTCTTTAAATATCAGTTTAGAAAACAATGTGTTAATGACAAAAATATATTTTTGAAAAACATATGTTTATGTAAAATGGAAGTAAATACACCAGATTATTTACTTTTTATTTTTATTTTTTTATTTTTTTGAGACGGAGTCTCGCTCTGTCGCCCAGGCTGGAGTGCAGTGGCGCAATCTTGGCTCACTGCAAGCTCTGCCTGCAGGGTTCACGCCATTCTCCTGCCTCAGTCTCCCGAGTAGCTGGGACTACAGGTGCCCACCACCACGCCTGGCTAATTTTTTTTTTTGTATTTTTAGTAGAGACAGGGTTTCACCATGTTAGCCAGGATGGTCTCGATCTCCTGACCTCGTGATCTGCCCTCTTCGGCCTCCCAAAATGCTGGGATTACAGGCGTGAGCCACCGTGCCTGGCCAATACACCAAATAATTTAAAATGATCACTGAATAGAATTGTTTTATGCTTGTATGTAACTCCTGAATTTTCCTCAACAAGAATTTCAATAGAAATGCAATGCTTTTGTTATAAAAATATATAGCAAGTAAAAAATATAGAAAATAAATTTGGCTATAAAACTTAGTCATTAGAAGACATAAAATGGAACCATCCTTCTGATGGAATTCATGCCATAATTTTTTTCTATTATAGAATTTTGGATTAGGCATTTATTTTAAGATGTGGCAAGAGATATTTTGACCAAATTTTTAGTGATATACATGAGTTAGTTTCTCCTGAACTGTAAATTAGTTCAAATAGACCAAAAAATGGAAAGAGTTATCTTGAGTCTAAGAAGAGTGAAAATAGTTGTTTTCTGTTCATTTTGTTTTAATCAAAGTTTGAATACAACTCTTGTTATTTGTATTAACTCCAATCAAATGAAAAATGGGGCAGGTAGGCTAGTTGCTGTTGATGGTTGAAGGGTATGGGTGTGTGCATGTGTATGTGTGTTTAAACTTTGTAACTTCTACTTCATTTTTAATACATCAAAGTGAAAGACACTGTAATCCTATCTCCTCAGTCTTTCACCACCCCTTCCAAATCCACTTAAATTCTTCTAATTATTCACAGATGAGATTAAGTCCAAAGGAATTTTTGTTTACATTGTTGTTCTATTTTCTCTTTTTCTTTAGAGATGACTACCTTTGTTTTTGCAATTATGTTAATAGATAAGCATGTCAACATAATTTATAATTGCCTTAATTATTTTATTAATGCAAGACTTTTACACTATCAGAGGCAGATCTGGAAGTGATTTAGATGCTTGCCTTTTTTGAAGAATTTGAACTGTTGTCCCATCAGACTGTCTAGAGCCAACTAAATTGGGAGATGAGAGAACTGAGCTTCAAGAGGCCACTCTTTATGTTAGAATGGGTAGTATTCACTGTAAGTTGTAAAGTGAAGTTGAAAGAAATGCACGTTCTAGTTAATAATTTTTTAAAAAAAGAATTACTTTTTAACAGGATTTTAAAAAAACTTCCGTCTTTTAAATTTTAAAACGCTTTCCATCTTTTCAATTATCCAAGTTAATTTTTCATGACTTAAACTGAAGATTACAGCACGCAATACCCTTCCCACGAGGGAGGCTTTTAATAGTGGAGTCAAGAAACCAGTTTTATTTTGTTTACTATAGTGTGTATAAGGGGAATATAGTATTCCCCCAATCCCCACATTAATTTACTAGTTAAGACATTATTTCAGAAGATCTTGTGCATATGTATTTTTAGAATAAAGATAGAAAGCACTGGAATCCTTATATGGTCAACTCCTGCATTTTTGATTTGTTGAAGACTTTGATCAGTGTAGGGTGGCAGTTTTGTGGCCAGATCTTAAACCAGGTAGCATAAAGATGATGAATCTTAAAATACTCTGTGACAAGACTTAAAAAAAAAGAGTTACTATGCAGTGATAATGAAGTATTTAATATTTGAGAAATCCATGAAAATAGCAAAATATTTTTGTAATATTTTGGCTCAGACTGTGAGGAGATTACTTAATTGCATATAAATTACTAAAGGGTGGCATGGTTAAAATTTCAAAAGTAAAATATTTACATTTTATCCAGTTAAAAAAAATCTTCCTTTTCCTGGGTCTCCAGGAGCCCAGTTAATGATTTGCATTGTGATCAGCATCGTTTTGCAGATTTTCATCAGTGACTTATTAAAACTTGTCCATTTGATTAGAAATTCTCCTTCCTCAGTGAAACTGTCCTACTGGAGTAAGAGAAGCAGAATTTTCTGCCCCCATTCTCTCTTCACAGATTATTCCTTAACGCGTCCCTAAACTGGGTGGAATTACTACAGATGATGTGAGGGATTGTAAGTTGAAAGAATTTAACAAATTAATGATACTGTTATTTTATTTTATATAGAGATTCTTTCACTAATGGGAAAACCTTTGGTCCTCCTTTAGGTAGGTCTGAAAATTGGATGATATATGCTACAAACTTGAAGAGCAAAAACCGAGTATTTAGAAGCACTTAGAGATCCAGCAACATCAGTAAGATGTTGAGTAAATACTGTTTTCAAAATAGTCATCAGATGTTACAGAATCATGTATACGTAATCTTACAGAAGACATTTCTTGATGATAAGGATTGCTTCTTACTGAATTTTTTATTCCTACATCTGGAAAAGCAGTTTTTATGTAATAAGGTTGCTTAAATATCCATCAAGAAAATTTTTAAAAACTGAGGCTGAAGGATTCAATTTATGGACTTTGATTGAACCTGTTTGTAACTATTGGTCTCTATAGCCAGGCATATTCTGTTTTTTAAGATTGTCTATTTATAAATATTAAACTTTTATTTTTTAGTTTTTGTAGGAGTTTGCTTCCCCTGTCAATAAGCATTGAGATTGTAGTATAGTGAATACTGTTTTATAATGTTAAAACCTGTTTTGGAGCTTGGCAGAGCTGAGTCTTCTTATGTAGACATTTCTGGTGCCAGTGCATCCTACAAGAGGTTCTTGGACAAAACCTTTTATATGTCTTTTATATGTTGGCTTTTATATGTCTTTCTCTTTCACGAGATCCCATCCCATTCCATTTTCTTTCATTTTATTCTGTATTCCTTCATATATGTGTATATCTCTTTTGCCTGGGTCTTGAGAGTTATAGTCTTGAGGTAGTATAGTGCTGTGATTAAGATAAAAGTTGGCTTTTATATGTCTTTCTCTTTCACGAGATCCCATCCCATTCCATTTTCTTTCATTTTATTCTGTATTCCTTCATATATGTGTCTATCTCTTTTGCCTGGGTCTTGAGAGTTATAGTCTTGAGGTAGTATAGTGCTGTGATTAAGATAAAGGATGCTGCTGCTAAGGTGGCTTCAAATCCCAGTCCTGCTGCTTGCTAGCTGGGTGACTGAGGGTAAGTTATTTAATCCCTCTGTGTCTCAGTTTTCTGATGTGCAAAATTGGGGTGATAATATCACTTGCTTACCTCTCACAGGTGTTATGAGGATTAAATTGATAATACATGTAAAGTACTTAGGACAACGTGTGGTGCATATCTACATTCATTGTCAAGTATTTGAAGGCTGATTAGAATTTGCTATTACTGGTTTCATCAGAGAGTATTTTCTGACTCAGTATGATGTTTGTATTTGGCCAAGAATGGAGTCTTCCTTTGGTGTATTCCATCCATCCTCTGCAAGATTCTAGAATACCTGTGCTCAGACCCTGTGCTCAGCTACCTAAATACTATTAGTGAAGATCCAGGTCAAGCCTCCTATGTTATCTTTCTCTTATAGTGAGAGCAAAGACATGGTCCCTGAACACACAAAACATATACATATATGACCAAACTAGATTGCAAACTTCTTGAGGTTAGAGAAATTAGGCTTTATGATATTTTTTATCATAGAACTGAGAAAAAAGAGATTACCCAATAAACACATGGTGATTTTAAAATTATGGTTATAGCTAATCCATTTTCCAAAAGAGAAATTTAGAAATGATGATATAGGTCAGAGTAGATTGATGGTATTTTCAGTTTCAGTTGTGCATTTAGTTAATAGAATGGAAGTAATCAGAGGTTGTTTTACATTGTGTATTCTCTGAACTTTGTTTGAATGAAATATTACCATCCCAAGTCTGAGTTTTATTCAGGTGGTGAATAATTTGTATTTACTGCTTATTTGACTTTAGTTGTAAGGAAACTATAGATTTCAGTAGAAATAATAATAGTAGCAGCTAACAGTACATAGTGCTTACTATATGCCACACAGTACCTGTCAACCAACACCTAATCTTGACTTTGAAAAGCCTTTAAAAAAAAAAAAGACACAATGACTTGGGAGATTCCAAATTATTACTGTTTTTTTTTGTTGTTTTTTTGAGATGGAGTCTTGCTGTGTCACCCAGGCTGGAGTACAGTGGCACGGTCTTGGCTCACTGCAGTCGCATCTCCCAGGTTAAAGCGATTCTCCTGCCTCAGCCTCCTGAGTAGCTGGCACTACAGGCATGCGCCACCATGCCCGGCTAATTTTTTGTATTTTTAGCAGAGGCGGGGTTTCACCATGTTGGCCAGGCTAGTCTCGAACTCCTGACCTCAGGTGAGCCACCTGCTTCCACCTCCCAAAGTGCTGGGATTACAGGCATGAGCCACTGCACCCAGCCCCAAATTTAAGTATAAATTTTGGAAACATATTTCTTAATGAAAAATTTTCAGTTTAAAAGGTTTGTGTTTAGGCCAGGCATGGTGGCTCATGCCTGTAATCCTAGCACTTTGGGAGGCCAGAGGAGGTGGATCACCTGAGGTCAGGAGTTCGAGACCAGCCTGGTCAACATGATAAAACACCGTCTCCAATAAAAATATAAGAAAATTAGCTGGGCCGGGCGTGGTGGCTCATGCCTGTAATCCCAGCACTTTGGCAGGCCGAGACGGGTGGATCATGAGGTCAGGAGATCGAGACCATCCTGGCTAACACGGTGAAACCCCGTCTCTACTAAAAATACAAAAAATTAGCCGGGCGTGGTTGCGGGCACCTGTAGTCCCAGCTACTCAGGAGGCTGAGGCAGGAGAATGGCGTCAACCCGGGAGGTGGAGCTTGCAGTGAGCCGAGATCGCGCCTCTGCACTCCAGCCTGGGGGACAGAGCGAGACTCCGTCTCAAAAAAAAAAAAAAAAAAAAAAATTTAGCTGGGCATGGTGGTGGGCGCCTGTAATCCCAGGTACTTGAGAGGCTGAGGCGGAAGAATCGCTTGACCTGGAGGCAGAGGTTGCAGTGAGCCGAGATCGCGCCACTGCACTCCAGCCTGGGCAACAAGAGTGAGACTCGTCTCAAAAAAAAGGTTTGTGTTTAATTGAATGCTCATGGACATAAGGAAGGGAACAAGAGACACCGGGGCCTACTTGATGGTGGAGGGCAGGAGGAGTGTGAGGGTCAAAAAACTACCTATGCTTATTACCTGGGTGATGAAATAAAACGTACACCAAACCCTACGACACACAATTTATCTATAGAACAAACCTGCACGTGTACCCCTGAAACTAAAATAAAAGTTAAAAGGAAGTTTGTGTGTAATAGAAATAGTGCTTCTGGCCATTTCACCAGCCTGGAAATGGTTCTTGAGTATATCAGTCGAGGGTAGTCACCACCAGAGGTAAAGTGGGACAGTGAACACTGCTCTTGCCAACAGAGTGGTGAATAACAGTGCTAGCATTTTCTTTTCTTCCAGGCTGTTCAAAGTGAAAGGTGAAGAAAATAGCCCTCTGTATTTAGTTTGCAGTTGCTATTTGGTTTCTAATTTAGGTTGTGTATTTTCCTCTAATGTTTCATTTTGACATAATATATTTTAAAATGGACTTTTCTTGTGGACACAATTTTATGATATGATTTTTCTTAAGTTCTAGGCGGCAATGTGGCTGCGTTTTATTTACTTGAATCGTATGTGATGGGAACCAGACTCAAACTTATTTCAGAAATAGTGTTAATTATACAAATGAAAGAGGCAGATATCTTTTGGTTCATCTACACATTTCAGAGTTGCTCCTGTGGTGCATTCCCGAAACCGTATCTGAATAAGCACAACATCTTCTAATGCCAGTAGATATTTTATACTTGCCTGTTGGAAGTTACAGTTCATTAAATGACTACACAATAATGTGTGATTGTCAGAACAGCATTCAGTACACAGGTAGCTAGTATCTGGTAATGGGGTTAAAAGTAATGGAAGATTCCAATAGACATGATGAATTTTAAATTGTTCCTTTATTATACATTTTAGCTGATGTACTATTATTTATAAAACAAAAGAAAACAAAAAGTGGTCTATTAGGTTATGTCTCCAGATAGCAGAGTTTTGAGTGGGAAAAATCAAGGGATATATACGGTAAAGAAACAGTGGTCTCTGGCTTGAGCTTCGACCAGTATAATTACTGGGATTCAGTCTTCAGAAGACCCTTCGTCTGTGCCAGAACCCCAGAATGGATTTTAACCTGTCCCGTTTCAGATTGTCTTCATGGTGGGTGGGAGATAATGGTAGCAGGAGAGAGATGTCAGCATAAAGATTAGGATTAAAAAAACGCCAAGCTCCAATTACTAAAAAGTTGACATCAAGATAGTATTTAGAAGATTCTTTAAGGAGGGAAAGGCGGAGGTGTAGAACAAGGAAGGATTGGGAAGTCATTTTGGATATTAGAGTGACCTGAATTCCATATGAAGGAAATGTTTGTTAGCTGCTGTTTCTAAGCTGTATAGTTCTGTATTTTTTAATGAATAGATCTTTTGATAAGGGCCAAGTACTTATTAAAAAACAAATTGTATGTAAGTTGATAATTTCTTAGAATTTCTTGTCTGTAGATTAGGGATTCAACTTGGTGATATGAGGTCATTGCAGTTGAAAAAGAGGCACAAGCTTAAGGTAAAAACTTTTAATACCCAATACAACGTAAATGTTATGTAAATAGTTATACTATATTGCTTAGGGAATAATGACAAGGAAAAAAAGTCTGTACATGTTCAGCGCAGACACAGCCATTCCTTTAAAAAAAATTTTCAATCTGTTGTTGGTAAAACCCATAGTTACAGAGGGCTAACAGTATGTATTTTTGCATTACACATGAAAAAACATTTTAATAGTTTAGTGGTTAAATGGAGGTTTGCTTTATAATTTAGAAATGATACACCTGAATGCAATGATATATAGATTTTTAATAATCTTCAAGTTTTTCTTTCTTTCTTTTTTTTTTTCTGAGATGGAGTCTCACTCTGTCACCCAGGCTGAAGTGCCATGGTGTGATCTCGGCTCACTGCAACCTCCACCTCCTGGGTTCAAGCAATTCTCCTGCCTCAGCCTCCCGAGTAGCTGGGACTACAGGCATGTGCCACCGTGCCTGACTAATTTTGTATTTTCAGTAGAGATGGAGTTACACTGTGTTGGCCAGGCTGGTCTCGAACTGCCAACCTTGCGGTCTGCCCACTTTGGCCTCCCAAATAATCTTCAAGTTTTATGGATATATTTTAGGTTAATTCAGAAAAAATAAATGTATACTTTAATCTATTAAATATAAGAATATAGAACATAGTTCTAAACACAAACCTGTTCATGCTGGGTTTTTTTTTTTAATTTTTTTGAGACGGAGTCTCGCTCTGTCACCCGGGCTGGAGTACAGTGGTTCCATATCAGCTCACTGCAACCTCCACCTCCCAGGTTCAAGCAATTGTCCTGCCTCAGCCTCCCGAGTAGCTGGAATTACAGGCGCTCGCCGCCACCCCTGGCTAATTTTTTTTAATTTTTAGTAGAGATGGGGTTTCACTATATTGGCCAGGCTGGTCTTGAACTCCTGATCTCGTGATCCACCTGCCTCAGCCTCCCAAAGTGCTGGGATTACAGGCGTGAGCCACTGCTCCCAGCTGCTGTTTTCTACTTTAAAAATCCTTCAATGGTTCCCATTGCCTCTGGGTGAAATCCAACATTTCTAGCAACGAATCCTCATTTTCAGTTTTTATTTGCTAAGAGGAAAGAACAACAACATGCATTACATAACAGACTCATTGAAAAACATTTTTTTTTCGAGATGATGGTGGCATAGGATAGTGGTCTTATCAAATGTGTTAAGTGGATTTTTCTGATTTGTGTCAGGAGTTTTCAGATGCATACCATAATTTTAGAGTATACTACTTACTGAGTACCCCCCAAGACAAACAAACAAGTACATGTCATAAAGTCTATGCTTATGCCTAAACCTTTGGCATAGAGGGGAATGCATGGATTGTTTGACAACTTTGTGTATTGGTGACACTATAAATTCATAGTCCCTAGCTTTCTAGGTGCTGATTGTTGCTGAGTAAAAATTCTGTTTATCCCATATGTTATCTTTCTCATTCCTACTTAGGAGTTATGTCACCATCCATCTTCTCAAGCTCTCTCCATCAATATATTCCAATCCTTTTTCAGAGGATTAACATTTCTCTTCTCTGACCAAGGAAATAGAGGTCATCGGAGACATGCACCAGTTTCTGCCTTGTGTCAACATCCACTTGTATTTCCATATATTGATACTGCCTTTCTTCCTTTCACAGTGTAAGGATCTTCCCCCCTCCACCCTGAAACAAGACTCTTTTCCAGTCATATTATCTGTCTTCTCTCTTTCTTCTCTTTTTCATCCCTGCTAAACTCCTCCTTTAGCATCTCTTTTCCCGTCCAAAATCCTTCCCTGGTCTAGTGTCAGCCTCTACCTGCTGCTGTAACTCCCTTTGGAAAAAGGCTGTCTGTGTTCCTTACCACCAATTCATTGCTTTTTTGTTTTTGTTTGTATGTTTGTTTTTGAGTCGGAGTCTCGCTGTGTCGCCAGGCTGGAGTGCAGTGGCATGATCTCGGCTTACTGCAACCTCCGACTCCCTGGTTCAAGCGATTCTCCTGCTTCAGCCTCCCAAGTAGCTGGATTACAGGCATGCGCCACCATGCCTGGCTAATTTTTGTGTTTTTAGTAGAGATGGGGTTTCACCATGTTGGCCAGGATGGTCTCGATCTCCTCACCTCATGATCCGCCCACTTTGGCCTCCCAAAGTGCTGGGATTACAGGCGTGAGCCACTGTGTCCAGCCTCATTCATTGTTTATTTCACTATAGTCTGTAGCTGGAAATGCTTTCACCAAGTCATTGATGACCAGTGATTTGTCAGATCCATGGACACTTGTTTTAGGCCCTGGCCTATCTCCTGTATCCAGTAGGGCCCCATATTGAGCACACAATAATATTAGTTAAATGAATAACATTTTTCACTTATCTTCTCTTATTTATATGACTTTCCCTTCTCTGGGGTCTTTTACTGGCTCTTACCTGCGTCTTAAACTTTTGTGTTCTAAAGGTTCCAAGAAACCACTGTCTCTCATTCTAGCATGGCTAACCCTTCTCTGGATAGATACCCCATTCTCAAGCATGCCTCCAGAAGATGCATATATAGCAAGTCTTTCACCTTAAGTCTTGACCCTTATTAAAAGGGGTCAACATGTTTGTGTGTTCCATAGACACCTCAAACTCAATATATCCAATTTTACACTCATTTTCAATCTCATCAAGCTTGGTTCTTTCAGTTTATTACCGATAAGAGGCATCTTTCTGAGTGATGTCACCAGATACACAGATGCTTAAACTAGAAATCTAGCAATAGATCATTAATTCTTGTTACATCTACTGTCTTAATTCTGAGTTCTTCTACTCCTCTTTATTCCTCCTACATCTTAGGGCCTCAGTTAATACCATCTCAGTTTTCACCTTGGAATAGCCTTAGTTTAGTTTCCCTGCCTGTCTCTCTAATTTTGATTCTCTCTGTTTTGTGAGCTTTCTTCTCTTTTTCACTTCATTTCACCTAAAGAAAACATTTTAGAGTTTCCCTGGGACGTATGGAACTTTTTACAATTTCTGGAGCAAATTGAAAATACTGGTCTTTGAACCCTTGGGAAAACATAAGTTTTCATAACCTTCAAAATATGATTGACACATTGCCCAGTAAATGTTTATTCTTGTGTAATTACTGCATTAAGATTAGTTTTAGTTGCATATTAAGATCACCGTTTCTTTTTTTTTGGAGACAGAGTCTCACTTCCATCACCCACCCAGGCTGGAATGCAGTGGTGCAGTCACAATTCACTCAGCCCCCTGGGCCCCAGGTGATTCTCCTGCCTCAGCCTCCCAAGTACATGGGACTATAGGCATGTGCCACCGTGCCTGTGCCCCGCTAATTTTTTTTTTTTTTTTGTATTTTCAGTAGAGATGGGGTTTCACCATGTTGCCCAGTCTAATCTAGAAGTTTTGGGCTCAAGCAGTTCTCTTGCCTCAGCCTCCCAAAGTGCTGGGATTACAGGTGCGAGCCACCATACCCAGCCTTACTTCTTCTTTTTTTTTCTTTTGAGACGGGGTCTCACTCAGTCACCCAGACAGGAGTGCAGTGGGGTGATCTTAGTTCACCTCTACCTCTGCCTCCCAGGCTCAAGTGATTCTCCTGCCTCAGCCTCCCAGGTAGCTGAGATTACAGGTGTGCACCACTACCACCCAGCTAATTTTTGTATTTTTTTAGTAGAGACGGGATTTCACCATATTGACAGGCTGGTCTTGAACTCCTGACCTCAAATGGTCCACCCACCTCGGCCTCCCAAAGTGCTGAGATTACAGACATGAACCTGTTACAGAGGTATTACGTGTCTGAATGCCTTACTTTTTTATTCAGCAAAAAAGGGGGCTCCCCACTGTCATTGGAGCTGAGTGTGGGGAGACCAAATGAAATCCTGTTTCCTTGGAAGGGACCAATAAGTGTCCTTTGTTTCCAGTGTTGAACGATGAGCAGGTTTGGACAGTTGGATCTGAGGGAAGGGCCATCCCAGGCAAAGGGAAGGCAAATGCCAGTGCTTGAGGCTGTGAACAACAGAGTGAAAATATTCCTAGATCATGAAAATAAGTGTTTGAATTTAGCATAATGCATTTGACTTATTATTAATCAAAGGTGTTGCACAGGATGAGTATTTGTGTTTACCTAGTCACTTTAAAACATATATTTCACCTCAAGTATTCCCAGTTTGGTAGACTACAGCATGAAGGCTTGAATGTTGTAGCTTAATTTCTTCTGTAACTGCTAGTTTCTTCTATGGCACTGCTTATTTGCATGGTAGTGTGTGTCTCCATAGAGTCCTCATTCAACAGTTAAATGTTAGAGTGCTCTGAGGACAGGGCTTAAACAGTCAAAAACTATTTCTTAAATTTCTCTAGAACCTCTTTTTTAAAATTAAACTCCATGATTTGTTTGAATTAAATTTTACTATCAAACACACACACACACACACACACACACACACACACACACACACACACACTTTGCTTTAAAGGAAGAATAATAATTTGTATTTGTCAGATAATTTCTGATTTTTGTTTTACTCTTTCTGAAATGTCAAAGACAAAACTTCCGTGAGGTTTTTAGAATCTAGAATCATCATTCATATATTGTATGAAAACAATTTTACACTTTACACTTCTTTTTCTTTAAACCTTTTTCCGTTATTTTACTAAGCACCAGAAGAAAGTCAGATATTTCCTGTGATGCTAAAATTTCTTCCAGATCACATGCTGAAATACCTTTTTTCTTTGAGGGTTCTCTTAAATGATCAAATGTAGTCTCTTAAGTGTATATGGCCAGCTCTTTCATCTGAGCTACTTTGTCTAAATGTTTATGCTATTCAGATAACATGTATCTTCAATATTCAGCTTTGCATATGGGCTATACTTCATCCCAATAGTATTCCTTTTTCTTCTTTTAGGTTTGACTGAATTAGAGGTATGTTCCATCCATGTTAAATGGGTTCAAAAGGCCTACTTGAATTTGAAATACTCCTGTTCATTATAAAATAAAATGTGACTGTGTTTCTAAGTATGCATAGTTTTTATAATCTGTAACATTTTAATTTGTTATTTTTCCTGAGATCATGTAAGCATTTCTTTTAAAAATTTAGTTTTTATAAAATGGCTCATGTTTTATGTAAGTTTGGCCCTTATTTTTTCTAAAGATGCAAAGCTTAATGGTTGTAAGGAATAGAGGCACCACTTTCCCCCTTGAGGCCTGGTCAATATTTGAATACTTGTGCACAGCATAACAAGTATCTTTTAGACTGAATACATTAATAGTAGTACTTTCAAGGGATGTTTAGCAAACTTTATGGGCAATAGGGTTGAAAATCTGTGTAGTCAGTAGATTTACAAAGTTATATTAGAGAAGAAGTTGCAAAGAAAGGTTTTAAGGAAAATTTATCTTTATGTTCTAAATGGCCTTTTAAAATTCTATTTTTATAAACTCTGATCAGTCTTAACTAAATTTTGCGTTTAAACTTTTGGATAAAAGTCATGTTACAGGGGTTCTTGCAATGTGAACTTCATGCCGTATTTGGGCTTGTTTTTATGATTTTCTTGCACTAAACTTGGAATGCACTCTTGAAGAATAGGTTTTTGGCTCTCAAGGACCTTCGTAGTCATACACTAGCTCTTAATCACTGTGTCTGTGGAGTGTCTTGCTGGTTGGAGCTCTCAGTGGATTGACTTCCCTTTCTCTCTACTTCCTGCCAAGAGAGAGAGAGAGTTTTACCACTTGTGGTAGAGAACATCTTTACTTGGTTATGCTATTTGCCATGTGATGGTTATGGAGTTTCTGCTATAAAAGAAACTGTCAGCTCTAAGTTATCAGTGCAAGTTTTGGATTAATAGCATCTTTAGCTTTTATTTCCCTCAGTCCTCTTGCTCATTTCATTATGCCTTAGAGAATGGAGAATTGGGAATAATAATAAATGATTTAGTGTTCTACTGTTTAATTTGACTTTTCTTGAGTATGTTAGACTTAACCTGAAAGTTTTGGTTGTGATGGGTTTACATTCTCTGTGGGTTTGGTAGTCTTCAGCAAAAATTAGCCTCTATTAGCACAATGAATTGATAATTGCCCAGCATTTCATCTTGCGTTGGATTCTGACTTCACTCTGGAAGCAAAGATGTTACAAAGAAGGGTACCCTGCCTCAGAGTTTGGAGTTTCCCACATTAACGTTGGAAGGTGTCTTTTGGTAGGCTCTTAAACAATTATGGAACTGTGGAAATAGCCTTAGGTGAGGAGCTGAACATCCCAAGTTCTCAAGTGCACTCTGTTTATTGAATTACAGACACTTATCTGTAAATGATGATGATTTTTTTGGCGGGGGGGCGGGGTAAGAGGTACTTTGTTAAATGCTTTGTGTGCATTATGTTATTTAATTCATGTAGTAAATTGGAGGCAGGCATTATCCCAATTTTACAGATGAGAAAACCAGGGGTTAGAGAAGTTAAGCAGCTTGCCCGATGTCACACAGCCAGTAAACATAAAGCTAGAATTCATACCCAAGGACTGCCTGACTCCAAGACCTGTTTCTTTGCTGCTCTGCATTCTGCTATATGTAAAGTACCGTGTGCTTATTATGAGGATTAAATAAGCTAATGCGTACATCCTTTGTAAAGTAAGATATTAGTCTTGGTATGGTAAAAATATGGACATGTTTGGAACATGGAACTGTTACTAATCTTTTCTGCTATTTTAAGGCTTCACATGCATTTCATAATTTTATATATAAGTATTTTACACCTTCAAGATTGTTAATATGTTGTGAATGTCATGTTTCTTGATTTATGAAGTACTCATGTTATTCTTTAAAAACCCTTTCTAAGAAGGAAGGAAATCTATATCCCCTCCCCCCACATATTCCATGGATTTTTGTTTTGAAAAGAAAAAACTTAATTTTACATCAGAATCTTTAGAATTTTTTGGACTCTAGAATTTAATAATTAGTTATATTGTTCACTTACAGTTTCATACTAGAGAATAAGATCTTCAATATTCCATTATTTTAAAAGATAATACAAGGTAAACACATACAGAAAAGGTTTGATTGCTCCAGTAAGGATACTGAATAGTCAAACAATTTTCAACAACTTAGTTTACTACCTATATATACAAGCTATTTTGAGTGTTGATGCATTACTGAAATACTTTAAGGCCTTCCTTAGTTTGTATGCATTGCTGAAATACCCCAAGGTTTGATTCTAGAATGCTCGAAAAATTTTAAATTGCAAAAGGAAAACAAATGAATGCTTACTCATGTTGTAACACTTTTCTGTAATTTACCTCAATTTCTAAGGTCGTACCTTTTATTCAGGTTAGGAATAGGTTTTAAGTACTCTTGATTCCAAGTAATTTGTTTAATTGTCTTAATGCTATCTTTATAATCATTTTAAGCTGTGGTGCTCTTGTGAGCGAGTGCCCAGGAGCTGGAAAATTGACATCCAGGCAGTGAGGTCTGCTTTCTCTTACCGGCACCCTGGCATTCTCTGTGACCTCACAAGGCACTTTTAAAATCTTTTAGCTTCTATAGCTTTGAAGGCAAAGCCCTAGAGTATGGCTTGGAAATTCAGAAAAAAATGATAATTTAAATAAAGATAAATGTAAATATTTGTAGACAAAGCTTTCAAGTGCAAACTGGTTTTAAATACCCTCTAAACATATAAAAATATTTTCAAAGTCACTTTTTAAACCCAGAAGCAATAGAGTATAAAAGCCCCTATCAATAGCACGTTTAGTGATGATTGCAAGTATTTGTTTGAAATATAAATTTTGAAATTCTAACTTTTGATTAAAGTAGAAGTATGAATTTTTAAACCTTTTCAGATGAGAAATTAGAAATTTTGTCTTCATATTTTATAAGAATTGATGAATCTGCTGGGTTTTTGTGATATTTAAGATTTTTCTTTTATTATCAAAGAAAAATGCTGGATGCCAGTGGAGCATGCCTGTAGTCCCAGCTACTTTGGAGGCTGAGGTGGGAGGATCGCTTGAGCCTGTGCCACTGCACGCCAGCCTGGGTGACTGAGCTAGTCCCTGTCTCAAAAATAAACAATAACCAATTTCAAGTGTTTAATATATCCCCATGTAAATATTCAGCAGTAAAAGATGATTATGTTTTGCAATTACTTACATAATGCTTTCTGTGAGTATAAAACTGAACTTTAGATGTGAAAGTTGTACGAGGCAGTTTCTGCACCTAAGAAGTTTTAGAGTGAAGAGATTTCAGTTTGATACAATTTAAAGGTAATGTAATCATACTGGGTTTGAAGGTTTTCTAGGATATGTCTTTATGGGAAACCCAACTGATTCAGCTGCCTGTAGGGCCCCCAAGTACAACTTCACATTTACCTGATGTGCTGTACTATATCTAGAAATAATCTATATGATTTTTTTTTTTGGCCATAAGCCAGACTTCCTGGGTCAGCATTGAGCAAAACTTGTAACAGGTGTCTGACTACTTCCTCTCACCTCCGGTCCATATGGCCAGAGCTTTACTTGTTCTGTCACTTCGGATACTCTCCCTTAAGTACTGACCACCTTACTGAATGACCCTCAATTTGCCTTTCTAGTTTTATTTGAGTTACTCTTCTATTAGGTGGTTGTTTACCTGAATTTTTGCTTTTTTTCCTTCATCGTTTGGAGATGACTTTTTGCAGATCGAATCTTGTACCCGGATTTCCCATCTCTATTTCTGCTTTGACAAATCTTACCCATACTTCAAGGCTATGAATTCTTTTTTTTTTTTTTTGAGACAGAGTTTCGCTCTGTCACCAGGCTGGAATGCAGTGGCGCGATCTCGGCTCACTGCAACTTCTGCCTCCTGGGTTCAAGCGATTCCCCTGCCACAGCCTCCCAAGTAGCTGGGACTACAGGCGTGCGCCACCATGCCCAGCTAATATTTTGTATTTCTTTAGTAGAGATGGGGTTTCACCATGTTGGCCAAGATGGTCTCGATCTCCTGACCTTGTGATCTGCCCACCTCGCCCTCCCAAAGTGCTGGGATTACAGGCGTGAGCTGCCGTGCCCGGCCCGACCATGAATTCTTACTTCTATCTTCCTGTGTGTTATGTGTCTTATTGCGTTTAAAAAAATTAATGTAAAATACATGTAACATAAAATTTACTATCTTAACCATTTTTAAGTGCAGTTCAGCTGTGTTAAGTATATTCACGTTATTGTGCAACAGATTTCCAGAACTTTTTCATCTTGGAGACCTGAAACTCTGGATTAAGCCACAAGCCCCATTTTCTTTTCTTCACGTCCCTGGCAGCCACCATTCTACCTTCTTTCTGTTTGTTTGAGCTTGAGTACTTTAGATACCTCATGTAAGTTGAATCATACAGTGTTTGTCTTGTAGTGACTGGCTTATTTTACTTAGCATGATGTCTTCAAGGTTCATCCATCTTGTAGCATGTGACAGGATTTCCTTCTTAAGGCTAAATATTTTATATATATATGTGTGTATATATATGTGTATGTGTGTGTATATATATACATACCACATTTTGTTTTATCCATTCATCTTTCAGTGGACATTTGGGTTGTTTTCAGCTTTTGACTATTGTGAATAATACTGCAGTGAACATGGGTGTGCAAATATCTCTTTGAGATTCTGCTTTCAATTCTTTGGATTATATATCCAACAGTGGAATTGCTGGGTCATATAGTAATTCTGTTTTTAGAATGGAAAGTGTTGCTATAGTCTTATTTTTGACCTTAATTTGACTACCACAGCCATACTGCTCTCAGTCTTCTCCTTTAAGCTTGTGTCTCTTTTTGTTTATGTTTTGGAAAATATGGAAATCATGGAGCATATGTAAATATAGAAAAATATATTTTATATCAATTAAAATCTAATTGTGATTTATACATTTTAGTAGAAGAGGGTATTGGTGATGTGAATACTAACAAAAGGCTGTAGAAATCTGATTATCTTTTGCTTTCTATTTTTTAGTAAGTAAACTTGATTAGAAAAATGTTATAGATCAAAGTCAGTTTATATATTTACTCTTAAAATCTGTGGCTATTGGCCGGGTGCGGTGGCTCCTGCCTGTCTGTAATCCCAGGACTTTGGGAGGCCGAGGCGGGTAGATCACTTGAGGTCAGGAGTTCGAGACCAGCCTGACCAATATGGTGAAACGCCGTCTCTACTAAAAATACAAAAAATTAGCCGGGCGTGGTGGCAGACGCCTGTAGTCCCAGCTACTCTGGAGGCTGAGGCAGGAGAATGGCGTGAACCCGGGAGGCAGAGCTTGCAGTGAGCCGAGATCGCGCCACTGTAGTCCAGCCTGGGCAACAGAGCGAGACACCGTCTCAAAAAAAATAATAATAAATAAATCTGTGGCCAGCATTTAAGTATCAAAATCCTTGCACTAAGTAACATCCCCAAACTGTAAGTCTAGTAAGACTTAGTATTTGCTTCTTTTTGGAAAGATACCAGAGAAACATCATATGGTGTCTGTAATTCTATTATATGGAATATTATATTTTCTCTTATTCACAAGCTAGGAGCTCAAACATTAGAACTTTGAGGTGCTATAGTAAAAAGTTAGAACTTTGTTAAAAATTACACCAAAAGTTAGAACTTTGAGGTGTTCTTGATCTCTACTACAGTGCTATAGTGAAAACCTGTAATACTGTTTTAACAGTTTGAACTGGTTCACAATAATCATGGGAAGATGTGCTTTATTTTTAGTACATCTTTTCAATTAATAATAACAAATGAGGCTGGACGTGGTGGCTCACGCTTGTAATCCCAGCACTTTGGGAGGCCGAGGTGGGTGGATCACGAGGTCAGGAGATTGAGACCATCCTGGCTAACACGGTGAAACCCCGTCTCTACTAAAAATACAAAAAATTAGCCATGTGTAGTGGCGGGCACCTGCAGTCCCTGCTACTTGGGAGGCTGAGGCAGGAGAATGGTGTGAACCCGGGAGGCGGAGCTTGCAGTGAGCCAAGATCGCGCCGCTGCACTCCAGCCTGGGCGATGGAGCGAGACTCCATCTCAAAAGAAAAAAACGGAAGAACTGTACTTCCCCTCCCATCCCCCAATTCCATTATGTATTACCATGATTCTGCATTTGAACTGGTAAATAATAATAAACCTTTCTCAAGCCACAAATAGCAATTCAGTTTTTGTCTCTTTGTTGACAGGGTGGAGTTCAGCCTACTCTTTCTTAGATGTGAAAGGAAAGGAAGATCATTTCATGCCTTGTTGATAAAGGTAAGTTCATAGTAATTATTAAATAATTTGAGATGTTTGGTAGGCATCGTTACTGCTTTTTGACACTCCGACTTTGTGGTATGCTGAAGTTAACAGAAAGATAATACATTTTATAAGATGAATGGAATCTACAATTGTTCCTTTAGTTATCAGTAAAAACACATAAGATAAGGAAACTGATGTAAATCAACATGACAAGGTGGATGTGGATTTGTTCTATAATGAGAAAGTAACTTGTGCTTTTCATTTGAAATGTTGGCCTACACACTTAGTCTGTTCCTCAAACATTTACACACTTGGTAATAACCTTTTACCAACCATTGCTGATATCATCACGATAACATGTTTCAGGTTAATAAAAACTAGATTACAACATTATGCCATTTTAAAGCAAATCCATCCATTATACTTTTCATGCTGATAGTTCTAGTTGGTGTCACTCATTTTAGAGGGCAAATGTGAAACAGGTGGCGTGGACTTCAGAGGCCCTACCTCTGACCCACATATATTAGTGAACGTTAACTTGGAGACTCTTTTCTAAGCATTTACTCCTATTATAGCTATTTTTATAGTGTGCTACAGTGTTCAAATGCTATTACGAATGCTTTAAATGAATTCAATTTGTTCTTCACAAGTCTGTGAAAACTGTTCTGTTAATATTCCCATTTTATAGATGTTAAAACTGAAGCATTGGAAAATTAAGAAAATTGCCCAGGATTATGTAGATAGTTAAGTGGTAGAGTGGGAATTACATTGAGACCTCCTGATCTTTACTTCAGTGCTATACTGAAAACCGATAATACTATTTGAACAATTTGAACTGGCTCATAATAATGATGGGAGGATGTGCTTACTTTTGATATATCTTTTCTAATAACACATGAACAAATGTAGGATGAATACATGTTATACTTCTTAATGGGTTTGACTTTACTCCAGTGAACTCTATCAGAAATTTTTTATACTTTAAATCCTTATAAATCTACTCAGTAAAGTTTTCAGAAACTTACTTTTGCATATTTATAAAATATTTCATTGCTTGCTTAAAAATAACCATATTAAAAGATGGTAGCATAATTTTAATTAAGAAAGCAGAAATAATGTACTTTACAAGTATTGGTATTACTCCTTTCGGGGCTATAAATACAATATATATGTTTTTCCCCTGGCTAAGTGTTGTGAGGTTAAATTTTCAGCATAGTAAGTTTCAGTTGGGCCACATATTATGCCACTGTGCATAAAAACTCACATTGATTCAAGTATCAGAATCATAGAATTTTCTTCATGGAGAGAGATGGTTGGGGAGTAAGCCAGAAATAATTGGTCTTGATTTGGGTTGCTGTCTCTTTCCAAAGGTTAGCATCTGAAGTGTGGGGCTGGGCATCAGGAACCTTCCTACCAGGGTGAGGGGTTTGGAAAAGGTTTTGCTCATTTTTGAGTCATGCTTCCAGTTGTTGATGGGATCAGAAATTAACCCCAGAGGAAAGGGGCCTTTTACCAGGAGTTGGGATGGGGTTAGAGAACCAATCAGATGGATTGGCCTTAGGGTTGGCATTTCCTGTTAGTGAACTGAAGTAAATCGGAAAGCAGAGAAAACCACTGCCTGTGCACTAGGCTCTGCAAAGAGAGAACGAGCGGGTGCCTATAGGCACCTTTCTCTAGAAATACATTTTAGGATTAATTTAGATTAATCTAGATCCTACATCCCCTACCCCCAGTAGGAATTATAATGTCTGTTTTTTTGAAGATTTGCCAGAACAGTGGGAATGGCTCAGCAGGTAAATTAAGTTTTTAAACTATAAGAAAGTGAGGCCAAGGAAAGTAGAAACTGAAATGCAAACATATTTTTCCAGAGATATCAACTATCAAATACATTGAGATACATTTTATATATGTATAGAAGTGTAATATTTATTAATAATAGAATAATTAAAACAGTATTTTTATTAGTGAAAATAATCTATGCTTATTAGACAAATTTGGTAGCAAAAGGTAAATTACACCACTTCAATATCAGCACTTTTATATTTCCTGTGTTTGTGTGCATGCACATGTGTGCGTGTGTGTGTGTATATGCATTTACATTGGAATGATATCGCCTATATTGATGAATGGTCTTATAAAAAAAATTTTAATGGCTCTATCATCTTGTATCATCTTATATTTTATTATTTCAGGTTTTATTTCTAGGATATATTCCTGACCGTGGAATAATTAGATCAAGGAATGAGAACATTTTTAAAGGCTCTTTAAGCATATTGCAAAATTGCTTTCAGGAATGCTGTATGACTAATATTTGTTTCAGGAGCATAGAGGGGACTGGTTTCCACTGTTTTAATGTGCTATTTTTTAATTCCTTCTAAGGTTTGTTAAAAACCAAAATTGCAACAAATTTAGTTTAAAGATACTAGGTTTTTATTAGCAATTCATGAATCAGTAGCATCTCATCTAAACATTTAGAAAAGGTGCTCCCATGAGCTGAGCAGAGGACGTTATTTTTATAGGCTGGAAAGGGCTGAAGAAAGCAGAAACAGGAAATGAAAAGTGAATTGGTCATTTCAAAGTAACTTTCCTTATAGAATTAAAACAGAGAGGACTTTCTTGTTACACTGGCCCAGGTAAACTAGGCTCCTCCTCATTGGCTGCTGTGCGTCTCCTAATTTTTTTTCTGAAAACAGGCCCATTTCAAAGTTCAGTTTGATTATGTGGCTCCCAGCCAGATAATAACTGCATTCTGAGTGACTCCATTTTGGTCTTGTCTGGTATATAGGGCCTAGTGCAGAAGCTCAGTCCAAACCAGTGGCCTCCCATACATTTCATTTAACAGGTTCTGCTTTTTTTTTTTTTTTTTTACTTCTGATATGCTTGGTAGGCATTTGTATTTCATCTTCTGTGAGTTCCCAGTTCATGTGTTTTCTAGTTTGTCTATTACAGTTTTAGTTTATTACTAATTTGTGTGACCTCCTTATGTAATTAAGATGATCAGCTCTTTGACTCATTTATATCAAATATTTCTACCATTTATTTACCCTCTATTTTAATGAATTTAATGAAGTATAGCAGTTTCACATTGCATATTCAGGCAGGTTTAATAGATTTTTTATTTTTTTATTATTATACTTTAAGTTTTAGGGTACATGTGCACAATGTGCAGGTTTGTTACATATGTATACATGTGCCATGTTGGTGTGCTGCACCCATTAACTCGTCATTTAGCATTAGGTATATCTCCTATTATAATTTCTTCTCATTTCCAGATGAGTACCATTTCCAGCAAGTAAATGGTAGAGCTGGTATTTGAACTGGTCATATGATTGTAAATCCTATGCTCTTTAGCAGTACCTTATACTTCCTGGTAGAATAGAAAAGAACAAGGGACTCTTAAAATGTTTAAGGTATTAATGAAAAGTGTCAAGTAAAACATTTGGATTTATTTGAGTGTTTACATTTGATTCTTTGGGAGGTCAAGGCAGGAGGATTGCTAGAGCCCACAAGTTTGAAACCAGCCTAGGCAACATGGCTAGACCTGGTGTCTATAAAAAATTTTAAAAAATTAGCCAGGTGTGCTGGGGTGTGCCTGTTGTCCCAGCTACTCCAGGAGGCTGAGGCAGGAGGATCACTTGAGCTCAGAGGTTGAGGCTACAGTGAGCTGTGTTAGCACCACTGTACTCCAGCTTGGATGACAGAGCGAGACCCTGTCTCAGAAATAAATAAAAATAAAAATAAATAAAATACATTTGGTTCTTATTTTTCTCGTATCCAGTGATTTTTCTTTTCCTGTTGTTTCGTCCAGGAGATCTTTAAATTTTTTTCCCCATTATTATAGAATTAGAAGTAGAAAAATATTTTGTTTAATAACTATATCTCATGATATATTTCTGTCATTAAATTGGTGTGCATATGGGCAAGACTATACTACACAGTGAAAAATCAGTTTTTAATACAAAGTTTGATACTTTAAAAGAAAAAAACAATGTATATTGAAAATACTGTGGTTAAACCAACCATATGGATCGTTTGGAATTCCTAGACTAAATTTGAATTTAATTAGTTATAGATTTGTTATTTGTGGTATTCATCCGGTATCTAAGAGAAGTGATTATCGTAACAAAATATTTTTATGGAACATCTTATTATATAAAATGACAATACAAATTATTATTATTTTATTCATAATTTTTGACTTTTTAAAAAACATGCAACATGCTGTTAAGTATATGTGTGTTTCTCATTTACTAAAAAATAGAATTTTCCTAGCAGGATGGCCCTAGAGCTGAAGCATTATATGTCTTTGGTTGGTTCTCATTCAAGAATTGGCAGAGTTTCAGAGTACTGTACTTCTAACTTGTCTCCATAAATTCAAGGCAGAACAGCAAATATGCCCTAAAAACAATGCATTAAAATGATATATTTTTATTTTTACTTTTTATTTTACTTATTTTGAGACAAAGTCTCCCTTTGATGCCAAGGCTGGAGTACAATGGCACGATCATAGCTCACTGCAGCCTCAACCTCCTGGGCAGCAATCCTCCCACCTCAGCCTCCTGAGTAGCAGGGACTACAAGCACACACCACCACCTTGGAGTAATTTTGTTTTGTTTTTCTGTAGAGATGGGATTGTACGGTGTTGCCCAGGCTGGTCTCGAACTTCTCAGCTCAAGCAGTCCTCCTGCCTTGGCCTCCTGAAGTACTGGGATTAGAGGCGTGAATCACTGCGCCTGACCATTAAAATGAATTTTTTTTTTTTTTTTTTTTTGAGACAGAGTTTCACTCTGTCACCCAGGCTGGAGTGCAGTGATGAAATCATGGCTCACTACACCTTCCACCTCCCAGGTTCAAGCGATTCTATGCCTCAGCCTCCCAAGTAGCTGAGATTACAGGCGTGCCACCATGCCCAGCTAATTTTTATATTTTTAGTAGAGACGGGGTTTCACCATTTTAGCCAGACTGGTCTTGAACTTCTGATCTCAAGTGATTGGCCCTCCTTGGCCTCCCAAAGTGCTGAGATTATAGGACTGAGCCACTGGGTCCAGCCCTAAAATATTTTAATCAACTTTTAAAGTCAGAAAATTCTTGTGTGTGGAAAAGATGCAACATCGTAATTCTGAAGTTTTACCTTGCATAATATTGCCATTTTTTATTGTGGCAAAATGTGTATACCATAAAATGGACAATTTTAACCATTTTCAAGTATGTGGTTCTGTGGCATTCAGTATGTTTACATTCTTGTACCATTACCATCATCCATCTCAAGAACATTTTCATCTTCTGCAACTGAAACTGTACCTTCTAACTCTGTTTTCCAGCCCTCAGTCCTTGGCAACCCCCATTATGCTTACTGTCTCTGTGAATTTGGCTGTAACGTTACTATTGTTGAAGGATATAAGACCTCTCCCCCACAAACACATGCGTATTTAGAAGCATGTTTCTTGTTTTGGTTTTGGTGTTTCCTCATGAATAGATTCAGGTCATGTGTCCTCGGCAAGTTACTGCATAGGTGATCTTCAGCAGAAGAATTTGGCAACGAGAGGAGCTGGGTTCAAGTTCTAGGCTGGGGCAAGTGTAATATTTCAACTTTTTTTTTTTTTTGCAATCCACTCTGTCACCCAGGCTGGATTGCAGTGGTGTGATTTCAGCTCACTGCAACCTCCACCTCCCAGGTTCAAGTGATTCTCCTGCCTCAGCCTCCTGAGTAGCTGGGAGTACAGGTGTGCACCACCACACCCAGCTAATTTTTGTATTTTTAGTAGAGACGGGGTTTCATCACATTGGCCAGGCTGGTCTCGGACTCCTGACCTCGGTGATTCTCCCGCCTTGGTCTCTCAAAGTGCTGGGATTACAGGCATGAGCCACTGCACCTGGCCTAATATTTCGACCTTTCTAGGCCTTTTTTTCTTCAGCCATAAAATAAGGCTATTGGTTTCACCTCATCTGATGGCTAAGCTGCCTTTTAGCTCTAAAAATAATCTTTGTTAAATAGGCTGAGATATCCTGTAGTGGTTTATAAGTGAAAGGAAAGACTTAGGGGTAAGACAGTGTCTCAACCCTGGCTATGCACCTGGCTAAATTAATGAGGCTTTGGAAAATACCCGATTCTCATCTCTAAAAGATTGTGATTCTGGATTTCAAACTCAAGAATGTGTGAAAAGCTGTGTAGGGAATCTAATGGACAGCCAGTTTGGAAATACTGGCATGAAAAAGGTTCCTATGCTACTGTCCCCCTCACTGTTTTTTTCTTTTTTTTTCCATGGAAGGATAGAGGAGGATGACATCTTTCCATGGATTTTTTAATTAAAAAAATTATTTCCCCTTCCATAGAGGAATATTTTCTTCATAGCACGCAGAGGGAACATGATAGTCTTTTGTGTTTTTTCTCTTCTAGGATGCAAGAACAATTCTTTCACTAAATATATTTTATGTTTTCATATGGGAACAAGTATAGCTTTGCCTTAATCTTGGAAACAAGAAACTTTTTCTCTTCGTCAAAGTTTAGCTTGAGAGTGGGGAACAGGAGTAGAAATAACATAAATATTTAGCTGAAAATTGTGATTTTGCCTTTCACCTTTGGTGGTGGTGTTTGGTATAGCTGCCTTCTACTGTGCTAAGCACTCAGCATATGTTGTTTCATCTTATCTTGTCAATAACTCTTTAAAGCAGAGGAGATTTTATAATCCTCTTTTTGCAGATGAAGAAAATCAGAATCAGAGACTTTACTTACCTGATAACAGGTTAATCCAGCTAGAATTGGTAGGGTGGAGATTTGAATTTAGGTCAGTCTGACTTACAGTACTTTTGAAAGATACAGTGTTTGTGATTTTCATAGGGAGGGTCTTCAGATCTCCTTCTGCACCATGGGATAGAAGTAGAATTAATTGTTTTTTGTAAAGATTGTTTATCAGTTTTCATGGTTTCAAATGTGGGAATTCATGGTTTACAACATTATCATTGCTCTGATTTGGTTGGCAGTGCAAACTGAATCACCTTCAGAATGCTTAGAGGTAGGATCAGAACTAGCCCCAGGCTGAATTATCAAAAAGGGTGACCTTTTCTTTCCTGTGTGTGTGTGCGTGTGTGTGTATGTGTGTGTGTGTGTGTGTGTGTGTGTGTTTCCTTCCCTGAATTCCCTTGTGTTTTTAGCCTGCACCCAATTCTCAGTGCAGGGTTCTTTCTACTCATCTGCCTTTGCAGGTGTCATCCCAGAGAGCCTTGAAAATAGACTTCGAAAAGTGACTGAGCTCACCTCCCTTCTTCCACTGATGAGAGAACTGTATCAGCTGGATTCTAGTCCAGAGCTGTTTGTTTATTATAAAGTGATGTGCATCTGAGGGAGAGAGTGTCTGTGAACTCTCTGAAACTACATGCCGGATTTCTGTGTGTGTACATTTTCTAGCCCATAGCTTTATCAGAGTCTCAAAGGAGTCTCTGTTCAAACAAGACAAAACAGAGTTTTTGCATCCTATCATGTTAACATTATAGATGGCCTTATCTTATATTCTCTCTCTGCTACTAATCAGATACTACTGTGATAGCTTATTCTCCAAGGATCTCATATTCATTACTCATCCACATGCTCATTTCTTTGTTGTTTACACCCTTTCTCTATTTTACAAAATATTTGAGGTTGTTTATGTAAAAAAATCAAGCAGCTCATTAATAACTTAATTTGTTTTTTATCTAAAGAGAATGTATTTTATAATTCAATATATATATTAAGGAATATATTATATATGTATTAAGGAATATATTCTGTAATACATATTAATGTGCTAATAATTATTTAGTCCCTTTGAAGTATTAAAGATATGTCAATAAATTGCATCAATTTGCAGTTAAGCTATTGTTAGACTAAGGGTAAAGCAGATGATTTTTCAGTAATCCTTTGAGGAACATGTGATTTTTTTGATTCATGTCTCTATTCTTCATTAAGCTCAAAGTTTCACAAGTAGATGGACTGTTGATTCCCTAGAACCTACCAGAGTATTTGGCACTTAGTAATTGTGTTGAATACCCATTTAACAGAATACTCAATTCCACCCCTAGCTAGCCCTCAAATTTTGTCAACTTTTAGTCATTTTTACTGTCAGTACCTTGATCCAAGGGCACTATCATCTTTTGCTTTAAACTACTGTATAACTTACAGCCTGCTAAAAGAATATTTTTCTGACTCTAATCTGCTTCATGCCAATCTAACGTCCCCCTTGAAGTCAGAGTGGTCTTCCAAGGTTTCAAAAGTAATGATCTAACTTCCTCAATTGAAAGCCTTTAGTAGATTTTCAGTGCCCTTTGGAGTAAACGTCTTAACTAACTGCCTACTGTTCCAGTTTCATATAAAAAACTGACCTCGGCTGGGCGTGGTGGCTCATGCCTGTAATCCCAGCACTTTGGGAGGCTGAGATGAGTGGATCACTTGAGGTTAGGAGTTCGAAACCCGCCTGGCCAACATGGTGAAACCCCATCTGTCCTTAAAATACAAAAATTAGCTGGGTGTGGTGGCAGGAGCTTGTAATTCCAGCTGCTTGGGAGGCTGAGGCAGGAGAGTCACTTGAACTCAGGAGGCTGAGGTTGCAGTGAGCCAAGATGGTGCCATTGCACTCCAGCCTGGGAGACAGAGCGAGACTCTGTCTCAAAAAAAACAAAAAGCTGACCTCAAGTCAGTTAAATGGAGGATACTTTCAAATTGGATAAGAGTTGTAACCACCCTAGGGAGGTTCTTGAGTTTCTCATAACCTTATTTAGGTGTTAATAAAATTTTCAGACATGAATAAGATGGCATCTTATGAAATATCAACTGCAAACATACATTTTATACTTACAGATTATGATTGAGTAAATGCAGCAATGCCCCCAAACTTCCCTTCTCCATGTATCTAACACTCTTTGCAGTAAGACTTCGTAGTTGTTCCTATTAAGAAGTGAAGTCTGTTTTCCCAGCTCTTGAATGTGGGCTGGTCTTGTGATTTGCTTTAGCCAATAGAGCACAGCAGAAGTAATGGTGTACCAATTCCCAGCCTGGGCCTTAAGAGGTCTTGCTTGCTTCTGTTCCCTTTGGAACTCTGTTACTGCTGTGAGCACGTGAACAGGCTCACTTGGTGGAAGGGGAGCAGCTAAATGGAGCAGAGCCAAGTCATTTTACTTGAGTCTGGCCCTCTCAGACCAGCCGTCAGCCAGCTGACCAAAAATGTGTTAAGACAGAACAGCCAACATCAGCAGAGCCACCTACCTAACTTGTACCTGACCACACATGCTTGAGGGAACCCAGCTGAGACCTGAAGATCCTTCCATCTTGATCCATAGACTCATGAGCAATTAATGTTTGGAGCCACTGAGTTTTAGGGTAGCTTATTTTTGCAGCAGTAGTAAACAGATAAACAGATATTAGTGCCTTTTCCACCTAGTCACTGAGAAGATGACTAAGTAAAAAGGAGCAAGTTGAAGATGTTGCTTCTTTATTTAGCACATCATTATTATTGCGGTTTAGAAAGATTTGACAAATGCATTTGCCTGTTTCTAAGAATTTGCATAGAATGGTAGAGTTTGGACATTTTCCTATTCTGATTTGTTTTAAAAACCATTATAACAGAATACAAAATATCTTTGTTTTTTAACTGCAGCCATTGGTGCTAACATATTTATCACCAGGGAAGAAACTTTATTTTTCAAACTTCAGGGAAAAAAAGACATTTTGCCAAAATGCCTGACCACTTTGTGGTTTTTGAAGGAAATGTTAAGTTTATATAGAAAAAGGACATGACTTCCATTTCTGGCATTATGGCAGAACAAATATTTTGAAAAAAATCATCTAGGATTTAAAAATATATGTAATCTAAAGAGCTCAATCTAATTATTTAATATAATTGTAAAACATATTGCTGACCTGGAAAGATACTAAGCTAAATCTTCAGAAGAAGAAATAAGAAAACATGAATCCAGAAAAATACTGGATCTGACCAAGCCCTGGTCACACAATCCTGGAAATGTAGCATTCACAGTGAAAGGATGTACTTGGAACAAAACTTTCCCTTCAGAAGGAAGGTTAGTAAATGTGGAAAAAATGAAGAACACAAAGTAAGATGATAGAAATAAATTCAAATATATCTTTAGTTACAATAAATGTAAAGGTACTGCACTTTTTAGTTCCAAGACAAAGATTGTTAACACTGCATTTCCAAAAATCCAGGTATATGCAGTTTGTAAGTGCTATGCCTAAGTTATAAATTTAAAAATGGTTAAAAATAACAAGTGAAAAATAATATATCAGCCAAATAATAATCAAAAGTAAGCTTGGATAGATATAGTAAGAAATAACACTTTAAGAATGAAAAGCATTGCTACAGATTAAAAAGACTATTACAATTTGATAAAAGATTAAAATATTCTGAAAGATACAGTTTCTAATTTATATCTGAAGTCTGGTTTAAATTTTTTTATAAAGCTAAAATTAACTGAATTATAAGGGGAAGTTAACAAATTTTCAGTAGGAGATTTGAGCATAATGTTCTCTGTTAATGATTGACCAAGCAGGTCTTAAATCTGTAAGCATGTTGGAAAGTTGAGCTCTACAAATACTGCACTTGATATAATGGCTTTATGTTGTATATTATGCTACAAAATTGTTGAATACACATTCTTTTAAAAGTCATGGGACATGTTTTAAAAAATGACCACCTACCTTCCAGATAACTGAAGACAGTGGAGAGTTGGTAGTACAGTAACCTCTTCAAATCTCCTCCCCAATGGATATGAAATTAATTTACCACTAATAAATTTCTATTCAAAAATATACACTCAACATCACTTGAAGACAGAGAATGACATGACTGCAAAATAACTGTAAGTTCTGCAGTCCTTCATACTCCTGCCCCTTTCCTGTCATGCTGCAGTGCTTTGTGGTATACACACAGAAACTGGGAATCACTTAGGGAGGAAGAAGAGGGACACTGGCAAGGGAACTTAAGGAACAGTTGGAGAGACCACTGTATAGGTCAGATATACCTCAAATCTGAAAATACCGAAAAAGAAACTGGGAAGATGGGATGAAGATTGTGGGAAAAGGTTTCAAAGTATGTGCTATTTAGAGGGTCAAATTAACAATTTTATGGGACAGTCCTCCAATTGCATTGCTTTTCAGGGAGGGGATAAAAGGTAAAAAGGAACGAAGAGCGATTCTTTGGCAATGAATGGGAAAGGAGAAAAGAAGGAAAAGGGTTAAATTAGGGTTCTGTAAAACAAAGGAGAACCACAAACTTGGAGGACTCAACTCTTCTCCCCTACTACTAAAACAAATAAACGTATAAAAGAAATAATTTTGCTGACACCTGGAATTTGCCAGATTGACCAAAAAAAAAAAAGGTGCCTTTAAACTAGGAATTGTGTAAAATATCCTCACATCACAAAATAAAAAAAGGAAAATAAAAAATCATACAAATCTATTGAAAAAGATCAGATAGTGAATTTTCATACAAATCAATGGAGGGAAATACCACCTTCACCCCCACCCCCCACCAAAAAAAAAAAAAAAAAAAACAAGAAGCAGAAGAAAACTGTGTCTACATTCTAAACATTTAAATATACTCAAACATTTAGGTATAAGAAAAATACCTTTAATCAGAAATTTAAAAATTAAAAACAAATAGAAAAAGCAGGGAGAGATGAAAAACTACTGTATTGAACTTGGTAAATAAATACAAGAAAATGACAAAATTATCTCAAAAATGAAGATAAATTACAGAACACCCAAGAGAGAATAGATTCAAATGAAAATTAATAAGCGGCATCAAAGAAAAACAGGAAAAAGACCAAGAGGATACAAATGACACGAAGCAAAATGGGTCATAGAGAAAGTGGTGGAAATGGAAGACTGGCAATAAAGGAATAATACTTGTATTACTTGACTCTCTGAAGAAGAAAAACAATAATTCACAAAACCAATATTTAAAACTATAATCCAAGAAAATTTTTCAGAAATAGAAAAAAATCGGAATCCCTATATATTGAAAGAGCTTACATGGGCAAATTAACCCCAAACAATAAACTTGGAGATTTAGCCTGTTTCAACAATGATCATAAAATTCTAAGGGCTAACAGGCAAAAAGAGTGTGTCATCTACCAAAGGAAAATAATTAGACTAGCATTAGCTATTGAAAACCAATATTCAATACAAGGAAACAATGGAACAGTTTTGTTATTGTTATTATTTTTTATTTTACTCAGTGAAATAAAGTGGCAATCAAGAATTTTGTATCCAAACTATTTTTCAATTTACAAGGCTTTAGAAAAGTAGTTTTCAACATGTAAGAGTTTATGGAATTTTCTATCAATTCTTCCTGAGGAATCTATTAGAGCATGAGCTGTATCCATCCAAATCATGACTAGGAAAACAGTAAAATGACTGATGGTGAGTATTTAAAAATAAATAAATATGCATTATAAGACTAAAAAGTAGAGATGAGATATGCCAATTAAATCAGAGAAGAGGGGAAAAGAAATGAAAATAGAAAAAGATCTTTGTTGTGTAGGCAATATTCTACTGTAGGCAGATGTTAAAGGACCATATGATTTTTCATAATAGCATGAATAATAACAATGATAATAATGATACAAAGCACTTACTATGCACCAGGCACTGTCCTAAACACCTTCTAAACATTATTTAATTTTTTCACAATTATAAGAGTTGGGTGCTGATATTGATCATTTTACAGATAAGGAAACTAAAGCAGAGAGAGATTAAATAGTACCTTGGTCCAAAGCTGGTAAGTGATGAAGCTGGGATTGAGGCAAAGGAAGGCTGACTGTAAATTTTTGCTTGCACCCATAAACTAAGTGACCCAGTAACCTGACTTTTCTAGGCTAGTCCCAATTGCAGATATTTTGTTGTATGATTATTTACATGGTAGGAAATTATTTTATCAATTTTATTGTTAGAAATGCTATTAATGATATACTTCTAATATATCATGATATATCATAATGATATATCTCCAAGGAAATCATATCTCTAAGGAAACCATTGTTTCTTACACTGGAAAAGCAAGACACTATAAAAACATTCTAAAATTTGTAATACATAATATAAAATTTCAATAGTTTTTATAAATGAGATACAGGTTTTAAGAGTCTTATTTTTTCTTATTTTAAATATATACTGGAGCCTCAAAGAACCAGAAAGAAATTTATAATAAAGAGGAATAGGATGTCAGTACCAGGAGCCTCTTGCTGGGGATCCAAGAGAGGCCTCCTAATTAATTTTTATTGTAAATTTTAACAATGGCGATGTTTCAAATGTGTTATCTAAAAGGGAACTTAATGGAGTTTTAATAGTGATATTTTATTTTTTGTCTTCCTATATTTTTATCGTAATTTGCCTGTGATTAACATTTTTTCCAGTAATAATACTGCAAAATAAAATATCTAGAATTAATCTTGTATATGATAAGCATTTTCTGAGCCAAACATTTCTAGGCCCTGCGTCAACTCTGTAGTATCTCTGTTTTTCAGATAAAGAAACGGATGCTCTAATTGACAAAGTGAAAACAAGTTAAGATTGAAATTGGGGTTTGTACAACTCCAGAGCTCATGCATGTTCTCTCTGTACTGCTGTAGTTTTAATTCTTTCTCAAAAGGTGTTTATCAAAAACAAATAAAAGGTGTTGTGCTTTGTTTTGATATGAGCGGAAGGGCTCATTAGTTCTGTGCCTCCTTCCTTTTTTCATTGCTCCTGCTGTCCTGCAGAGAACTTTCCCATGCAGAATAGCCATAATATACCACAGCCTTCATGTTCCAAAAAGGGAAACCTGAGAAGGAGCCACAGTCTTCCTGCAGGCAACAGATGGTTACTGTTTAAATGAGGGTAAACTCTGGATCTCATCTGTGAAGTGACTCTAGGTTTTTTGGGTGGGTGGTTTGGGGAGTTAGGTCAAAGGAACAAGCTAGTAACAAGATTTAGGAGGAGGAGGAAGAAGAAGTAAACACACCAAATTTGTCTGTAGCTTTTTTTGCCCTTATATACTCTTTAATCATAGTCACATGGCAGGTTGTATTTTTCTGACCCCTCCTCTACCCCAAATAGAGGGAGAGGAATGAAGGGAGGGCATGGCAGGCTGTTGAAATTTGTAGTGTGTTGGCATCTAGCAAGTGCGTTTTGCTGTGGGGTAAGTTCTGTGGCTTGTTTTCTGTCTTCGTGAATAGAGCCTTTCCAACTTTGCCAAGCCTACAGTTAATGTGGTCAAGGGATTTATTATGAAATGTACTAAATCTTGGCGTGGAGCTAATTGCATATAACAAGAAGCCTGCTAGAGGCTTGGACCTGAGAAGTGACACATGCAAAAAGCATTCTCTTTCTGATGCTGCTGAAAGAGGTTTTGTGTAGGGGAATGTCTGCATGTCTGCACTTATTGCTAATGAGGTAACCCCCTCTCCCCCAAAGCTTATTTCTGAGTTACTTGTTAAATAAATGTAAAATTCTCTCTCTCTTTCCTTCTTCCCACTTTTATGAACAATTGGCAATTGAAGAATTGATATTTATTTACTAACTCCACTTCCAAACCTCTTAATATTATAAAAATACATTTGTGGCTGTAAATTACATGAGTGTAATTATGACCTAGAATAATTCTAATGTAAAAGTATAAAAGTCAATCAGAGAAGTTGTACTAGTCTTCTTGGGCTGCCGTAACGAAATACTTTAGAGTGGGTGGCTTAAACAACAGAAGTTTATTTTTTTCCACAGTTCTGGAAGCTGAACGTTTAAAATCAGGATGCTAACATGGTTGGATTCTGGTGAGGTCTCTCTTTCTAGCTTACAGACTGCCACCCTCTTACAGCGTCCTTACGTGGTGAAGAGAGACAGTGCATGCTCTCTGGTGGCTCTTCTTGTAAGGGCACTAATCCCATCATGAGGGCCCCATCCTCATGATCTCATGTAAACCTAGTTACCTCCCAAAGGCTCCATTTCTGAGTACCATCACATTGGGGGTTAGGACTTTGGAATATGAATTGGGGATGACACAATTCAGTCCATAGCAGAAGTGGTTAAAGGAAAGGACCAACATTGCATTTTTTTTAGTTCAGCATGTGCCCCTAAAACTTAATTTATTTTAAAATGTAGTTGGAAAATAGTAATTGGAAAACAGTTTTTTAACCTTTTCTATTGTTGCAATTTTGTTGTCTATATCTTCTCATAGCTTTATTGAGATATTATCTTTATATTTCTCACAATATCCTAATATGTGCATTGTACATAGTAAGTGGTTAGTATTTGTGTGGTACATTAAACACTTAATAGCTTGTTTGGTAACTTAAACACTTTCCCACTATACATTCCACTTACATCTTATTGCTGAAATGTACAGAGATAAAGCAATAAAACTTGGTTCTATGAAACAATCACATCCTCTTTTGAATATTATGAGAAGTAATTTTCTGCAGATAAATACTCTTGGATTCTGATAACAAAAGCCTATTAACAGATACATATATGAAAAATAAATGTGAAGTTTTATTCGTATCTTCTAGTAGTTTTTGTACATGTAAAATTAAGACTTTGAAACTTAAAAGGTAAATGATACTTAAAAGTAAAAACTTAAGAAGTATTATAGTGGCTTTCATCATATGGTTAACAGTGATCTTTTCGGTACTAGTGGTTTTTGAAGTGGCAGTAATCCTGAGCTTAAAACAGTAGTGGCCACACATTCTAATCCTGGCACAGCAAAAAGGAAATGTTGGAATGGCAGCGTATGTAGAATTAGGAAAAACTAAACAAAAGGTAACATTCAAAAATGGAATAGCATAGGGATTGTATGACTCCTAGAACATTGCAGATTTATTAATATCTAGGGCTTACCAGATCAGTTACAATTTTGATCAAGTGCCTCAAATTGGCATTGATGAGGATGATAAAAACTTCATGCTTTACAGAGAAAGAATGGTTTGCCTGTTTGTTTATTCATTCATTCAGCATTTATATATTGAGGCTCTCTTGTGTTTGAGGCACCATGCCAAGCCCTGTGCCAAAGAGACAAATCAGTGATAGTTTTTACCCTCAAGTACTTAATTTTTTAATTTACTTTAATATTAAATTGAGTCCCTCTGACATATAAAGCACTGTCTTGGGGCTGTACTTGCAAACTTCATTAAGAGTGGTCCTTTTCAAAAAAACTCATGTCTCATTTAGGGAAATTCACATAAACTCGTAATTGCTCGTAGTTTTTAAGTTTAATAAGTTGAGGTTTGGTGCCAGGTCTAAATGGAGGTTAACATCCCAGAGGAACATACGGCTTTCTAAACAATTCACCAAGTCTGGAATGTGTTGTCCCAGTAGATTACGTTCTTGCTACCCACAGGGTGGTTGGTCTGGGAACCAACAGCAGTGCCACCAGCTGTGAGCTTACTGGAAATGCACGTTTCACCCCAGACCCACTGAATCTGAATCTACCTTTTAATAAGATCTCCACGTGATTTATATACGTGTTAAAGTTAGAGGAGCTTTAATACAAGATTTAACTTGTAGTTATAATTATGTGAGATGAGATTTTATCTGATCTCATAGTTGAGCTGTTGTTTGTTCATATATACTTTTAACAAGCATTTATTGAACACAAGGATTTATTGAACAAGTATGATGTACTGTACCGGGAGCTGAAGACCAAAAAAAGGGTAATATTTAGTCATGTTTAATCATTAAATAAATTCTATAACCCAGTAAAGAAGTAATTCTATTGGTATGGAGAGTAAGGAGACTTTACAGAAGATGTGATACTTGAACTGGACCTTTAAAGACCCACAAGCATTTGTTTAGTGAGAGATGGAGAAATATCCCAGATCATTTTCTCAGGTTTCATTTAACTATCAGCTTTTGAGTAGGTGAATTAGTAGAGGTGTAGTTTGTTGAAAATCTTTTACAATTTATTAGGTAAGCTTCCAACTCAAGTTTTGTATATTTTAATGCATTTTGTCAATGGTATGTGAATGTACTATTTCCTGAGGAAATGTGGGATAACGAACTTTGGAGTTCAGTTTGAGTAATTTTATATTCTGAGCTTCAGTTTGTTCATCTGTAAAGTGGGGATATCAGTCCTGCAGGGTTTTCATGAAGATTGCAGGAGCAAAAAATCTAGCACTATGAAGTTCAGTACATTTAAATTGTTGTTAATGATTATAAGAACAATTTTAGGTTTTTTTTGGTATAGTGTCACTAACTTGTATTAGCAAAAGGAAAATATAATGTGAAATATGCTTAAAATAAAAATCTTCCTTTATAATATAAATGAATATAAAACATGAAAAGATTAAAAAATGAAAAATAATGAGTCATAACATCTGAAATAATATTTTCTCCTTCTGGAAGAGGCAGACTTGCAAACCTAACATTCTCCTTTGGCTCTAGACTTTGCACTTAGTGTTTATAGTCCATCCCAGGAAAGGCCTTCTCTGTCTGTAGTAATGGACCATTTCCGTCTTTCTTAATGAGGCTTTACCTCAATGCCTTTTAAATATTAGAAAGCAAATTTGTGTGAAGTGGACTCTTCCCCATGTTGTGTATGGGCTTCCCAAGAAGAAATACGTGCATATGTTCTTAGAGAAAATATGACTTCTCTTGTTCTTTTTTTTAAAAATTTCACAAATTTGGGACACACATTTTAGTACCATGCTAATAAAGACTGGCTGGTTCTTTCTCATATAAAGAGAAATTTAAATTGGCTTTCTCTAATCAGTGAGAGAGAAATGTTCCTTATTCAACACTCAGGAACTGGGTTTGTGCGTTCTATAGCTGCAGTCTCACATGACTTGAGGTGAAATTTCTTGGTGCCTTTCCATTCCTATAAAATGGTGTTCTGAGAACCACCAGTAGAAGGCAAAATGTAAATGGATGATATTAAACAAACAAACAAACAAACAAAAAGGTGGAAATGGTGGAGAGAACCCACTGCTGCGTGGCAGTGTTTGAAATGGATAACAACATAAAGTGGGCTGTGGTATAAAATTTGAGTCCCACAGTGAAATGTGCTACTCAAGGTAAACAGTTCAGTTTTGTTGTCCTTGGCAGTTCTTGAGAAACTTGTCATGTTAATGTAATTATTGAAATTGAATTTGGAAATTGTAATGTTGCTCTCGTATTTCACTTAAAAACACTGCTGCTAACGCCCACCTTGAAAGGGATCACATATATCTCATAAGCAGGGCACTGCTAATATTTTAGTTACCCCATAGGAAGGATAGTGAAATGAAATACTGTAAAAGCACAACCAGTCTGCATTTTCTTTTCCATGCTTTTTTCCAACGAGATGCATAATGCAAAAATAACCCACTACCCAAGTGCTCTTTACAAATACACAAATGGTACTCATTGTGTGTTGGAGATCACCCTGGGTCTCTGTGACCTTGGCAACATTTCAGGGGTTACATTTTCACATAGATCAACTGTTCTTGAATAGTTTCTCCAATATATTGGCACAGACCAGCTTTTCTTAAACAGTAAGCATTTATACCTTCTTTCCCCACCTTTTTTCCCTCAACAAACATAGCCATTATGGCCTTTAAAAGAGAGAGAGAGAGAGAGAGAGAAAGCGAGAAATCCCTAATTACCATTTACATAGGAGTTTCCATATAGTCTCAGGGCAATGTTGTGATATCTGATCTTGGTCCACATTTTTTCCTTATTTTATTTTAAAGGATTGACTTTTTAAGGATTTCCTTTTGAGAATACTCTATTTTGCATATTGTTCCCAATAGAACGGTTTAAAAGATATTTGTAAAACTAGGCATTTATTTTCCCTGAGATATCTTTTGATCATTTTTCTAAAAGGGAATTGTTGATTTGATTTTTTGTTAGTTTGGAATTATTTGAGGAAAGTAAACTTGTTGTATTTCTTCAGACTTGGTTTTCTTGGGCGCTGAATACTGAGAGAAGCAGCTCTGTATGCTAGTTTGTTTTTTTTTTCTTTCACATCTTAACATACTTCTTTAAATGGCTGTATAAATAACATAAGTTCCTTTGATCACTATTTGATTTTTAAAGTTGTTTTAAATTCATGATGAAACTACTAATTTCCTCCTTTGGGTTCTCTGAGTATTAGGCAGAAAAGTTATTCTGCAAGTACCATGATACAGAAGAATAACAGTAGAGAAGAAAATAGTTAATATTAATGTCTCTTAAGTTCTTCAATGCATCTTCACGTTGGAGAGACTTGATAGTACCATGTTCAACTTTTAATGTAAACAAGTATCACAAAATTCTTTTTTCTGCTTGATTTTACAGTTGTATGGCTAGTCCAAAGTTGAAAATGTGTTTGTTCTTGAAAGAAAAATGTCCCTCATTGCTTGGATTAATGGTGCTTTAAGACGTGTTTATTCAAAGATGGCAGCACAGAGGTGAATAGGCTAAATGCTCTACATTAGACATCATTGTGTCTTTCACAACAGATGCAGTCAGTGAACTGTTTATATAGCTGCCTTAAATTTTTCTTTGATTTATAATCTATGAGAAAATGGAAATGTTTGTCTTTTTTTTAACAAAACCTTGGAGATTTTAGACAAACGTATCTAGTATTCTAAAAACCAATTCATGAAGAAGTCTCAGCCTGCTGCACTTCAGCTCTGTTGTTAAATTACATATTCAGGTTCTTTTAAGAATTGTTCTAATAGGCAGTTGAATGAAGAAAAATTATTTTGATTTTGGTATGTTAGAGGCAATTCATTTGTTAAATGTGAACTTATGACACTTCAAAATAATTATTAAGAAATATCTTGGTATTTATGAGGTGTGTGACATCTTTTTTTTTTTAAAAATAGGCTCTATATAGCATATAATTATTAAACAAAACAATTAGAATTTTTTTCTAAACTCATGTTTCTTTTTGTTTGGTTATTAGAATCATCTTGTTAGTATTCTAAAATAGATGGAAGTGATCAGACTAGATGCTTTAGTTAATGCTAAAACTGTGATACAAACACACAAGTGATAAAAGGAAAGGAAACTAACCAATGTATGGCTATCTTTAGGATGTCTTGAGAGAGCTTCTGTTAGCATTTGAGTTAAATTCTTCTGGCGACACAAATATACATATATATTTAATACACTTTTTGTGAACTTTCTCACCAGTATGACTTTTTAGGTGTAACTAGCAATCTTTTAGCAAGGATAGCAGTAAAACTTTCTACTTCTACAGATTTATTTTTCGTTCAATGACGTACTCCTAGTTAAAAGCTCTTTTGGGATTTGTAAAAATATATCTTTGCTAATACTAACTCAAAGGGTGAAAATGAATAATATCTTTCTTTAGGAGTTTGAAAAAAGTTTATCCTCTTGTTGCTTTGTTGAAGTTGATGTAACTTCTCAAATTAGTCATATATAAGTCTGTGCATATATACGTAGCCCAAGAGTACATTATTTTTGACAGTTAAATCTAGGCTTGATGATCAAAGTATCTGTTTCAGTACAGAAAAATATTTGAGAATGAAGATTTTTATTAACATTTGAGAGATGACTTTATGTGATTAATGTTTTAATACCCTGAGTTTGCTGAATTAAATCTGAAAGTTGAAAATTAGCTTGAATTTGACTATGATCCTTTTTTCACCAGTTAATTATGTAATTTCTTTGATTATATGTTAATGCTGGGAACTTCTCAAGCTCAAAACAGTGTAAAAAAATAGAGCTCCCTAGAGCATATGTATAAATATAAAATACCTATGAATTGGTTCTATAATCCTGAATGAAAATGTAAACATTTTGAAAGAAACCCAATTTGTAATTATAACTTTTTTTGCATGTTTTTAGGTAGACTTTTGCAGGAGTTATTTTTTCATTTGTTCCTAAAAGTGAAAATACAGGTATAAGCAAGCCTTTGTAGAAAATTATTGGCTCTTAGAATATGTGACTATTTTAGAAAATGATTAAGTGCCAAAGTAAGACCCTATTGTAAGGAGAGGCTTGGATCAATAAGTTAATATAAACTATATCCTGAATCAAAAATAAGTGAAATGAATAGAGGGTACTGCTTTGAAAGATTTAGTATCTCCATAGTATTTATGATTACTGTATGTTTAGTAGGCAACATTTATGAAAGTATGATTTATTTATACTTTGGCTTGTTCATGAATCTGAAAGGATCCTAGGGAAGCCTGAGATATTTTTCCTCACAGGCTTTGCATATGTAAATATCCGCCAGTCAGAGTGGGTTTGAGGCCTTGACCTTGTTTTTCTGAAGCTCTCTGATAAGAAGAGCTGCCTGCTCTCCATGACAAGGTCTGGCCCTGCTGCTGCACCATCACCTTGGAAAGGGGGATTAAAGCCCCAGTCTGGAATGACATGACTTGGCTTCTGTCCCAGCTCTTCCTGCTTATATAGGATGACCCTGCGTGGACTCCGAAACCTTTTGTGCCTTGGGTGCTCCCAATGTAAATAAGCGATAGTGTTATCTATTCCCGCGTGACTCATGGATATTCAAAATCATTATAGATAATGCGATGCATTGAAAGGCATTTGGGAATTTTGGCTGTTAAGGTACTGTTCTTCTGTCTTTCATTCACCCAGAAAATTGGAGCATTTGCATCTGCCAATTACCCTTTTGTAGTCCTCGCTTACCACCGAGTATCTGGTGTAACTTAGTAAACTGTTAAAAGAATTGAAATAAAGAAAAAGTTAGCTATAATCTTACATATTTCTTTTTTTCTATGAATTTTAAATGAGAAAGGCAATAATGTACATGTTCTTCTGTATGTTGCTTTGTACATGTAATAGTATAACATAAGGGTTTTTTTGTTTTGGTCCAGATTTTTTGTAAACATTATTTTTGATAGATGTATAAGATGTTCAGCCAAGAAGACATACTGTGGCTTACTTAGCTCTTCTATACTTGGATGTTTAGATTGTTTCTAGTTTTTGATATTATGAGGTGTGTGTTATGAGAGGAACATCTTAATTTATAAGATTTGATCTGATTTGGGTATATATTCTTAGTATTGGTTCTTAGCAACAAAATTACTGAGTCCAAGGGTAGGAGTACTTTAATGCTCTTGATAATTACTGACAAATTCTTTTCCTTTTTTTTTTTTTTTTTTTTTTTTGAGACTGGGTCTTTCTCTGTTGCCCAGGCTGAGTGCAGTGGCACAGTCATGGCTCACTGCAACCTCAAACTCCTAGGCTCAAGGGACCCTCCTACCTCAGCCTCCTGAATAGCTGGGACTACACGTGCATGCTACCATACTTGGATTGTTTTTTAAAAATTTTTTTCTAGAGATGGGAGTCTCACTATGTTACCCAGGCTGGTCTTTAACTCCTGGCCTCAAGCTGTCCTCCTTCCTCAGCCTCCCAAGGGGCTGAGATTGCAGGCATGAGCTACCAAGTGCAGTCCTGACAAGTTATTTTCTGAAAGATTTTAAATGTAGTTTAAATTTGCTACTTAGACTAGATATTCTCTTCTTGGCTCTGACACTTTGATATGGTTTGGCTTGCCCCCATCCAAATCTCATCTTGAATTGTAGTTCCCATAATCGTCACTTGTCACGGGAGGCACCTCATGGGACATGATTAGATTATGGGGGCAGTTCCCCCATGCTGTTCTTGGGGATAGCGAGAGACTTCTCATGAGATCTGATGGTTTTACAAGGGGCTTTCCTCTCCTTTGCTCAGCGTTTCTTTTTCCTGCCACCATGTGAAGAAGGACGTGTTTGCTTCCTCTTCCACCATGATTGTTAGCTTTCTGAGGCCTCCCAGCAATGTGGAACTGTGAGTCAATTAAACTCTTTTCTTTGTAAATTACCCAGTCTCAGATATTTCTTCATAGCAGTATGAGAACAGACTAATATACACTTTAAACACTTCATTTTTCTAGGCCTGGTTCTTTCAAAAATACTTCTCAGACTCTCCAGCACACTAAAATAGGATCATTCATTTCTCTCAAGTGGTTGTGGGTCCCTCTCTCTCAAATTTATTAATGTAATCAGAAAGTTCAGTACATTATCCTGAGGTAATAGCTTGTATAGTTGTATTAATTTCTTGAAGCTGCTGTTACAAATTACACAAATTTAGTGGATTTAAACAACTGAAATGTATTCTCTCATAGTTCTGGAAGACCAAAGTCCAAAATCGTTGTCCCTGAGTTGGAATCAAGGTGTCAGCAGGGCTGTGCAACCCCTGGATGTTCTAGGAGGTAACTCATTCCTTGCCTTATCCAGCCTCTGGTGGCTGCTGGCATTCCTTGGCTTGTGGTTTGCATCGGTCTAGTCTCTTCCTCTCTGGTCACATTACCTTCTCTTCTTCTGTGTGTGCAATTTCCCTCTGCCTCCCTCTCATGAGGACACGTGGTGGCATTTAGGGCCTATGTGGATAATCTAGGATAGTCTTCCCACCACAAAATCCTTAATCTAATCACATCTCCACAAACTCTTTTTTAAAATAACATAACACTTACAGGTACCAGCCATTAGGACCTGACTTTTCAGGCCACTACAACTTTTCAGGCCACTACAAAGATGAGTAAGATAGTTTGACTAATGCTTTGGATTTTCTTTAAATCATATATGTATATATATACACACACACATACACACACACATATATATTTAAATCATATATATTATATATAAATCATATATATATGATTTATATGACACTTCTGGGAAATTATATGGTTGAATATGAAGTGCAAATATGAATATAAAGATGTGAAGGCTTCCGATAGTATTATCTCTTCCTAGTAATATATGACCTCCTGTTAAATGTGGTATATTTCTATTTTTTGAGATGCAGCAAAAGAAGCGTTGATGTTTTATAACTGGTGTTTAAGAAAGTTTTCATTAGAAACGTGAAATTTCCTAATTCAAATTCATGAAAATTTGAGAAAATTTATTATAGCCACTGTCAAAGTTAAGGAGGAAATTAAAACTTTTCCTTTTGAAATGGGAATGTCTGTACTGGAATTAAACTGAGCATGTTTTCTCCCTATAAATACTGTTGATGTCAACTAAGTTTCCCTGTTCGCCCACACATGGTACAATTATAGTTTCAGGTATATATTTCTGACAATCTATACCAGGCACAGAGCTTGCTATTCGAATTACCACCGTACAGTTCTAGAAAATAGCAGGTTGTCACTTCTAGATTTGCAGCAAGAGAGAGGAACTTAAAGAAGGTGGGAGAAAAGGCAAGGGTTAGAAATAACCTGCCAGTTCTAATCCTCAGAATCTTTGCATAAACAAGATTGGAATGAAAACAGGATTTTTTTTTTTTAATTTGGAAACCTGTAACTTATCCAGTCATAACATTCCATGCTGAGTGCATGCACATTTTAGAAAGACACCACAGTGTAATGCGCTAGGTTCCCAAATCTGCTTCAGTGCTGGCTTTGTGTATAACTTGAACCTAAGATGTCAATTAGCTGGATGGTGTATTTTTACATAGCATCCGGTAACATGGAAATAGAGGATAAAGTGGCCAGCAAAAAAAAAAAAAAAATAGCCTAACAGAAATAAGTTTTAAGAACATTTTACATGTTAATCAGAGTGTTAAGTTCTGTATTTGTAAATGCAAAATTGTAAAGGCACAATTTAAGTTTTAATTTGTACATACAAATATGATGATGACTTCAGAAATTTTCAATGCCTAGTCTCAGCTAAATACAATGCAAGTGTATTAAAAACAAGGGCAGAGTTTCAGAATAAGGAAAGTTAACAAAAGCAATTTAAAATAAGTCCTAAACCTGATTATTTTGTTCAAGAGTACAGATATATATGTTATTTGAGGCAGAAGTTGGGACAGCATAGAAGCTGTCTGTATTATTTGAATAGTCAGAATATCAAGTAGTAAGCAATTTGATTACTTTTTAGGGGTGTGGAAACAATTTTGTTAATTTTGTTATGGCAAATCTTGGGAACCCAAATAACTTACCAAAAAAGGGTATACTTCTAGATGTTTTAAAAATACATAGTCCTCACCCATATCTCTGGAATCTTTGAGACAGTTTACCAAACAGTAAAGCAAAAACCAACCTGAAAACAAAAAGCACCAAATAAAGTTGCCCAAAAAATATGCCCCAAGAGTGTCAGACCTCCCGTGATGCTAAGCTTTGCACATCCATTTGAAAAGTAGACTAAGGTCTTGTAACACTGATGGTTCCAACCCTGGAACCCCTTGGGCAGAGGGCCAGTTAGGTGTCCTTTTCTGTTAATACTTTGTGCAGGGTTGGTAGGGGCCCTCAGCTCATAGGTTGAAACTCAAACAAGTATTCTCTGCTTCCTGGGTACATTGGTCATTGAAGAGATTTAATGTTTCCAAATTGAGTGTTGTGACCTATTAATGGGGTCATGACATCAATATAGTGGGTTTCAACTAGCAAATACATAGATTAAAATACAGTAAAATCGAAAATATCAGAATGCCTCACCTGTAAGGATAAGCATTGTTTTGTGAAAATTTTGTTTAAATGGTGCAACATGATGTAAAATCTTCTAATAGGCTATTCTTAGATCTCAGTCAGAATAAGACTCCTTCCTTGTGGAGAAGGAGTGCCTAAAATATTGTTAGATCTTTGTTTTCAGATCTTGAGAGGGCCCGAGAGACCGGATGGCAGTTTATTACTGCTGGCAGTTGAGTGTGGTGAGAACATACAGAGAACGACCTTGAAGATTTAGACTATATTTAACATGACTGAGAGATATTCTTGACCATGTATTCACTTCCCTGAAATTGACTTAATCAGTTCAAAAGCTTGTCTATAACCTAGGAAATACAAATTAAAACAACAATGAAATATCCCTTTAAACCCGTCAAATTGGCAAAAAAATAGTTGATATCTGATATCTCCAAAGTTGGCCTGAATATGGCAGAAGAGGAATTCTTTTCTTTCTCTTGGGAAAGCAATTCGACAGTTCCCTGTAAAGCAGAAAATGTGTGTATCCTCTGACCCAACACTTCCATAGCTATGCATCTGCCCTGGAGGGACTCTTCTCCTGAACATGGGCAAGAACACTTGCACCAGAGTGTTCATTGTACTACTTGTATATGTGTGTGTACAAAATGGAGTATAGCAAAGATTAGACATATAGTCACATAGGTATATATTCATATGAAGATATATCTGATCTCTGCTATACATACTCTGGTTCATTTCAACAATAGACTGGTTAAGAGGGCTCTGCAGACTGCATGGTGTGTGTGTGTGTGTGTGTGTGTGTGTGTGTGTGTGTGTGGGGTGTATTTAAAGGAAACAACTTGACTATCCCTCTCTTGAGTAATTAATAACACACAAGTTTATGCTGCGAATATAGCAGTTGAAGTGAATGAATTATATTTATACCTGTATCAATGGAAATTCAATTCACACACACACACACACACACACACACACACACAGAGAGAGAGAGAGAGAGAGAGAGAGAGAGAGAGAGAGAGAGAGAAGATGGGGAAAAAAACAAACTGGAAATAATTCATGTAATATAATGCCATTTATGTAAAAGTTTGGCCCACAGAACACAATTGTGTCTGTTATATCTAGGCATTCACACATATTAAAACAAAAAACCTGAATGAAATTATATTCTGAAAATTATTTATCTCTAGAGAGGAAGAGAGTGAGAAGGATGATGGCAGCACTTAGTGGTAGTGTTTTAGCTATTATCTAGAACATTTTCTTTCTGACAAAAGTAAACATTCTGAAGCCTAAATAGCAAAATGTTAATATTTAGTAAATATTTCTGAATTTTTCTGTTTTTTTCTGAAGTATTAAACAGCTTAAGATATAGTCTGTTCTATACAAAGTAGAATCATTTAATCTTTGAGTTATTGCTTAATACATATGTTGGGAATTTCATATCTCTTTGAATATATTAAATTTAAAATTAACTTACTATTTTGAAGAAAGGACAAACTTTAAACCCTTGCAGTCTCCTTTGCTAATCTCTGCTGTACTCATCTTCACTTTAATGATGGAATGGTTGAGAGTGTAACCGGAAATGTTTTCTTTGTTTTGCTTATTCTCAATTCAGTCTCTGCAGACTACTGAATTCAATCTTGATGTTCTCCAAGTATGCTCTGTTCACTAGAACAGAAGCTCTGTGAGGGCTAGGTTTTGATCTCTGCTTCACCAGTGTGTAATGCTTGGCACATAGCAGGGTGCAGTAATATTTGTTGAATGAAGAAATAAATGGATAAAGAATGAGTGCTTTTTCATAGCCTGTTAGTTTATGTATGTAGCATGACTAAGTGCATATTATATGCAAAATAAAGTTATGGCATAGAAATTAATTAGATGCTTCTATATTAATCTGTTCCTTACTTGCCTTCTAGAACTTAGGGCAAAGTGTATTTTTCTGAACAAGTTTGTCAGCTACCTTTGTTTGAAAAGTAAGAATTCAATTTAACCCCTTACCCCCTTTTTTATCCCCGAGTCCCAGTTAGTTTAGTTAAGTTTAGTATTCGATCAGACAGAAAAGAATGAACTTATTATACTCCTGTCTCTATAGTGTCTATAGTTTCTGATTTCTGTGTTTGCTTTTGTTCTTGTTGCTGCTCTATTTAATTCTTAATCATGTAAATTGCCTCAAAAGTCTTTTTGAAAAAATAAGGACAAATTACTTCCATAAAAATTTATATTCTTGTAAAGTTGTATATTACTTACTTTTTTTTTTTTTAAAAAGACAATCTTTTAAGATGTTTCTGTGGTCCAGTATTTTTAAAAGAATTCGGTTATGAATTTTATACAGCAGATGCTTAGTGTTATGGGCTGAATTATATCCCTTATAATTTATACGTTGAAATTAAAATGTGATTGTATTTGGACATAGTGTCTTTAAGGAGGTGATTGGGTTTAAATGAAGTCATTGGGGGTAGGCCTTAATCCGGTATGACTGGTGTCCTTATAAGAAGAAGGTGTTAGGACACAGTAGAGAGGAAGGACCAGGTGAAAACACACAGAAAGGACAGCCATCTGCAATGCAAGGAGGGAGGCCTCAGAAGAAAGCAGCCCTGTGGACACCTTGATCCCAGACTTCCAGCCTCCAGAATAGTGAGCAAATAAATTGCTGTTCTTTAAGCCATCCAATGTGTGGTATTTGTCACAGCAGCCCTAGCAAACTAATACACTTAGTGAAGTGAATAAATATGTACACATCCCTCTTTTATTTTATAAACCTACATTTTAATAGACAGTAACATCTCCTTTATATCTTATGATGATATGGAATTCTTATTTTCAGGAAGTTAAAAAATTTCAAATGTGTATTCCATACAATAATACTTCATGTTTGTGTCATTCTTTATATTTTAAACAATTGGTACACATCATATCATTAGATAGCAATCTGACATCAATGATTTGCTGTAGAAATGCGTTCCGTTGCATAAGAACATTTCAATGTCTGTGTAGTCATATGACTTACAGATGCACTATAATAATAATAATTAATGCCTATAATAGTGACTTTGAAGTACTAATACCATTCAGGCACTTTGCCCTTTCAGCTAGATTTAATGTTAATGTTAGTCTGTTATTCTAAGAAGTGGTAAACAATATATATTAATGTGATAGCAGATAGGGATTCAGAATATTAAATTTGCTGAAATTACTTATCCCTTACTTAAGTTATTGGTGAATATTATTTATGGCATTGCTTTTGCAGTAATGAGCTGTGTTAGTTTTAATTCAGCCACCTCAGGTGATTTGTGAATTACCTGTAAGAGAAATCAAAGACTGTAAACCTTTGTTCAGTTGTGAAACATTCTTTTGCTTATTCTAAAATGAAAGATGTGCTAATCAATGATGAGCAACATAATTTTCTGTGGTAGCAATTGTGGAGGTAAGTTCTCTGAGGTTTTAAAATATATTACATTGTAAAAAACTTATATATGAAAAAGATTGGTTTTGAACCTACTCACTTTTTAGCATTGGCTTGCTTTATTCCACAACATAGTAAATGTCGAGAAAAACGAACTTGGAATATTGCACTCCTATCATTTGTTTTTCTTCATCATCCCTCAGCATTCTATGTGTATACTTTAAATGCCACAAGAAAATAAAAGCAGTATTTTATGAAATGGTCTGCCCTAAATTTTAAGGATTCTCTTTTCAATAACTCTGAGCTTTAAAAGTCTTGGAAGCTTTAAATAATTTCTATTTTTGGCAAACACCATGAGAATTGTTTTGGATAAATTATTTGAAAATAGATGTCTTCATTTAAGTCATATTCTGTTTGTGAATTCCTTTACAGATATTGTCCAAAGATGGGGAAAATTTTCTTTTAGTTTAAGATGATCAAGATGGTTAGAAAGGCATGATGAATTTCTTACCTGGCCTAATAGCATGAATTAATTTAAATGAATTTTCTTGCTTTTATTCAAAAAATAGCAAATTATGTTTTATTTTTCACTGGACTGCTTTAGACAGGCATAGCAAATATCCCAATTTAAATTTTATCTAGAACATGTAGACCTTATTGCCATTTGGTATTGCTTCTGTAGTGAAGACAACTGATTACTAATGCAAACAGTAATGGCTAACAATTTGAAAACTATAGTTTTTATAATTAGCTTATAGTTTAAAAACAGCTCTTAATAACTGAATATTTTTTACAGCTTAATCAGTGAAAAATAATCTATATTTTCTGTCAAGTTGAGTTTTATGAAAATAAGGCTTTTTAAGGCTTTTTTTGACTACTCAGATCTTACATTTACATAATGTTCTTTAAACATTTTCCCTTTTAATAAATTTCATTATGTATTGTACCCCAAAGACACCGGCTGTCATTGGGATTTTGTTGCACGTTCTGCATTCCTTTGCATAGCCTGGCAGCTGTGATACTCAGGACGTCTCACACAGGATGCCTGCCTACCTCTGGCTTCTATGGCTTAACTAGAGGCTAACTTTATCACTGCTGGGCTTGTGGTGGGCAGGACAGTATCCCTGTCTCTCTGATTTTCTTTGCATTTACTTCTTTATCTTGATGGAAAATTTGGAACTTTTACTAAGAGAACAGTGATGTATTTTAACATTTAAATAGTGGAATTCTTCTTTTGTTTATTCTTTTTTTTTTTTTTGTCACGAATAGACATTTATTTTCCTTTAGGAAAATATCAAGCTACAAAGGAGTAATTAATGGATAATAAGATGAACAAAGTAATGATGATTTTAAAGAAGTATTTCTAAGGTTTGTTCTGTTTTTGTCAAGGAGACTCCTAGTTCCTGCTCAGCCAAGATTTTTCTTCTGTGAATAGTGTTTGGATATAATTCACATTATCTCCAATGACTCTACTTTTTCCTGGCTGCTAAAGATAAATAGCTCCTTAGATTGATATTTTCTTTCTGTTGATATATTGGGTAAGTCAGCCAGTTTAGAGTTAAGTCTAGTTGATTTGAAAATCTGTATGGGTACATGCCTTGAAAATGCCCTTGGAGACCAAATTAAAATTAAAACCATTTTTTGTTTTGCATGGTACTTATTACTTTTGTTATGTCAAAAGCGCAGTCTGAATACTGATGCATTTCAGACCACACATTTATTCGTGTCTTATATGGGGAAAAAACAAACACATAAAGTATTCACTCTTAAGGGGCAACAGCCCTAAAGTAAAAACATTTTATGACTGGCCAGTAGTCTTCCTGACTGTTCATTTATGAAAGATGCATCCTTTCCAAATACCTAATGCATGTGGGGCTTAAAACCTAGATGATGGGTTGACGGGTGCAGCAAACCACCATGACACATATATACCTATGTAACAAACCAGCACGTTCTGCACATATATCCCAGACCTTAAAGTATAATAATAATAGAAAAAGAAAGATGCATCCTTTCATTTTGTATCTCCTTGGCCTGATAGATTGTTGAAGTAAACACTTGAAGACAATCATATATTTAGGGTAGTGAAGACTACTGATTACTAATGCAAAGAGTAATTAGCTAACAGTTTGAAAACTATAGTTTTTATAATTAGCTTATAGTTTAAAAACAGTTCCTAATGACTATGAATAACTCATAATTTTGGCTCCTTAACACAAACAAGATCATTTATATTATAACTATTATAATTGAGTTAATTTATGGGTTTTGTAGAGCAACTCTTGGATTATCTCTCTGTAGGGATTATTCTTCCTGTCTCCATATAGATATCTCAGAATGTTTCATTGCTATCACTTTTGAGTACTTCTCAGCATAAATGTGTACATCACAGTTCTCAGCTTCAGATCAGTAACTGTGGGATGTGCAATAGAACAATCAGAATGCACATGCCTATGCTTTATCCTAGATGTGTTACTTTAGAATTTTGGAGGTGGTAGCTGGATAAGTGCATCGTGGAAAAGCTTCTCAGTGTATTCTGACACACTCCTTTCATGAAGAGGCATTGACTATACCATAAACCCTAGAAATACGTCATTGGCAATGCTACTGTTTTAAAGGAGAGAAAGGCATCTTTTTGTTTTTGACCCAGAATGGCATTGCCTATAACAGGTGAAAGGGAATCATGCTATGTTAACAGGAATCAACATTATCCATTTTTGAAGAGTTCATTAAACAGGCAATATTTATTTGGTTGTCTGTTCTATGTTAGGAGCTTTCAGTTCAGCACTCAGGCAGCAAATAAGGTAATGCCTGTGCATATGCTCGGTCCTTTCTGTCTGTCCAAAGCTCCTCTCTTCTCCATTCCCCTTTTGCCTCAGTAACTCGTCTATTAAGATGTAAATCAAGAAATGCCTTCTGTCTCAGGGAAGCCCTTACCAGAACCTCTAGGTAGAGTTAGAGGCTAACTCCACGGCACCCTAGAGTCCATAGCATGTTGTTATCATGTGTGTATCGTTGCATGTAAAAATATTCCTATTTGTTACGGTTTGCTTGTATGTGTTTGTCATTAATCTATTAATTCATTCAGTGAAGAGATGCCAACTTGTATACTAGCCTGGGAAACCTCTGTGTCCTCAGTGCCTAATTTAATACTCCTTTTTCTATCTAGTAGTAAAATGAATATGAATGTACATGTCTGAGGTCTCTATAAATTAAAAGGTAAAAAGTCTTAAGCCAGGTGTGGTGGCATGCACCTGTATTCGCAGATATTTGGGAGGTTGAGGTGGGAGCATTGCTTGAGGCCAGAAGTTTGAGGCTGTAGTGTGCAATGCTCTTACCTGTGAATAGCCATGGCCCTCCAACATGGGCAATGCAGTGAGACCCTGTCTTTAAAAAAAAAAAAAAAAAAAAAAAAAAAAAGAAAAAACAAAAAAAAGTAAAGGTCTTGGGGAAGGGTCCACAGCAAATAAGTAGAGGAAATTTGAGCTGTTGTTGCCCTGTAACAGGAGACAAGAAGATATTTTTCATAAGAATTGCACTTTCTACACTGAATTAGAAGGTTCGATAGTATGTCAGAATTATGGAATTTTGTAAGGGTAAATTTAACATATTAGTTAGTGTGTATGTGTCTGATATTTTATACATCACATTTGAAATTGTTTTTTTTTTGGTTCCTATTAATTCATTCAGTAAGCATTGTTTAAACCTGTCCTTCTTAAACTTTATTTTTGCATGATCTCTGTGATGCTCTTCTCTCCTGGTTATCTTTCTTCTCTCAGTGGCCCCGTCTCTTGTGCTTGCTTTTCATCCTAAACTTCTAAGCAGTAGAGCTTCTTAAGGTTTTATTCCTATCAACATCTCTTCTTTTTCTACATCAATGATCTGTAATATCACCCTTTTTTAAGGGTCTCTGTACCATCTTTATATTAATGATTCCCCAGTTTTTAATCAGCTTCAATCCTTTTATTATAGAGAGTAATTAATTTCAAATACTCGGTCATGAAGAAAGGGTAGACTGATAGGTATCTGCAGCTGAAGACAGGACTTTTCATCAAATCCAATGGTGGCTCATTAAAGCATTCACCGAAGTCAGATATCTTCTCTTTAAAAACATTATAAAAACCCTTATCTTTTGCTTGAATAATGTCTCCGTGTTCATAGTTCTTATCGACTCTTCATGACCTTACTCTGTGTCACTGTCCTAGGACTGCCGTAAGAAATTACTACAAACTTGGTGTCTTAAAACAACAGAAAATAATTTTCCTCACCATTCTGAAGACCAGAAGTCTGAAATGAAGGTGTTGGCAGGGCCATACTCCCTCTAAAAGTGCTAGGAAAGAATCCTTTCTTGCCTTTTCCCAGCTTCTGGTAGCTCCTGGTGATCACTGGTGGTGTTTGGTTTGTGGCTGCATCACTCCAGTCTCTGCTTTCACATGGCTTTCTTTATGTATATTTCTGTGTGTCCTCTCCTCTTAAGGACAGCAGTCATTGAATGTAGGGCCCATTCTAATCCAGTATGACCTCATCTTAATGAATTAAGTCTGGGAATATAATTATGTCTGGGAATATAATAGAGAAGACTCTATTTCCTGTGTTCTGGGTGAGTATGAACTTTTGGGGGATACTAACTTACTATATACTCACTAGGTTAATCTATGCTAAATACCCAACAGGAAGGCAGCTGTAGGGAAAAGCAAGAGTATGAAACCTGGAAAAACAATTGCCAGACTCTGCTGCTTGTGGGTATGTGGCCGTGGGTAAGGTAGTTGCTCTGTGCTTTCAGCTTCCTCATGTACAAAATTGAGATAATAATGATGCCCACTTTGTGGAATTCTTGTAAAGATGAAAAGATTCCAAATATGTAAAGTGCATAGAACAATCCCCAGCAAAAAGTGGAACATGTTAGTGATAATTGCTGTCATAGTCGGTCTTCTTGCTTAGTAGGCCTGAGATAAAACTTTCTCCTATTTCATCCCTCCTCCTCCCTCTTCCTGATTTTACATGTTATTTAGTTGTTTCTCCCTCTCACTATAATTATTTGTGAGAAGTTACAAGAGTTATACTATGGTAGAGCAGACAGGCTTTGCACACCTTCAGGGTCAGTTCTGGACCAAACCACTCAGAAACCACTGCACGGATGAATGGCTGGAGATTGTGGGGCCTATTGTGTCTCCAGGTGGCTGTGGTTACATGGGATCCCTGGAATGTTAATTAATTTTCATATTTCCCTTTAAGGTACTTCTGTGGCTCAAACAATGAATTTCTGAGTTAGGTCCCAAAGTGGCATTTTTGTTTGCCAACACCCTCATAGGAAACTGTATTAGAAGCTTTCTTGTAATATTTAAGAGCCTTTAAAAGAGCGAGACTCCGTCTCCAAAAAAAACAAAAAAAAAGAGCCTTTAAAAGACATTCTAGATACGTAAAGTTAGTTTAAAATCTGTTCTGAAGGCTAGCACTGGAGCCTTTGCTGACATCTTCACACTAAAGATTCTGAGATTACTTTTAGGTTGTGTGCCTTGCAACACTAAGGTAGATTTATTGCAACTAAGGGGCCCTGAGGTAAGCCAACATATTCTCATCTTTCTTCTGAAAACCTTTTGGCCTCATTAGAAGTATTTGGCTTTAAAGTTTGCCTCATTTTATATTATCCCATGCAATATTTTTTCCTCTCAGAATTAGAGGAAAAAATACACCATGTCTCAGGTGATAGTAGTGCTTGGCACTTACCTAGGGACTCCAGATGTATTCATTGAAGTAGATTGAAGTCTCTTGAATTCTTTCCTGCTATTAGAGAGCAATGGCAAAAAGCAAGATTCAATCTAGCTAAGTAATTTATAAGATAAGCTAAGTAACATAAGTTTGGATGTTCAGTATAATTTGTCAATGTGTGCTTTTTAGGCATAGTTGCTTATTTCTATTGTACCGTGAAATTAAACTACAATATTAAAAATTTCAGGCCAGGTATGGTGGCTTATGCCTGTAATCCCAGTACTTTGAGAGGCCCAGGCAGGAGAATCACTTGAGGCCAGAAGTTTGAGACCAGCCTAGGCAACATAGCGAGACCCCCATCTCTAAAAAAATAAAAATAAAATAATTAGCCAGGCATAGTGGCACACCTGTAGTCTCAGCTGCTCAGGAGGCGGAGGCAGGAGGATTGCTTGAGCCCAGGAGTTTGAGGTTATAGAGAGCTGTGATGGTGCCACTGAACTCTAGTCTGGGGAACAGAAAGAGACCCTGTCTTTTCCCACTCCCCCCAAAATTGAGACAATTCAGTTTAAAAATCCTTATGAATAAAAAAGGACTTATTAAATTGACTCACCCAGTACTTACGTGAACCACATATACTGTACTATGCTTTCACTTCTTTGACCTATTTTTTTGGATATTTGATACATACTAATGTATTCATAAAAACTATTCTAGTTTCTTCTCTTTGTACAGTGGGATGAGCTGAGGAAAACTACTCATTCATTCATTGATTCACAAAAGTTTAAAGTCTAAATATTACTGGCTTTGTGCCAGACTGAGGATACAGAGATGAGTGAAACTCAATCTTAGTGAATCTGGAAGAGGGAATTGATGTATAAACCATTAAATTAAAACATAGTGTGAAAAGGGCAAGACATAGCAATTATTAACTTTATCTAGAAGTCAATGTGGGGAGAAGTGTGCTGCCAGGTGGTAATGCCTGAGCTGTGTTTTAAAACATAGAAGAAGCTTGTTGGCTGACAGGAACAGAGGGGAAGAAAGCCAGCGAGATCTTCTCAGATACCATGGCTTCACAAGATACAGTGTATTTAAGAACTACAAGCAACTTGATTTTCCCAGAGTTTGCAGTACATGGGCTTTATGTTTCCGGGAGTCCTCTAGTAGCTGTGGTCTTCAGTGTGGTTTCTGGAAATTCAGAAAATTTTACTGACCTCATGATATGTTCCAAATCATTTGAAGAGATAATATAATATACTATGAAGTTAATGATCATTTGCACAAGTGAATGTAAATTAAGCCGTGATAACTGATATCTCAAAGTTGGAGATATTACAATCAGTATTTTCAACCTTCTTTCTGCTTCAGTACATCTAAGGTATATAAAGCACTCTTGTTAGTAATGGTGGCTCCCCATGGCAATAACTCTTGATCATGGGCAGTGGTATAGGAGTAGGCCCAATTTGTGTATTTGCTAAGGTCAATCTAGTTTCTATAGCAGATATATCTCCACATATAAGTGGATTAACACACTGTATTAGCCCTTTTTCATGCTGCTTATAAAGATATACCCGAGACTGGGCAATTTACAAAAGAAAGAGGTTTAATTGGACTTACAGTTCCATGTGGCTAGGGGAGCCTCACAATCATGGTGGAAGGCAATGAAGAGCACATCCTGTCTTACATGGATGGCAGCAGACAAAGAGGGAATGAGGAAGGTACAAAAGTGGAAACTGTTAGATCTCGTGAGACTTATTCACTATCATGAGAACAGTATGGGGGAAAGCACCCCCATGATTGAATTATCTCCCACCGGGTCCCTCCAACAACATATGGGAATTATGGGAGTACAATTCAAGATGAGATTTGGGTGGGGACACAGAGCCAAACCATATCACACAATAAATATCTGTTTTCTCATTTAAGTAAAGTACAAAGTGGAAGCTTTTTACTGATAAGAGGGTATGAGGTGGGTGGAGGTTAGATTGGAGGGGAGTGGGCCTGGCTCCATGTTTTGCTCAGAGATTCAAGCTGATAGACACTCCACTTTCTTCATCAAGTAGCTTTAAAAGTTGCCTTGGGTGTTCCCAGCAAAGTGGGATATGGGGAAAGAGAGAATGGAGGAGGTCCATCTGCTTTTTACCTAAGTTTAGAAGTGACATACATAACCTTTGCTCATGTCTCCTTGGTGAGAATCAGCCAGGAGGTCCCACCTAAATGCAAAGGAAGATGGGAAATGTGGTCTTTCCGAACAACAGTTCAGCTCTATAGAAGGTGACCACAACACAGCCAGCTGCCTCTGTAGCCAAGGCTTTTTAGACTCTCCAGAGGGAGTGAGGGGTATGGGAATAATAGGTAGCTGAGAAAGCCTCACAGGTGATTCTGGTATGTGCTCTTAGGGAGGGCACTTTTCTCTCTTCAGCTGATTTGAGTGTTATTACAACTAGCCGTATCTCTTCCTGTGTAGATACAGATCAGAAAATTTAGGGAGGGTAAGTTGGAGGCAGAATTAAATGTAAAACTTGGATTCATTCTTTCATGTACACCATTCTGATTTTCCTTCATTTCTAGCTGTCATGGTGTGCTGCTTTTTTTTTCCAGCCAATTTTCAATGTCAGTTTTTGTTAAAATTGTTTAAAATTCTTAAAACTCCCAGGAAATTATAACTTTTAAATACATTTTAAGCTTTATATTGCTTTTGGAAGAGGTGACACAATCCTCAGATTGATGAATATTTGATGTAATTTTTTATTTGAGTAAAATTTTATTGAAGAGTCTATTATGAAATAATTTTCAAGTGGGCAACATATATGTATAGTGTAGCTCATAGGTGGAGATTAAGCATATTTTCTGCTTTTTATCTCTTTCAACAACAAATGCTGTGAGGTTTACATTATTAGCTTATAACCTTATGTAAGTGGTGTTAACGAGACTTAAGATTAACAGCAACAACAGCAAAAACTCTTGGAAAGAGATTAAGAATTTCTGCCACCACTGATAGTTTTTTGATTTTGAAAAAGTCACTTCCTTTTGTTAATCATTGTAAAGATTGAAACTATTGCGGTAAACAGGATGCTTAGTGTGACAGTTTGAACCACAAATTTTTAGTCCTCTTTGTCATTTGATTTAAATATCTAAACTTTGCTTTGCTTTCTCCAGAGGCTCTGCTAAAGAATGGCAAGTGATATACCAAGCACTGTGTGGAGTCTCAGAAGGTGATTTCTGGTCATTGTTCCATTGTATTCATGCTTATTCTTACTAATTAATTATCTCTGTGTGTGTGTGTGTGTAGCCTACAATGTTTCAGGCTCTGTGATAAGCCAGGTGGTGGATGAGGGGTACAAAAAGACATAATCCCTATTCTCACAAAGTTTATGTTTCAGTGAAGCATCATTCAATTGAACTTTTGTGATGGTGGAAATGTGTGTCTATCTGTACTGTTCATCATCATAGCCACTAGCCATGTGTGGCTATTGAGCTTTTGAAATCTAGCTAGTGCTGCTAAGGAACTGAATTATTATTTAATTTGAATTCATTTAAATGTAAATAGCTACACTTGGCTGGTGGCTATCTTATTGGATAGGGTAGGTCCTATGGAAATACAGACATTATTCAAATAATCATGGTAAAACTGTGAAATTTCAAGTCTAACAAGTGATAGGAAGGAGGTAGATAAAATGCTTTGAGCACCTATAGAGGTTTATTTCACTAATACAGGCAGGTCATTAAAAGCTTAAGTTTGAGTGGTAGAGATGGGGAGAAGTGGACAAATTTGAAGGATAGAGTAGAAAATGGACAGGATCTGGCAATTGTTTTGAAAAAATGTTGTGCAGCTAGGTGGTCTCGAAGATGCCTTCTAGATTTCTTGCTTGTAAAACTGAAGAGATGAGGCCTACCCACTAAGAGAGAGAACACTGATAAAGGACCAGATTTACGGGTGAAGCAAATGAGTTTGGTTTTGTAATATTGGGTTGGAATATATAGGCCTTGAAGAGAGATTTGGGCTGGACATAGACAGCTAGTAATTGAAGCTATAAACAAGGATGAAAGAGTATTAATTGAGTGATCAGAGTCACTCTGAAAGTGAGTCACTTAGAGTATTAATTGAGTGATCAGAGGGCCAGTAATAAGCTGAGGAACTGCAGTGCTTAATGGTGAGTATGCATGCAAAGGAAGGATAAGAATTACGGATTCTGAGGGAGTTGAGGAATCACTGAACTTAAGGTTCTAATGAAGTCAAAGAATGGTTTTAGTGGATACAGTTGAATGAGGAGGCTGGGAGGAGAAAGGGTGGTGGTTTCTTTATGATAGTTGGATAAGTAAATTTTGAGATGAAATATTTGGTGGTGATCATAATATTCAGGAGTCAATTAGGGAAATGGGTGACCGACATACAGGTGGTCACTGGAGATTAGGGGACTGTGAGACCATATAGATTAATAAAGTGAAAACATTTCATCTCATTTTGACTAAGTAGTCAACAACTCTCTCTCCTGTTAGAATTGTAAGCTATTGATATGAATGCTATAATATGCATATATTTAAGTAGTAATACCTTATATGAAACTCACTTGTTATGGTGCATAATAAAGCTGATGATCACGCAATACCTCAGGAAAATTTTGATCATTCAGAATTTGCAGGTTTGCTATAGAAGATCATTTGAAAATGATTAAAGATGATTTATCCCATTATTTAAAAAATGTATATGACCTCCTCAACCTTGACAGGTACCAATAATAAATGCCTTGAATTTTGCATGTGTGACATTAAAGGTATTATCACAGATTAAATCACCTTTCCATGCTTTGAAATCTTTAAAGCTGAATATTTGATCACTCATCTTTCATTACCATTGATTATTTCTAGCTGCCCTTACATTTTTTTCTTCTTTGTTTTTTATAATTAACTAAAACCACAACCTGGAAAGAACATGAGTTATTTGAATCTTGTTTTGAAAAAGCCATTGAAGTTTTAATACCTGCAGGGAAACAGATAGTTATCAAAACCATTTGGAATCACTCTCTCTGAACCAATTCTCACCCCTCCTCCCATGCTTACATAACAGCACACATAAATTGACTTTTCTAGTTTGGGCCAAGTTGTTAAATATAATTCTCAAATTATTTTAAACATAGTTTGAACAAAAGTGTTCAATTGGACAGATGTTTCATCTTTTCTGTAATAATACTTCCTCTTTAAAAATGTTTTTGAAATCGACACAATTAACATAATGAAGATATTACTATAAAGGAATGATATACATGAAAATACCAATTTTTAGGTATGATTTATTTGATTATTTCTAGCCCTTCATAGTTGCCGCTTGTTTGTGTATGTGTACAATCACGTTTGGTCATCCTACCAATAATTCCACAAATAATCACAAAAGCTTTAATATAGTTTGGATATTTGTTTCTGCCCAAATCTCATGTTGAATTGTAATCCCCAATGCTGGAGGCTGGGCCTAGTGGGAGGTGTTTCAGTTATGGGGTCAGATCCCTCATGGCTTGATGCCGTCTTCACAATAGTGAGTGCTCGGGAGATCTGGTCATTTAAAAGTGTGTGGCACCTCCTTTCTCAGCCTCTTCCTACTTTTGCCACGTGACATGCTTGCTCCCATTTTGCCTTTTGCCATCAGTAAAAGCTCCCTGAGGCCTCCCAAGAAGTCAAGCAAGTGCCAGACCCACACTTTCTGTATAGCCTGCAGGACCATGAGCTGGTTAAACCTCTTTTCTTTGTAAATTACCCAGTCTTAAGTATTTCTTTATTGCAATACAGGAACAACCCAATACAAAGAATTTGTACTGAGGAGTTAGGCATTACTAAAAGATAACTGAAAATGTGGAAGCAGCTTTGGAACTGGGTAAGGGGCAGAGGTTGGAAGAATTTGGAGGACTCAGAAGAAGATAGGAAAATGAAGGAAAATTTGGGATTTCTTAGAGATTAGTTAAATGATGGTGACCAAAATGCTGATAGTGATATGTACAGTGAAGGCCAGGCTGCCGAGGTCTCAAATGGAAATGAGGAACTTACTGGGAACTGGACCAAAGGTCATGTGTGTTATGCCTTAGCAAAGAACTTGGCTGCATTCTATTCATGCCCTAGGGAACTGTGGAAGTTTGAACTTAGGAGTGATGACCTAGGGTATCTGAAAGTAGAAATTTCTAAGCAGCAAAGTGTTCACCATGTGGCCTGGCTGCTTCTAACAACCTACACTCAGATGCAGGAGCAAAGAAATGACTTAAAATTGGAATTTATATTTCAACAGGAAGCAGAGCATAAAAGTTTGGAAAATTTGTAGCTTAGCCATGTAGCAGAGAAAGTAAAAGCTTATTTGGAAGAAGAATTCAAGCAGGCTGCATAGCAACCACTTGGGAGAGAAATTTGCATAACAAAAAAGCCAAGTGCCCATATCCAAGACAGTGGGGAAAAGGCCTCTAAGGCATTTCAGAGACCTTAGCCCCAGCCCTGGCCATCACAGGCTCAGAGGCCTGGGAGGGAAGAATGGTTTCGTGGGACAGGCCCAGGGACCTGCTGCCCTGTGCAGCCTTGGGACATTGCTCCCTATATCCTGGCTGATCTGGCAGCCATGTCTCAAAGGGGCCTAGGTATAGCTTGGGCTGCCACTTTGGAGAATGCAAGCCATAAGCCTTGCCTGCTTCCATGTGGTGTTAAGCCTGTAGGTGCCCAGAACGAAAGAGTGAAGAATGCTTGGCAGCCTCTGCCTATATTTCAGAGGATATATGAGAAAGCCTGGATGTCCAGGCAGAGGCCTGCTACAGGGGTGGAACCCTTACAGAGAACCACTGTTAGGATGGTGCTGAGGGGAAATCTGAGGCTGGAGCCCCCACACAGCATTCCCAGTGGGGCACTGTCTAGTGAGACTGTAAGAAGGGGGCTGCTCTCCTCCAGACCACAGAATGGTAGATCCACTGGCAGCTTGCACCCTGTGCCTGGAAAAGCCAGAGGCATTTAACTTCAACCTGTGAGAGCAGCCATGGGGGCCGAACCCTGCAAAGCCACAGGGGTGGAGCTTCCCAAAGCCTTGAGAGCCCACCTCTTGCAGCAGTGTGCCCTGGATGTGAGAAATGGAGTCAAAGGAGGTTATTTTGGAGCTTTAAGATTTAACGACTGCCCTGCTGGGTTTCTGACTTCAGTGGGGTCTGTAGCCTCTTTCTTTTGGCCAGTCTCTCCCCTTTAGAATGGTAGTGTTTACTCAATGCCTGTATCCCCATATTATCTTGGAAGTAAATAACTTGTTTTTGATTTTACAGGCTCGTAGGCAGAAGGGCTTTGCCTTATCTCAGATGAGACTTCAGACTGTGGATTTTTGAGTTAGTGCTGGAATGAGTTAAGACTGTTGGGAAGGCATGATTATATTTTGCAGTGTGAGGAGGACATGAAATTTGGGAAGGGCCAGGGCGGAATAATACAGTTTGGATATTTGTCCTCACCTAACTCTCATTAGTGCTGGAGGTGAGACCTGGTGGGAGGAGTTTGGATCATGGGGGCTGACCCCTCATGACTTGATGCTGTCTTCCTGATAGTGAGTTCTTGTGGGATCTGGTCATTTAAAAGTGTGTGGCACTTCCCTCCTCACTCTCTTTCTCCTGCTTGCACCATGTGACATGCCTGCTCCTGCTTCACCTTCTGCCATGAGTAAAAGTTCCCTGAGGCCTCCCTAGAAGCCTTTCAGATGCCAGAGCATGGGTCTTGTACAGCTGGCAGAACTATGAGCCAGTTAAATCTCTTTTTTTAGTATTATCTAGTCTCTAGTATTTCTTTATAGCAAGAAATACAAGTTTTTTTTCAATTAAATTATGATGGAATGAAGGTTTTTATTCTCTAATTTTTCTCAGACTTAAGTCTTGAGGCAGTTCTATTAAAATCAAACAAGTATACATACATCACACTGCATTAATACATTTTCATTATTCTCATGTGTATCCTCATTTTAAATGGCAAATGTAGCAATAGAATTGTTTTATTCATTGTTACAAAGAAATGCAACTTCTGGATGGGTGCAGTGACTCATGCCTGTAGTCTCAGCACTTTTGGAGGCTGAAGTGTGAAGATCACTTGAGTCTAGGAGTTTGAGACCAGCCTGGACAACATAGAAAGGCCCTATCTCTGCAAAAATTAAAAAATTAGCCAGGCAGTGTGGCACACGCCTGTAGTCCTAGCTACACAGGAGACTGAGGCAGGAGGATCCCTTGAGCCCAGGAGTTTGAGGCTGCAGTGAGCTGTGATTACATAACTGCACTCTAGTTTTCCAGCCTGGGCAACAGAGTAAGACACTGTTTAAAAAAAAAAAAATGAAGCTTCTATCTTTAAACTTCCTTTCCTTTTGAACTCAATCTGCTGAGTAAGCTATTTTTGGTTAGTTAATTCTCTTTAGTGTAACTATTTCATCTTTATTTTTGATTTAACCCTGCCTATATTACTCTTATTATATGGCATTGGTACCTGTCACAGGGAACTTACTTCTCCTGTGTCAGTGGGTCCATTCAGTGTTCCCTCCATTATTTTATTTATTTATTTATTTTTTGCTGTTGGGAACCTGGCTTTATACAAAGTTTAAACATGTGTCTGCTGAGGAGTGATGGGTTCTTCCTAGTCATTTGGGTCACATGTAGGTATTTATATTGAATCCCACAATCCCAGCTGTTTGCCTTTAATGTTGAAGATCTTATAACGTGATGCATCATGTTATTTCTTCTTCTTGTTTCGAGGCCTCTGCTACCCCACCAACTCTTTCAACATGGCTGTACCTTTCAGTGTTATGTTCTGAATCTCTTGCAAGCCACACCCAAGTCATCCATACGCAGACGTGCACTGCCTTAAGTATATTTAACTGTCACCAGCCTTTTCCACGATGCATTATATTCCCTTGTCATATAGGATATGGATTTGAGCTGAGAGTTGGCCTTCTCTTAGAGCAATTGCTCTCAAACTTTTATGACTAGTAATTATGGTAAGAAGTACATTTAAAATTATAATCCAACATGGATGCTCTTGTATATACACCTAACAAACAAAGGCTTCACAAACCAATACTTATCCTTGCTACTTGGAATACAATGTGATATTTTCTACACTAGTAGTAAATTTTAAAAACTGGACGTTTTGACAGAGACACCTCATTACTACCCCCTTTATCCACCCCCTCAACCCACCCAAGAAATGGTTTAAGCCAGACTGTAGAGTTTGAGAAGTCACTAAAACTTGATCTCCTTGCTCTGCATCTGTCTTTTCTTCTCATACTCTCCCGTGGCCACAAGGAGCAGGCCTTCTTTCTTCCTGCATGCCAGGGCTTCCCTTTTCATCATAGGCTGAGCCTTTTCTATATTATGGGCAAAGTCTATGATCCAGCTCTTGATATGGGAATGGGGAACTACCAAGAAAAATAAATTTTCTAAAAATGTTATACCCAAGATGATGATTTAAGTCATGTTTTTCTATTAGGAGATTCTCCTAAATCATTTTGTTTCTACTCTGGAAAATACTGATGAATAAAAGTGGGGACAGTGTCGTCATTTTTCTATCATATTCTTTATTCTGTTGTTTGAAAGTAATTGTCTTTCAATTGTTCGTGAATATTAATAATTCTCCTTTTTATTGGATTATGGTGCCTCTAGTGTTAAAAGTATTTTCTTGCAAGTTTTCGTTGTCTGGGTTCATAATTTTGAGGAGATTCTTCAAACAGTGCTTTATATGATATTTAAAAATGGATATGGTAAGTATTGAATAAAAAAGAAAAGGGATGTTAATTGTACTTTTTATACTGGTTATGTGGCATTTTGACAAATTCTTTTAAATTAAAACTACAAACAAAACTACTTTTCCCATATGCAAGGAAATCTCTCTTCATACAGAACAGTTATTTCAATTTCTTTTACAAAGAAAATATTGCCTAGAATTTTTATTCTTTTATTACTTTCTGATTCTTTTTATTGAAATGCTTATTGTCTCTTGTTAATTAATTATATTAATTATACAGCTAGTGCTCAGTTTCTCAACCTTTTCCAAAAGAAGTCCCCGGTTTCCATTAAAGAGTTTTATGGGGGCTCCCCACACGTCAAATTTCACACAGCCGGCTACATTGGCTTTTTGCAAAGGTCTTTGAATGCAATGCCAAGGCCTCCCACTAATTGTTTTATGGGCTCAGTGTGGGATCTGCATCCCTGACTGGGGAAGCCCCATGTTAAAGGACTGTGGGAGTGAGGAGTTGTCAAACACACCAAGAGCGAGTACTAAAAAAAGTCCTGGTTAGCTGTAATGTTGCTGCCAAGGAGCATAAGCAGAACCACAAAACATGCCACATGCTGGCTGATTTTAAATAGTGACCCCTATTTCAGAGAATACTCACTTCATTACATTTTTGGGAGAAATTCAAATCACAAATAGCTACATAATTAATTTGAGTGCTCACTTCAAGCTTTGGCATTGGTAAATTATTGTTTTCCAAGTGGCTAAAAAGATACAACTAACTAAATATTTTTATGTGTTCTTTCAAGGAGACCAAACTCATCCTGGTTATCTGTGAACATTTAGTCCTGGAATAATATGTTCAAAGTTGTATGCTTATCTTTTTTCTTCCGAGAAGATTAAGGAAGTATGTTTTTACCCATTTTAACCATTAAATTGCATGTACCCACACTAATAAAAGTAACTTTTTCTGAACTTTAACAAAGAGCTGTAGTGGTAGCATTAAGACTCCTACACCCTCACTAGGCCTTGACATTGATTTTTCTCAGCCTCACGGAATCTGCTTGGCGTTTTGAACCTGTCTTTCCTCCAGATATTGAAACAGGATATTTTTGAGGTACAATATGACCTCAGAGTGCACTGTTAGCTTGGCTAATATTGATACGTGAACAGAATTATTACAGCCACACTTCAAGAGGCCTAGAATAGTAATACTGTATTCTATAGGAAGACAAGTGCATTACTCAGTTCTTGCATTGCTAGAAAGAAATGCCTGAGACTGGGTAATTTATAAATAAGAGGTTTAATTGGCTCACAGTTGTGCAGGCTCTACAGGAAACGTAGCTCCAGCATCTGCTTGGCTTTTGGAGAGGCCTCAGGGAGCTTTTATCTGTGGTGGAAGGCAAAGTGGGAGAAGGCCAGTCACATGGTGAAAGCAGGACCAAGACAGAGGAATGGGGGGAGGTACTCCACACTTTTAAACAACCGCATCTCATGAGAACTCACCCACATTCATGAGGACAGCATCAAGAAGATGGTGCTAAACCATTCAAGAGAAACCTGCCCCCTTGATCCACTCATCTCCCACCAGGCCCCATCTCCAATATTAGGCATTATAATTCAAAATGAGATTTGGTGGGGGCACAGATCCAATTATATCAATAAATACAACCTATTTCACTGCAGGATTGTAGCATTAAAATGAAATGACATATTGATATTTTTGTGAATTTTGAAGTATCTTTTTAGAAGTTGATGGAGAAAGAGTCCTTTTTTTGTAATCTAAATATGTTCATCTTTAAAAGAAGATCCTAATATTTTAGATAAATAATCTTGGATTAGCAATTTTTCTGAAAAAAAAAATTCTCATTTTGTTAGCATGTTTTCTTTCCTTTTTTGTTGGCTGGGGAGGGGCAGAGCCTTGCTCTGTCACCCAGGCTGGAGTGCAGCAACACAATTACTGCAGCCTCGACCTTCTGGGTTCAATCTATCCTTCCACCTCAGCCTCCCAAGTAGCTGGGATTACAGGCATGCAGCCCCATACCCTCTTAATTTCTTTTTTCTTATGTAGAGAAGGGAGTCTTCCAGTGTTGCCCCATCTGGTATTGAACTCCTGGGCTCAAGCAGTCCTCCTACCTTGGCCTCCCAAAATGCTGGGATTACAGGCATGAGTCATTGTGCCTGGCCTAGCACTTTTCTTATATGTGTGTGTAACATGTGGATACCTCTTGTGGGACGTGTGCGTGTGTGTATGAGAGAGAGACTGAGAGATGCCTATATGTCATTCTCATTCTATTGTGCTGTCAACACAATAGCAATGTTTAATGGATAAAGCAAACCACAAATAAAACATTATGTATATAAAGTGCAAAATTAGTTTCGTTTTGCAGACTACAGAAATTAATTTCAATAGTCTGTTGATAATGTTTTAGCACTATTATTTTTGTTCTTTCTAAGTTGGTTATAAGATTGCAAAATCTAAAGCATGCGGGAACCTTTGATGGTAATTTCTTCATCAGTGTGACTTCTAGAAACTTTATCTCAATTATGATATATATTACAATTATCTTATATAAAATAATATTAGTAAGCATGCACTGACTGTGTGGAAAATTACTCCTGAAAGCCAGATTTTGTCTCTGGGTAACCACTTGCTGTGTCTTTATTCTGAATAAGAATCAACAGTATGATCCATAAAGCCAACCTAATACTCTTTATTTAGATAAATGTTAAAATACCTTTACACCCTCTATAAGGTTAAATTGATCATTTGCTATCCAGACCCCAAATTATGCAATCTTTTAACAATTGTCAACATTTCTTCTCTAGGTTGTACTAAAATTTTCTCTTTATTTTGAGTTCCGAAGAGCCAAATTGGATAGAGTGCTCACCATTGCTTCTATGCTGCCATTAGGTTAATATATCCCAAAGGAACTCACATCAAAAGTGCTATTTCATTGACCTATTTTCCACCATGGGTCTCTAAAATGCTGTAAACATGCAACATACAATTATGTATAATTAATTTATCTTATATACTTTGTTTATCTTTGTCAGACATTTTGCTTTGTAACTGTTCTATAGAATGTCCTTCTCTTCATTTTTTATGTACATGATGGTGAAGTTTTTAAAATGAAAACATTTTAACATGCTACCTCCTTTAGAGGTAGCATAATATTATTCCTATTTGCCGATGAGAAAATAGTTTTACAGGAGTTTAGTACCTATCCCACAGTCACATACCACCTACAGTTGGGATGTGAATGCAACAGGCTTATGTACTCTGAAATTTTGGATTTATGAAAGGAAATAAAGGAAATATTGAAATTGAAGGGAGTATTTAGATATTCTGATTTACTTGTTGGTGAGGTGTATCTGGTTTAGAGACTACTCAAGGTAATGACTAGCAGTAGATATGCCATTCTTACTGAATGAATTTGAGAGCCCTGGTTTAAGTTTTGGCACTTCCACTTGATAAATGAGTGAACCTTCTTGGACTTAAGTTTCTCAGATTGAATAATAATAAGTTTAGATTAGCTATTCTTTTTAGCCCCAAAGCTTTTTATTCAAATGAATTTATTTCCAGAAGCTGTTTTTGTAGAATAGATAAAATCAGATGTGTTCTTGTTGGAGGTGAAATAGTGGGAAGAGAGGGGTGGTTATAAAACCTTCTCTGCCCTGTTTGCCCCTACCTCTAGGCACAGTTTGAGATGTTCTAGATTAGATGATCTTTCGGCTCAAAGATAATTTGGGTTCTAGATCTCTTTGACTGTGATTTCCGGAAAGGTCCTGCTCACACTTGGACTGGGTCTTAGGAAAATCTATAGTGTGACACTAAATAACATGCATAAACCACTCTTGATGGGTTGCCTTTGACACTGGGTTGCTTCCAGTTATTATAGCATCCAACTTAAGGATGCTATGTCTTGACTAGCATATGCTGTTTGGGGGACTGTGATGTTCTCTTTCATTTTTGGAAGAAATCCTTGACCCTTCCGAGGAGTATTTTTTCCCTGCTACTTGACACATCTGTATTACCCGTATATGGCAACTATAGTTAGTTTTCTTCACTTTTTCTAGGACAAGCAAGATAAAGTTGGAGCTTCAGAATTACTGAAACTATTCTATTGGCTGAATTATTTTATTGTTTATGTGATTTTCTTGTATAATTATTTCCTTGCCCTTAAGTTTCTAAGCAAAACTTACTGTACTCTTAAGTTGGAGAAGATACTAACTTTTTTGCATTACATTTTGCTTTCTCAACATTATAAAACTTGGAGTAGTTGGAGAACCTATTAGGATACCTAGTCTACTACTCCCTGAATTAGGAATAAGGATACTTGGGGGCATTTTTCATCTTTTGACAATAAATACATCCTTGTTTACCCCATCACTGCTCTCAAAACAAGGACTATGATAAAGAGTGGGGACAGAAGCCTCAGGTGTAGGATCAGAATGTGTCCCAGACATGCATGTTAAGGTGGACTGTTTTACTGACCTCCAACATTCATTTGCCACTTCTCTCCAACAAGACAGTCCATGGTTTCCTTCTGAGTATTCATAAATTTTCAGGGAAGCTGACTTCACATCATGTGTGCAACTTAGATCAAGACAATCAGTGTATTTAACGTTTCTTGCTATAGTGATGTGTGTCATACAGTGACACACATACCGTATGACACATATCACTGAGGATGTGAGTCTTTGGTTATTTGTTGAACCACTGAATCAGGCCTTACCTGAGGCTTATACTACTTAACTTTTCAGTGATGTGAGCCAAAAAATCTTCTTCATGTTTATGTTAATTTGAATAATTTATTGCCACTGAACTTTGGCTGCTACATCAAAGCCTTTGGTATCCTTCCAATTTAACTTACTTTCCTAGAAGTAAAATCTCCTGGCCACTTAGACTGTAGTTTCCTCACCTATTAAGTGAAGAGTTTGTTTTGAGGTATACAAAATACATATTAGATCATGCTTGTCCTCTCTGCCTTCAAGAACTGGAACTTATGTCTGTGAAATCAGAAATTGGTCAATCTCCCTCTTCCTATTTAGAATCACCTGCCTTGTAGCCACCCAGACTCCAAGCATGACATTAAGAATATGGATTCCTCCCATACCAGCAGCATAAATGTCTTACACTTTTAGTCAGTTTCACAATTTATGTTGACCTCTCTCCTTTCTTCACTCTAGAAATATAATTTTTAACTATGCAAATTTTGAAAAAAAGGAATGGACATAGGAATGATGAAAAGTGGTCATTTTTCTATTAATCTGTAATTCTGAGGCAATACACAGGACTATAGGGAGGCTAAGAATTAATGATGTCAAAGATAAGTAGTCTGTTTTGATATAAGTCAGTGAATTTTACTGTTGTGTTTCTTAATCACATACTGGCTTCCAAACCTTAGCCAGTCATATCCTAAGTGTTATCAGAAGTTAAAATTTGTGACTTTCACAAACTCACTATTTGTGAATTTCACAGATGAGCCCAAGTCTTTCACCCAGTGTTAGCAAAACAACCAAGAGCACATGCCTTAAAAATTCTAAGTCCATATAAAATCCACATGTAAAGAAAAGCACTGAAGAGCTTTGAAACTTGGACATGGTACCGGAGAGATTTTAATGGGAATTTGGATATTTGTAAGGACTTGAACCAACTATTCAAAAAATAAGGCAAAGAACCAAGTAAATTTTTAAAGCTGAATGAGTTGTGATAGTTGGTGGGGTGTTAGTGGAAAATAACTTTTCTTAGTTTGTGCCAAATGGTGATAGGCAGCAATCAGGGCTTTATAAGAATTCAATGAATGGTAGTTTTCAGCAATCCAATTTCACGCAGCAAAGATTACCTGCAAGGCACACATTTCTCCTTCCTTCCTCCCCTCCTCCCTTCCTCCCTCCCCTTTCCTCCTCTTTCCTCCCCTTCCCTTCCCTTTTGTCCTTTCCTTCCCCTCCCTCCTACCCTCCCTCCCCCCCAATCCCTCCCGTCTCCCTCCCCTTCTCTCCCTTCCTTTCCTTCCCCTCCCTTCCTCCCTCCCTGCCTCCCTCCTTTTCTTCCTTTCTTTGAAAATGACAGCTCTAATATGTGTGACTCAGTGATGAATGCCCAGGAAAGAATATTTATGAAAAATAGGTATGCTCTTTCACTTTGCACTGCAGGATATTTGGTGCTTTTCGTTCTGAATAGATGTTTTATAGGTTTCGCAAATTTTGTATCAGACTCTTCTTGGTCTTATCCGTAAAGACCAATTACATGATTATATTTAGGCCTTAGATGGCTCTAATATGCTTGATAGCCTGACTTTTGCAGTGTTTTCCTACATTCTGAATTATTATTTAAATTCAAGATGTTTAGATTTTACAATTTTTATTTAAGGCCAAGCACAATATTAGCTTAGAGGAGTTTGCCCCAGAGTTCAGATGCATCTGTCATTTTGAATGGATACTCTGGGGACCTTTCTTAATTTGTTTCTCTCACAAACACCTTGTTAAATTTGGTGATCATGTCCAAAGTCAGCAGTGCATGCTGAGTTTCATGAGTTATTTGGCTATACATTAGGTTGCATTTTTTAAAACTGTCACTATTTTCTTGAATCTTACAGTGTTATAATGATTTATAGGGGTGTGTGTGTGTGTTTGTGTAAATGGCTACCTTTGCTTTTTGTGGTTTAAAAAAATAGTTAAAAATAATACCTTCAATGGTATTCATAGGTGAAAATCTAGTAGATAATGTTTAGAAAACAGAGGACCTCAAATTAACTTATGTGTTGACCTTTACAAAAATGTGTAATTTAAACTGTCTCATTTTATTTTGAAAACTTATTAAATGCATGTTTTTTCTTTGGTAGAATCAAAAGAGTTATTTTTAAAAAGATATTTCCTTTCTCAAAATTGACCTAATATTTACTTTCTTTGAAAGTTATTTGTGTATAATCCATTTACCCACAATTCTTAAGTTTTGCTAACAATAACTGGTGAACTCAGATGATCTGGACACAACTAGTGCAAGTCACAGGCTTGGTGCACAAGAAAGGGACAATAAAAGCTCTAGTGGACAGACTGGTTTGTTCATTCCTTGCGAGTCACTGATGAATTGATTTGGCTTCAAACTCGTGCTAACATATTAACATTTTCAATTAAATTCAGCAAATAATGACAGTGTTACTATGATCAGATCATTAGGCTCCTCTAGATGAGAAATAATTGTAGTGCATTTCCTGCCCTCATGGAGCCAGTGGATTGCTAATGGCATTTAAGGCAAAAGCAAAAATAAACAATATTCAAAATGAAACATAGGAACTATACAAGGCACAGACATTCTGTGAGGGCTCCTAAAAGGGCAGGATCAGAGATGAATGGGGAAAGTAAAATCATCATGAAGAAATTGATGTTTGAGTTTATGAAGAAACAGATGTTTGAGATTATTATTGAAGGATCAAGTAGTCTTTTGGTGAGAGAAGATGGGAGAAAAGGACATTCAGTTGGCAGAAATAGCATAGTGATGTTAGGGAGGTCAGAAACTGGGAAATGCAGTTCCAGGATAGCAAGCCTGAAATCGTTGTGCATGAAGGAAACTGCCATGTTATGGATCTTAAATCCCAGGCCAAGGAGTATTCACTTAATTTGCCAGGCAGGGGAGAACCATTGAAAGCTGAAAAGCAGTAACTTGGAACTGGACTTTATGGAGAGCAGTTGGGACTCTGCTTAGGAAGAACTGGAATGCATTCAGAAAGTTGCACAGATAGAGATAGTAAAGGGCCTAATTGCATTGTGGCAGAGGTAATGTAAAGAAAGAGACCATTGCCTGGCACATCGAGTATGTGGAATCCATTGTATTTGGCAGCTAATTGGATATGGAGGATGATAACACCAAAGTTTTGAGGCTGAGTATCTCTGGAATGTTGGTTATTTTTGTTAACAGAAACTGGGCAGTCAGAAGAGGAGCTGTTTGTGGAGAGTAAATGTAGGAATTTGGTAAAAGTGCTTTTTCTTATATTGCTCTAGTAGGCGAAAGTCTCGTCAAATGATTAAATATGTGTATGTGGTTATTTTTTATTTTATTTTCTGTTTTATTGTATTTTTTTTTTTTTTAGAAAGAGAAATAAAGCTATGTTGCCCAGGCTGGAGGGCAGTGGTATGATCATAGCTCACTGTAACCTCAAGCTCTTGGACTCAAGAGATACTCCTGCTTCCACGTCCCAAGTAGCTAGGACTACAGGCATGCACCACTGTTTATTTTTAAAAATGTTTGTAGCTGCAAATCTTCCGAATGGGTGTGTGTAGTTCTTTTATAAATTTCCTCGAGATAAGGTGTAGGCAGAAACTGGTATTATTGTGCATGAAGGCAGATCAGTTACATTTTCATCTTGATAAACTAAAAATATTTTTAAGAGTTGAAATCTCATTCTAATTTCTGGTTGATTCTTTTGAGACAGCATTGGGCGGGCCCTCCTCCTATGTTGTCATGCAAATTAAGTGGAAGGCTGGGTTGTTTTTTTTTTTGGCAAGTCCCTTAGTAATATAAGAAAAAATATTATTGTTTGGCTAGATGCTAATGTGAATAAACAGATGGCTGGCACTATAGCTGTTTTGCCTGAGATATGAAAACATGTAAAGATATAAAACAGGCCCCTTATTTTTGCTCATTGGTCTTTGGTTCATATAAGATATTTTACCTGTTTATATCTTTTATGTGGTTGAATAATAATCAACTGAGCAATTAATTGGGGTAACATTACTAAGTCATTTATGTCATACAGAATCTATGGCATAATCTATTTTGATGTTATATTTGTATTTTATGAGTTTTAGGGATAAATTAATTTTACTATTCTCATAAAACTCATTTATTTTTACTTTTATGCCCCCAGACCATAAGATTCATTTAAAAGAACAAATAAAATGATTTGTGACACAACTCTATGAACAGTTTTCATGATACATGCACTGAAAACCACCAAAGGCAATGCCTCCCAACAATTCCAGCTTCCTTAGATTGTGGAGCATGAAACTTGGCTACTACGATGGCTTAAGAGATTCCTAAATGCTTTAATCCAGTAAGTGTCCCACAGCACTTCTCTTAATTTCCACTGAGATTTTGGTTACAGTCAAAGCCGTCGTTAAACATTTGTTTGGTATTGCCTTGGGGGATAGTGGCATGTCTTAAAAACTTGGGCAGTGTGACTTGCAGTGGAGAAACTAAACTAGAATCACTTGGAGCATTTAATATGTGCCGTGACCTATGCTAGAACCACTCTCTGTATGTTCTCACATCATATTTGCTCCTCTGTAACTTTTGTATCACTTCTGTTATCATCTCTCTGCTAAAACTCTTTTGCAAATGTCATGAATTACTTCTTTGCAAAATTTAAGGGCCTTCTTTAAGTCCTTTTGGTGTATCTCAGGATCATTTAACACTCAGGAGTCCCTTCTCAAAACTGTGTTTTCTGGACTCTCCTCACCCACTTCTGACCACTTGTGCTGCTGCTGCTTTGGTTCCTTTGCAAGTTTCTCTATTTCCTCTGTGTCCCTTCTTGGTGCTCTCAGATCAATTTGAAGCTTTCTTCTCTTAGCCCTATTCTGGCTCATTCTTCCCGCTTTTCATGACTTCATTTAACTGCACTGTAGCTGATGCCTCTCATATCTTACATCCCAGCACAGGTCTCTCTCTTATGCACCAGATCCTCACGTCCTATGATTTCTGCACGTCTCCACTTGGAATGATAAACAAGAACTTCAAGCTTGACACGTCCCATGTCCCAAGCTAACCTCGTCTTCCCTTCCCCCACCAGATTTGCTTTTCCTCCTGTGTTCCCTAATTAGTAAACTGCATCTCTGTTCTCCTTGTGGCCAAAAGCAGAAACCTAGGAATTGTCCCTGATTCCTTGACTTCTCTGTGTCTTCAACTCAGTTTTTAAGGCTTGCTTGTTCTGTCTCCTTAATACTTCTCAGGTATGTCCACCATTCTCTACTTTAAACTAAGACTGTTTAGGATTACATCGTTTTTCACCGGAATCACCACAACTATCTCTTAACTGGTTTCCCTGCAGCCAGTTTTGCACCTTCTAGTCTGTTTTATATACACTCTGTTGTATATACAAAGTGACTTTTCCAAAATTCCTAAATGGATTCTCAGAATAAAGTGAAGAAACTTCAGTATAACATATGAGACCCTTGAATATATGGCATTGCTTAGATCTTCTGGTTGCATATGTCACCACACATTCCATGATTAGCTCCCAGTGGTCTTCAGAACCTAGCTGAAGCTTCCACTGTGGTTCAGATTGGCTGTTCCCTGGTATTTCAGGTGAGCTCTCTGTCACTTCTTTGTGCTCCTGTGACACAGTGTTGGACTCTAAGACACTGTATTGCAATCATTTGCTTTCTTATTCACTACACTTTTAGAATTTATGGGTAGGAACTGTGACTTTTTTCTGTGTATACTTAACTACTAATAAGGATTTAGTATAGGGCTAGTAGGTATACAATGGGAATGTTGAATGGATTAATGAATAACCAAACTAGGATGAATAAAACCTACAACCTACTTTCAAGGAACTCACTGCCTAGTGAGAAGTTTACAAGTACCAATACTTTTAAAAAGCCATCAACAGACAATTACAATATAGTGTGGAATGAGCTATTAAAACTCTTGTTTTCAAGTAGGAAGTAATTAAATGTTTATCTCAAGTGACTATCTCTTGAAGATATATCATAGAAATATGCAAAAATTTTCAAGGCATCCAACCATGTTTCTTTGAAATGAGGCCTTATTGTGACACTAAAAATATCCAGAGCACTTTACAAAACATTTTTATTGACTATTTAAAACTTTACCCCATCTTTTGTTTTGTCAGTTTTATGAGGACTAAGAAAAAAAAATAAGGCAGGATATATTAAGTTTCTGGACATCTCTTTGGCTGGCTAAGTGGCATGAGGACCATTGCTTAATTTTCTTTTCCTTTCTGAAACTACTATAACAGTTTCTACTATTGAATAGGGTTTTGCGTGATTCTGGCCTCTGACTTTATGCTTGGTAGCTAATTCACTTACAGCTAGCTATAAAAAATACAGTTTTCTCCTCCTCTATTGAAAATAATTTAGGAGGACAAATGCATTTTTAAAAACTTGGGCCTGTTATTTTTATGAACCCCTAGGATTTTTAAATCCTATTGTGACACAATTTTACTCATAATAATAGAGCAAAATATTGTCAAAAAATTTAGTGACTCCTTTAGACTTTTAAAGTTACAAATGTTATACACGTCGTGGACTTTTATGTTGCTGGAAATAATCAACATTGTGAATATTAACTCTGTGATTGAAAGGACAGGATCTTTTTAAGTGGTTTTCAAGTCATGTTCCTCAGGGCCCTAGAATTTCAGGGGTCATAGGGAGCTTTGGGGGAAGCTGAAGAGTAGGTGGGCAGGCTCTCAGTGAAGCTCTGCAGCCTCTGCCTGCAGCTTCTACTCTTCAATTATATCAGCTGCTTTTATCTGTTACCTACTGGAGTGTGTTTTGTTTTGTTTTCTTTTCCTTTTTTAGGATATCATATTTAGAGTGAAAATACTTTGAAAAAATTAAGAAAACCCGTGAAAATAGAAAGTGTTCAGATTTCGTTCCCTAACTGTCTTCACGTGTCACCTACAGTGATATCCTCAAAGACAGCAAGGGAGGGCTGCATGCTTAAAAATGCTGGGCAAGCAGAGTACCCTGTCTCATCTGTTTTCCATCAGAGCCGTTCAGTCACCATGTGGCGTTTCCATTGTCTGGTCAATAGAACCTGTGAACCAGGGCCTGACTAGGGTTGGTGGGGGAGTGTGAGGTGGAAATTTGGGGGATGGCGAGAAGCAGAAGTTTAATGATTCTTAAGAGCAAGGGAAAAGGTTGATGTTCTTTCCACTGTCATGGTGTTCGCATCACAATACTAAGGACTTTCATGCCAGGAAGCCAAAAAGTCAGGTCAGAATTTTATAGATTTTGGCCAAAGGCTGTTCCAAATAAAAAGTAAGTGTTTAAAGGTGCTGACCATTGCCCTAACTTCTTCTTCCATTCTTTTGGTTCCTTACTTTTCTCCCCTGCCCCAAATAGGGTTATCCCAAGTGCAAAATTCAAGTGACTGCCATAGTAACCACACAAATAGATCACAGAGGAGTTCCATTTACTTTAATGTCATGACAGTTGAAGAAAAACTACACATGGGGATACCTTTGGGTGACATAGATGATGATATAAAAAGGTATCTGTAAGTGATAGGCTGGAATGGACTTTGCCCATAAAATAATTTGGATCTTAAGAAACAGATATCACTATTCTTAGTTTAGGGAGTAACTGCATCTTTTGAAACACTTTAAAAAAGTTGGCAATGTTGATTCAAAATGCTATTTTAAAAAACTTGCAAAATGATATTTTTTTGGAGAAACTATAACTGTCAATTTGAAGGATGAGATTCTCTTTAGCAGAGCTTGTAAAAATATCCATTGCCATATGTGAAACAGGTTTAGGGCAGTTTGTCATAAATAAATGAGTTTGTCAAATACATACCCACATACACCCCTTTTTTGGCCTTAGAGGATGAATTCCAGAGCCATAAAAAAATTGGCATTTTACAACACATCACACAGATAAATAGACATTACATTAATATACATAATAATAAGAAACAGTAATTTAATAACAGGGATTAATTATGCCTGGAGGAAAGATAGTGTTGGAGGGTATCAGGATTTGCTGGACTTGGCTAGGTCTGACGGTTATATCAACTGTTTGATGAGAATATCACTCAGAAAGTTCTGATTCATCCTGTATTCTGTCAGGATCATCATCTTTGTTAATGACCTTACTTGACTCAAACTGCTATAGTAGCTACAATAGCTTCATTTCTAATTGTAAAAGTAATATGTGTGTATAGTAAGAATCGTGTTTTGTTCCACTACCCAAAGATAACCTCTGTCAGCATCTGGTGTATCTTTCTTTTTCTTTGAGTGTGCATATTATATATAAAAGATGTATATATAATGCTTTTTATATAATATTCGTATGTATTAGAATTAAGCTATTCATAAAGTTGTAAGCTGCATTTTTATTTCATTCATTTAACAATTCTTCATTGTTTGCCTGCCATAATCTAGGGATTTTATGTCCTATTAACTGTTCCTTGAAAACATGGCACTTAACGACTTCTTATTCCATTATATCATAGTTTATTTAACTTTTTCCTTATTGTTGTACATTTTCATTGTTTCAGTTTTTACTATTATACATAATATTAAATCATTATCTTTTGACCTCCTTAATACTTTAATATCTCAGTATTTCCGATTATTTCCTGAAGAAAAATTCTAAGAAATGTAGTTATGTTTGCATAATCCTCAATTTAATGGCATTGAGTCTGGGGGAAATGAGACAAACTCAAGCTTTTATAGAGCCCAGACAATAGGATTGTCTGGAGAAACTATAAGACATATCTACTGCAATTGTTTTTCAGTAATCCAGCATGCTGGATGGATTCTAAATGGCCTGGTGTTTAACATCACTTTAGTAAAGGTGTATCAGGGTTCTAACATAGTATGGTTGACCAATATGTAACAGATATTTGTTATGACAGACTGTCATTGTAAACTGAGTTATTCTTTATCCTGTTATTCATTTCTCATTACTGTTCTCAGAGATATTTGAGACAATCTCAACACCCAATTATTACGTGTAAAACAGTTGTTAGAGCCTAATCCTTTGCACACTTCTGGGTCAGTGATGCTGTAAAAACATTTCACTGTACCATGACCTCACTGAACAAAAGAAAACGAAAAGTTTAAGAGAAAAGAAAATGCCTACACAGTACATAGGTATTCCGTTGCGTTGTATGACAGTCAACAAACTTGGCTCTGTTGTATTTCCAACTATGTATGGTATGTGGTTGTTTTAGATACACCCTGCAGTAGCTGATGGCTCAAGGTGAACAATAACTGATAGTCTCTTTCTCTGTGCATATGTGCATGAGTGCACATGTGTTTGTTTTTGGAAATATGTGATTTGGTTCATTTCAGTTATTTGTAGCATCCACGAATATTTAGTCAAGTGTTCAATCTTCCCATGAAATACTTCAGAGATTCATCATATGAAATCATGGGCTTCTCTTTAGTGCTAAGTCATAGCAAACTATCATCTTTTTAAGGTTGATTTTGTAGAGTGTTAAATGCTATTTAAATTTCCCTTAGATAAGAAACCATTTATTTTTCTCCTAATCACTTGAAATAGCAAGAACTAATCAACTGGAGTTTTTCTCCTTTTTATGTATACACCAATCTACCGCTGACTCACGTGCATGTTTCTGCCTTTAGGTCAGTGGGAACTTTTCCCAGCTATGGTTTTTTTTTTTTTTTTTTCTCCTCCTTCATTCCTAATTTCTCTCAGGAACAAATGGCAGCATAGTTAAGCGTTAGAAACTTGTTGCCGAAGGTGCTAACCTAAACATCAGTGCCAGGATACGACTGAGACTTAATAGACTAATTAATTTGTCTACTGCACCCCTGACCTGGGAATTGCATACAATGGGCTATACTTATGGAACTGAGAGTCTGAGATCCAAAGTAGAGAAAATGCAACTTTTGTGTGCTTTCTGTATCAACATGGAATTAATAGTTTTTTCCCCCTGCAAAATAGGTTTTAAAAGTGGAATTTTATTCCATCATGTTTTTGGAAGCATGATACTTCAAGATTCTGTGTGCCTTTTTGTTTTTTTGTTTTAGTTTTCTTTTTTCATATTTTATAGTAGTACCAAATGAAACTTTCACATTATTTAATCCAAATATGAATATGCTGCTCACCTCCAGAGGATCCCAATTATTACAGAATACAAGTTTCTACTTTGTATATTTTAATATAATAGTGTGTAGTGTGTTTTCATAACTACACTAAGTCATAGAAAAAAAATATGAACTTGAAACTTGAATGACATTTTGAAACTGTTTGCATTATGAATTCCTAACTATGGTATTCATACTTCTTTCAGCAAGTAAATTAATTTTGTTTCCTCTTGTATTCCTTTTCTTGCTTCTCCATTTTAAAGACAGCTTAAATATGCTTCAAGGGCAGTTTGCATTTGACTTCCACTGAATTTATGGCACTAGATAGAAACTAAATTGAGTAAATCTCTTTCTATTAGCCTGTCAATTTATGGAATATATATGTCTCTGGATCTTGTGAACTCATGGAGGTACCAAATAAACCCCTATTACGATTTCATATAAAACAAAGTTTTAATATTTTGGTAATTTGTGAACTTGGAAGCACTCATTAGACCACCAAATATGTGTTGTGCACATGCCAGGCACCCTTCTAGGCACCGTTGATAAAGTGGTGAACAAGACGGGCATTTTCCATCCCTCCTACAGCTTGCCTTTCAGTAGTGGAAGTCACACTTAAAGTAAACACACAGAGTAATGAAAGAAAATCAAGACAAGGCTGATGGTTCTACAAAAAAATGAAACAGAGTAAAAGGACAGAGAGTGACTTGTATGTGTGTGAGGTGGTGTATTAGCAGAAATATTTAGGGCATGGCTTTCAGAGAGGTAATCTTAGAGCTGAGAACTAAATGGTGATATGGTAGCCTTTGGGTAGATGCTGATTTCATTCAGTTATTGCCAGCCACTTTACCTGAAAGAATATACAAGATTCATATTCATCTCAGTATAGGCAGAATGCCTGGGACATCATAGATGCTCAGAAAATGTTAGCGGGGAGAACAAAATAAAATATATATGGGCATATGATTTCAGGGGAAAATGCCTTATCTTTCTAAAGTTATGTTGCCTCTAACAGAGGAGTGAAAAGTTTAGATTTTGTGTGCATTTTTTTGTTGTTAGACTATAATGTAAGCCTTGGATTAATTTTTTTTCCTGTATTATTGTTATTTTTGTATTTTATAGGTTTCACAGTGGTAAAGTCAGTGGGTGTACTTGAAGTGATGTGCCTTGTATAAACGATAAAGTCAGAAAAGAGTGCTTCTATTGGAACATTTTGTGCTACAAATAGCAGCAGCATGTTTATCTGACCGTGGTATTCATGCTGTGGAGCTCTAAATCAAGTTGAATTTGCTATGATAGTATACCTCACAGAAATTAAATCATTAATGTTAAAGGAAAAATCATAAAATGATTTTTTATGCCAAGTTATACAGAGGCAGTTTGCCATATGTCTAACCAAAGGTGTAAGACCAGTAATTTGAATTTCGTGGGACAGACAGGAGCAACTAGAGAAGGGAAGAAGTCAAATGGTGTAGTGGCCAAATAGGATGAGTGACTGTAGACTATTTACTGCTTTCAAATGAATTTTTGTACCCATTGTCGAAAGAAAGCCTGATGAACAGGTATGTTTGCAGCTTCTTTGCTTTGACAGGTTTTTTGTTGTTGTTGTTGTTGGGGGTGAGGGGAGTGGGCTGCAAGGGAGATGGAATTTATTTATTTTTGAACACGTAGTGTTTGAAAGACATTGGGAGATTATTGGATAGATAAAGAGTTTCCAGTGTAGGCTTTAAAATATTTATCTTGATCTGTTTCTTCTTGTTGATACTTTGAGAACTACAGTTTTAAAGATAGAAAAAATATTTAGTTTATTTCCAAACTAAGAATGGGTTTGCCTTTCAGTAGAGCTTTATGTTAAATGTTGATGTTGCTCAGTCCTTCCCTTGGCTCTCTTCTCTTCTCACTCCATTTGTTTTCATCTGTACTTAGGCTTGAAATTAGCACAGTTCTCTTCTCTGTGTCCCTTAGCGCAGATCCTCACTGTTTCTCAGACTCTAAAATAGTTTGTTAACATCTGTTCATTTTTTTCCCCTTCCAAACTGTCTACCATTTCATCAGCAGAATGGATATCCGAGCCTATCACTGTCTCTGCAGTGACCCCCAGTGCCTCCAGGACTGGAGGAATGTGTCTTGTGGCATGTAGCGTCCTCCAGCTTCATTAAGTCCTTGCTGCCATTCTAGCCTTGTTACTTGTCACCACCCTTTCTATACCTGTACTTACAGCCTATGCATTTTTTATAGTCCCTCATTGTACTGGCCTGCTCACTCATTCATCATTTTGTTTGCACTTGCTGTTCTCTGTTAGTTGAATGCCATTCCTACCTCTTCTCTTGATTGGGAATTTTTTATCCTTCACGATTCTATTTAAATGACCTGTATCTTTTTTCTGTGATGTTTTCCCTGGCAGAGTTAGGCACTTCCTCTGTCTTCCCGTATTAATGCCTTGAATACATCTCCATTTTGATTCTCAGTATACCCCTTAAAATGTTTGTTTACATGGCTTTCTCACATCCACAAACCCTTTATGGACAGACACTGCCTTCTGTTTTTCTCTTAATCCTCATCCCTCAGCACATTAACAGGTAGGGATTTAATTGTCATGCATTGAATAAATAAACTGACTCCTGCTCTACGTGTTTAGCACCCTGCTATTCATAGTGGAAAAAAATTAAAAGAATATGATTTTGTTCCTTATTCTGTTTAGGGTTGAGATTTTATCTGACGGGCAAGACTTAAATACATGAAATAATGACAGACTACAACATATTGCAGAATATACAAATGGATTTTTGTTTTTTAAATTTTATGTATATGTATAAACACACACACAGACACACACACACACACACAGACACACACAATCCATACACACTGCAGGAGAGGGAAGGGCAATTCTTAAGTTTCAGTTATCGGATAGCAATCATAAACTAGGTAAGAGCTTAGTTGGGATAGTGAGGGAGTGAGATTGGAAGTGGCACTATGGTTTGAGCCATGACAAAGTAGTGGCTATGGGATAAATGAGTCCTCATATGCTTATTTTACCTATCTTATTTTCAGTAAATCCTAGATATTTCATATAGGTTTAGTGTAAAGGCAGATGTTGATCATTTTAATTTGTAAAGCACCAAAAATAAAATCAAGGAAAATAGAACACTGAATGAAAGTTGAGGTATGCATTGTGCTGATTCTATCTGGGGTACATGAGACAGAAAGAAAATTTAGGGAACTCATGGCCATGTTGTTCCCTGGGGTTCTGAGATCTCTAGCTAGTCATCTCCTCTCCACTCTTCATAGTCCTCTTATGTGTGTTTTGTATATGGTGTCCATGGTTTTTAACTGTACTAGTGGGAGAAATAAGAAGTGCTTGGGAGTCTGAGGCGGGCAGATAACAAGGTGAGGAGTTTGAGACCAGCCTGGCCAGTATGGTGAAGCCCTGTCTCCACTAAAAATACAAAAAATAGCTGGGTGTGGTGGTGCACACCTGTAATCCCAGCTACTTGGGAGGCTGAGGCAGGAGAATCACTTGAGCCCAGGAGGCAGAGGTTGCAGTGAGCTGAGGTTGTACCACTGCACTCCCCACTGGGTCACAGAGCGAGACTGTGTCTAAAAAAAAAAAGTGCTTATACTCCGTTTTTGGTCCAGAATCACTTAGATGTTTAAAAGTTCCTATCTGGTCCTTGGATTTTGTTGTTGAAGCATGTTGAATTGATAGCTTTTCAGAAGTAGAGAATTAGAGGCCTCAAGATGCTTTGGATTGTCAGACCACAGAAAACTGTAATAATAGCTTACATCTACTGTATACCAAATCCTTTAAAAAGCACATTATAGTTTCCACTATCCTCTATTTCTTCAACAACCCTATATGGAAGAGAAACTAGGGCAAAAAGAGATTTGGGAGCCTTCCTTAAGATCCCAGATATCAGCCTGGGCAACACTGCCAGACCCTGTGTCTACAATTTATTTATTTTTTTAATTAGCCATGTGTGGGGGCACATGCCTGTAGTCCTAGCTACTTGAGAGGCTGAGGCAGGAGGATCACTTGAGCCCAGGAGTTCAAGGTTGCAGTGAGCTGTGATGCAGCCACTGTATGCCAGCCTGGGCAACAGAATGAGACCCTGTCTCTTTAAAAAATAAACAAATAAAAGAAAAAAGATCCCAGATACTCTGATTCCATGATCTGAACTCCGAGCCTCTATGTCCCTTCTGCCATTTGACAAATAAAAATGTTTTTAGGGCTCTGACATCCTAAATGGGAATCACCAACTTTCAGCAAAGGATGAAGGAAACTGATGATAGAACCAAGTACTTAAATTGATACATTCCTATGGAGATTCTGTATGTAATTAAAAAAAAAGCTACACCTGCAAATTTAAATTTTCTCCACATTTCTTCTTTGCTCTAGAATTAATTTTAAAGCTTCTGTAGTTAAGCAGTAATCCAACACTGTAAGTTAAAATCAGGATAATTAAAGTCTTCAATAATCTTTAATATAAAATTTAATAGTTCTTGACAGTGTGGGGTCTGTGATAATATTAGTTTTTCATGAAAATTTAAAGACTGTAACTTGAAAGTAAGCTTGAGGGTCCATTGTATTTGCATATTTGGATATTTTCCTAGACTAATGTAGTGTACTAGTTTGTGCTTGATTTTGTCAGGTTTGTAAAATTTATAAACTTTGCTACTTTAAATAAGGTTCAGAGCAAACTGATAACTAACCTTTGATGTGTTACTGTAGCTTTCTTAGGTTCTTTTAAATCCTGTATAGAGACAGGCAGCTAGAGGTAGCATATTACCAACAAAATTTAGTAATAGCTAGTAGGAAACCTCATTTGTTCTTTTGCATTTTTTAGGGATAGCGATTATATTTTCCAATTTTTATGATTTGATTATGATTCAGATATTATCTAGGAAAAATGTCCTGTTTTTTATTTGACACCTTTTTAAAGCCAAAGCCATTTTAGGACATCTTTGCCAAAATTGAAGGAAGTCAAGACTCATTAAATTATTTGGTGAACTCCACCAGTTATTTTAGTTAGTCACTGTGATCAGTGCTTTAACTTGAATTGTTTGTTTTGAATCAGATACTATTACAAAGTAATCTGATACTACTCCTTCCCTCACCCCCTTCCTTTGTTTTTGTCTAGGAGTTAGGCCAGCAACACTAATGCATTTGGGAGGTATTATTATATTGTAAAAAATAAACATTTGTGAATTAATAAAACAAGAATTGTCAGAATACAGTTAGAGTTTGGGTGTGTTAATCATTTCTTCATCTGACTTCTTGTAAATTGAGGCATTTTCAATATGGCTTATGGCAAGCTTGTCCAACCCGTGGCCCACAGGCAGCATGCAGCCCAGGACAGCTTTGAATGCGGCCCAACACAAATTCATAAACTTTCTTAAAACATTATGAGATATTTTTGCAATTTTTCATTTTTTTTAAGCTCACCACAGCTGTTGTAAGTGTTAGTATATTTTATGTGTGGCCCAAGACAATGCATCCAGTGTGGCCTAGGGAAGCCAAAAGATTGGATACCCCTGGCTTATGGGATTCTCAGTATGACACAGTCCTTGGGGATTAAAATTTCTATAGCCTTGCTAGAGCTTTAAGTTCTTAAAATTTTTTTTGTGTCTTTATCACAATTGTTGAACATTGTGAACACGTAGTGTTTACTGAGTTGTATAATACGTGTAAGCTGTGTTCATTTGAGGCTGTTGGATTGCTAATTAAAACTTAGATTTATCCATTATTCAACTCAGTGTTTCTTTGCCGTGTCACTAGCTATACAGAAGGGCCATCTCAACAGCACTGGATTTGTTCTTCTCCTTTGTACTAAATTGAATGTATTACCAAGCTCTATTACTTCTTCCTCTGTTGGTCTCCAGAATAGAGCCCCGAAATTCCTGCTTGCTCTCGCAGTCCTCTTCAAGGCTTTCATCCTTGAATTACTGGATTTTGGCATAGACTTTTAACTGGTTTCTCTGCTTCTGGTTTTCTAATCCCCTGCAGAAAAGTTGTTCTGAATTTGTAGGTTCGTGGTACTAGGTACATTATAAGGTTGAAGGACATTCTTCTTGGTGGGACGTTAGATACTTTATTTGAATATTTATTGGGAATTTCAATGAGGAAGGAATATTTTATTGTTTGGTAAAACAGCCTGTGAAATTCAACTAGTTTCTTTCTCCATGTGCCTTCTACAATTTAGTTGTAAAACGGGCCTCCTGGTCCTCCTTTAGGTGATAAAAGAAAATATGAAGGACGGGTGCGCAGTGGCTCACGCCTGTAATCCCAGCACTTTGGGAGGCCAAGGCAGGCAGATCACTTGAGTTCAGGAGTTTGAGACCAGCCTGGCCAGCATAGCGAAACCCCATCTCTACTAAAAATACAAAAAAATTAGTGGGGCATGGTGGTGCACGCCTGTAGTCCCAGCTACCCGGGAGGCTGAGGCTGGAGAACTGCTTGAACCCAGGAGGCAGAGGTTGCAGTGAGCCGAGATTGCACCCCTGCACTCCAGCCTGGGTGACAAGAGTGAAAACTGTCTCAAAAAAAAAAAAAATGAAAAAGTATTGGTTACTTTCTTTGAATGAATAAATATTTAGCAGTTGAAAATAGTACAGTTAAAATCAATATTTTCTTTATAGATTTTTAAAATTTTTATTTGCAAAATAAAGTTAGACATTTAAAAAGAGATTAAAATTATGAAAGGTTAGCAGGTGGTGTTGGCAACTTAAAAGAAAGAAAATTATCATTTTACAGGACTTTTTCACGTATCTGTAGGATTGTTGAATTGGTAATGATTCATTTTTTTTCTGGGTGTATTTTCAGTGAATTGCTCTGTGTTTTCCAGGAGAATAAAACCGTAATCTAATTCTAATTTGTTGCTTTTTCATCAAAACCTCTCAGTAAACTTAAAATTATTGATGCTGAGAAGTGTGCAGTGAAAGTTATGTGCAAATTCCCTTGCTTCTGTTGTTTTGCGTCTCAGACATCACTCATCCGTCTCCAACAGGTGTTCTGCCAGCTGTGCCCAAACATTTCAAATGATTTAGAATGTTTCCACACTTACCTTGTATGGTGACTATTTACTATAAAAGGAATTATCTGGTTACATAGCTCTTTGGCACAGGCAAAAGACCAGAAGACAGAAGAGTCTAATTTGAGGCTTACCTGCATATTGTAAAGTAGGTAGAAGTGGCAGGTCTCAGATTGTTTTGCATGTAGCACTGGTACTGATAAGTGGGATTTTCCTTTAACCATGTATTTTTGGATGTGTAGATTGTGGCAAGAAATAATTTAAATGGAGTCAGAATAATTTTATTTGCCCTGCTGCATGAGGATTCAATGAAAGACAGAATTCTCTCAAATTTTAATGCTATTTGGTCTATTAAAGTCGAGGAAAATACCTCTTATGCTTTACCTCCTTAATAAAGAAGTAAACAACATGTCTTTATATAATTTCTTTTGTATCTTTAAAATTATTTGGTTAGTGATCGTAAATGACTGAGAACATGTGTGACTATATTACACTTTTGTCAAGATAATAAAACAAACTTTAGAACCTCTGGAAATTTTATTATTCATGCTACTTAGAAAAAACTATTCTTTACTTGTTATTAATCAGCCAAATAAACAAGTCTTAATAGGCAGCAAATTAAATAAGAGTTTCCCATGCTGATAAGGAGGGTTTGCCTTGAGTTATAAATAATCATTGTTGAAATATATCATTTTCAAATTGTAGTTATATGTAACAGATACTATGTTAAAATGTCATCTTATAGCTGATACCAAATTTAACTATTGCTGTCACTTTATGACATGCCGTTATTGAACTGAATTCTGGCCTCAGAGTACAACTCCAAAAACCAGCAGGTGTTAAGAAATGTTGCCTTAGAGTTGTAGGCATAGGATAGAATATGTTCATGCAGATAAATATGATTTTCTTTGTAGCACTGTATATGTTTGCATTTTGTGGGCAGAATAAAACTGATTAGGATCTAGGGAACTATCTAACACTTTCTCCGCATATACATGATACTGTATTGTAGAGTTGCTTATTCATGGCGGTGTTCTTAAGGCACTGCAGTATCTTCAGTCGTCAACCTTCCACAATTAAATTTTGACCCTTTCCCTTTAACTAGAAAATTATAACAATTAGTCCTCTTAATTCTGAGAATATCCCAGTATATGCAGAGTAGTATGGAGGTGAAAAGAGATGGCTCTGGAAATCAGTCGGCCTGGATACATCCACTCACTATTTTTTTTTTTTTTTGAGACAGAGTTCACTCTTGTTGCCCAGGCTGGAGTGCAATGGCACGATCTCGGCTCACCGCAACCTCTGCTCCCAGGTTCAAGCGCTTCTCCTGCCTCAGCCTCCTGAGTAGCTGGGATTACAGGCATGCGCCACCATGCCCAGCTAATTTTGTATTTTTAGTAGAGACAGGGTTTCTCCATATTGGTCAGGCTGGTCTCGAACTCCTGCCCGTCTCAGCCTCCCAAAGGGCTGGGATTACAGGCGTGAGCCACCGTGTCTGCCTCCACTCACTATTTATGTGACATTTGATAATCTACTCAGCATATCTGTTCCTCTGTGTCTTCAGGTCTAAATAAGGATAATAATAGTACCTACTACATAGGTTTGTTTGAAAGTTAAAGGAATTAGTATGTGTATCATGCTTAGGATAGTGCCCTGTACCAAGCAAGTAAGGCTTAGATATTATTTTGATTCTTGGTTTTCCCATACCTAGTAAGTACAAGCTGAGAAATATTATTGTAGGAAAGTGGAACTTTATAGCATTGTTTCTCATGCTCTTCGTGTTAAAGAAATGGAAATGGAATGCTGTAAATAATTTGCTCAAGATTAAACAACTAGTTAATGGCAGATGGCTTTTTAATTGTCCTGAATTCATTCTGTTTTTATCTCAAGAACATTCCAATAATTTTAATAGTTGTAAATTACATAGTTGATTTCAAAATTTCTCTTCTCTAATTTGGAATTTAAGGTAATTTAAATGTTGCATATGTATATATAGGTTGTGAATCTCTTATCTGAAAATCCTAAATCCAAAATGCTCCAAAACCCTAACCCTTTTGAGTACCGACATGATACCACAAAGTGGAAAATTTCACACATAAGTACTTACCACAAAACTTTCTTTCATGCACAAAATTATTTAAAATATTATATAAAATTACCTCAGGCAATATGTATAAGGTATATATGAAACATAAATGAATTTCATGTTTAGACTTGGGTCCAACCCCAAGATTTCTCATATTTGCAAATTTTCCAAAATCCAAAAAATTCCAAAACCTGAAACACTTCTGGTCTCAAGTGTTTGGGATAAGGGATATTCAACCTATAGTAGGAAATATTTAATATTTACATATTCTTAAGTCATTAAGAAATTCTCACTTGGAAATTGTTTATATGTTTTATTATTTAAAAAATACTAAAATTAGGAAACTGGACTCCTCTTCCATATCTGCTTCTGATCCGGGATGAAACTACTTAACATTACATGCCATAGTTAGTGGTAGCAGATTTTAAATACATAGCTGTAAGGTCTTAAAATCAATAATGCATTATTGATTTGCATTTCCCTGGAGAACATGATTCAATTCATGCTTACTGTGTAGACATGTATGTGATAACTAAAGAGAAATTAGACGACCATGTGCAGTTTTCCTTCAAGGGAATTATATGTAATTTTTGCAAAGCTCTGTGGTTCATATAGGGTGTTAGACGGTGAAATGATGATGATGTTTATACTTTTTGGTTAGTTCTAGTGGTAAGTGAAGCTTACTGAAAGCAGAACTATGGAGAGGACCTAATTACCTGCCTTTAGTGATTTTTTTTAAAAATGAACTTATTGCCTTATTGTAATGCTACCATAATGTTTATGGTGCAACCTGTATACCTACATTGACTGGAGAGATTGAATGGCCTGACTGTATGGGACACATAATAGATTCCAGCTTTTTTCCGTGACATCATTATTATAACAGACTTCTTTAAGAATATGAACAGCAGCTGTGCACTTTTGTGAGCTTTACATTATAAACCATAACAGCCTGTTCAGCTCTATACAAGTGATGGGGCAGCTTGATTCTTAACAAATGAAGCCAAACTCAGCTGTGAAACTGTTAACAGATCTAGTAATGACATAGGCCCCATGTATGGAACATTTCATAACACAACAGGGGAAAACAGGGGCAACGGCCATTTAGCACATTGGCTAAGAAGGTTTTCTTTACCTCTTGCTCAGTATAACTTCACAGAATTAATATAGAATTGCAGTTTATGTCAATAGATGTGGCATATCCAAAGTTGAATTGTGTTTTGAAACTTTGACTAGATTTCCCAGTTTATAAGTGTTCCCTTTACCATCCTTAAAGTAGAAAAACAAGAACTATTGGTCCTTGAAGGTAAAAAATAAAAATGCTTATTCTTTCCATAGAGTTAATAATCTAATATGATGATGGGAAAAACATCTCTTGGTTCAGTATCCATGGATTATTTAGGTGTCAGAGAAGAAATATATCTACTTCTTTTTTGTTGTTGTTGTTTAGACAGGGTCTTGCTCTGTTGTCCAGTCTAGAGTGCAGTGGTGTAATAGCTCACTGCAACCTCTAACCCTGGCTCAAGGGATCTTCCTTACTGTCTTCTTCCCCAGTAGCTGGGACTACAAGTACATGCCATCATGCTCAGCTAATTTTTTGACTTTTTGCAGAGATGAGGTCTCACCGTGTTGCCCAGACTGGTCTCAAAATCCTAGGCTCAAGCAATCCTCCTGCCCTGGCCTTCCAAAGTTCTAGGATTACAAGAATGAGCCACCACACCTCACTGAGTTATATTTATGACATATAAGTTATATTTTTGTGTAATAATAAAGCAAAAATCAAGCATTTAGCAGAGAAATTGATGTAACTATTATGGATCTACCTGCATAGTTTTTTACATAATATATTGACCTCATCATACTTTTTTAAAAAATTAATACTGTGATGTGCAGAACAAACTATATACCTTCCATGTGTCTGTTTTATCTAGTAGAATAGCTAAGTGATAACTTTGAAATAATGTCTTTTCAGGGATATTTAAAATTTTGCAGAGTATTCTAAACAGATCAGAATTCCTGAGACGGGAAAATTTTTAGATGAATATCTTTTATAATTCTCTAATTATAAATCTAAACTCTTAGAATAACAATAATCTTGCAAATATTCATGTACTATTCTTGTCAAAAGTAGTGAGTACTGCCATGGAATGTTAGTGAGTATATTTGTGTTATCTCTTACGAATCTTTTGGCAGTTAACTCTAGTTTTTCAGATCTTTGTAGTTTTTCGTTGAATGGAGATTAGTTGATTCTTGTTTGGTAACATTCAAGAATATAAAGTATTCGTTTTTCTTTCTTAATTTCTCATTAAATAAGGAAAATTATTTGTAGCTTTACAAAAATATCAAATCTTGTTTGTTAAGGAATAGTGGCTCTAAGCTTCTGTCAGTTTTACCAGTTTTTATATATCACTTAACTAGAAGTGAGGATTTTATGGGTGAAACATCTAATACATAGAGTAAAAAACTGCTTTGGGGAAGGTCTTATAATACAGCTTCTTACGGAAGGCACAGGATCAGATTTGAAATAAGCTACATACAATTGATTTTTCTGTGGCAAGAATTGAACCTTAATACCTGTTTGCCAAGAATAGCTGAAAATTATTATTTCACTTTTAGAGTTTTTGGCCTTAATCGCTAAATTAGTTCATCCAGTCAAGCAAAAAATAAACCAACATTAGGTAAATATTCTATTCCCTTTCAGTTGCTGTATTTGGAGGTAAACCTTGTAGTTTATGCCATGATATTCAAAAGGGCAAATTTGGTCAGGCGTGGTGGCTCACATCTGTAATCCCACCACTTTGGGAGGCCGAGGCGGTTGGATTACCTGAGCTCAGGAGTTTGAGACCAGCCTGGGCAACATGGTGAAACCCCATCTCTACCAAAAATACAAAAAATTAGCCAGGTGTGGTGGCGAGCACCTGTGGCCCCTGCTACCCGGGAGACTGAAGTGGGGAAATCGCCTGAACCGGGGAGGCAGAGGTTGCAGCGAGCCGAGATCACTCTGCTGCACTCCAACCTGGGTGACAGAGTGAGACCCCGTCTCAAAACATACAAACAAACCCCCCAAAAACAAACAAACAAGAAAACCAAAAGGGTAAATAAAGGGGAATGACCTAATTTTAGTAAAACGGATGTGAGGTCGTGATTTGTGTGTTTTTGTGATTCACTTTAGATTATTGCCACTCAAAAATGAGAGAATTGATGTATGAATACTAACTCCAGAAGGAAATTCCAAGGACAACCATCCGTGAACTCTTTTAACAAGTGAAATTTTTAGTCAAGAAAATTTTAGGTGTAACTATTAGATTGGCTTAACACCCTTTACATGTGCTTATCTTGTGGAGAAGGTGATTTTAAGAAACTGGGTAAAGCGAAAGACTGGATAGTGTGAGTTTGTTTGGGAATATTGGCAAGGAATAGCCCATCTTAAAAAAATAGTCAGAATTCTTTCCAGATGCCCACGCCTTTGAGCTAATTGGTGACTGTTGTTCATTTATGTTAATTTATGTTTGCTTTAGATAGTAAGATCCTTGAAAGCTGGAGTACTTCTTTGCTTGTATACCCGTGTGATTGGAGCGGAGCAGATGTTTAATACAAATGTGTTTGTTGATTGAAGTAAAGCGTTTGCTAGACAGACAGGATTTTGGAGTCATGTCACATACCTTTGTGTGACAGTCCCTGCTGGGCACGTAGTCAGTGATGGCGAGGTAAGATTTACTTACGTATTGTCTGGTCTGTCTTATCTCCTGTAGCGCCAGTCCTCCTTACAATTTTACTCCATTCCTGAAAGGAATGTCTCTCCTGAAAGGAGGCCTCCTCCCACCTGCACCACCTCTGGCTGTTCATGGCCTTACATTTACCTAGCAAGTTTCACTTTTTTCTTCCATTACTCATAGATTCAGACCATATTATGACTACTGCTGCTGGTACTGTGCTAAACTACTACCACTAGCTACAATTCATTGACTGCTATTATGTGTTAAGTTCTTTATATATGCTAGCTCATTTAATTCTCAAGATCCTGTGATGTGCTTTACATGGGGGAACAAGTTACATTCCAGTGACACACATCAGACAGGGTGGAGACAAGATATTCACTCAGGATTTTCTGACTCCAAACCTCTGTCCTTAGCTTCTTCCTGGTCATAGCTTAATTCACCATCGTGACAGGTACTTGCCTTTCTCTAACTTTAGTTGTGTGCTTACAGTTCAAACTCTTCTAAAGAGCCTTTATCCATACCAGGTGGTAAATTCTACAGTAATGCACCAGAATCCCTTTGAGAAGCCCTAGATCAAACATGTTCAGAAGCATGAAGAGATACCTGAAATGAGGAATGTAGAAGAAAGGCCAGAGTAGTACCAGAGAGAGCAAGGAGGCATTCATAGTTCTTTGAGTCTGTGACCAGAAATTCTCAGGTTTCCAAGCCAAATATATGAAAGTCAAGCACAAAACCAGTATTTTTGCGGGAAAACAAATGAGTAAGTAATGCTTTTGAGGTATCTAATCCACCTCATTTGTATAAAGGCTAAAAGCAAGGAAAAAGGAAAAACAAGGAACATAAAGGATGCGGCATTGTAGCTCCTGTTTTTGAGGAGGTCAGGTCCTTTTTTTAAAGAAGGACCTGCAGTTTCTCTTATTGAACTGTACAACCTTGGGCAACTTCGATAACTGTTTGGGCTGAAATTCCCTCATTTATAAATCAGAGCTTTTAATTCCAGAATCTGGGTGGACAACAGAATCGCCTGGGTTATTTCTCTTTTTCTTTCATTTTAAACTACAGAGATTTGCTAAATCACTATCTCTGCCTGGCTTTGCGTATAGATAGAGAGATGAGTCTGGGGACGAGAGGTTGTGAGGCATACCTTGCCAAGGAGTGTGGGTGTTGCTTTCTAGCTAGTAGGGAGGCAGTGAATGTTTTAAGCAGTTTATTAGTATTCTTTTGTCTGCAAATGAAAAGTCATTCATTCATTTTTTAAAATTATACTTTAAGTTCTGGGATACATGTGCAGAACATGCAGGTTTGTTACATAGATATATGTGTGCCATGGTGATTTGCTGCACCCATCAACCCGCCATCTACATTAGGTATTTCTTCTAATGCTATTGCTTCCCTTGCCCCCCACCCACTGAGAGGCCCTGGTGTGTGAGGTTCCCCTCCCTGTGCCCATATGTTCTCATTGTTCAATTCCCATTTATGAGTGAGAACACATGGTGTTTGGTTTTCTGTCCCTGTGTTAGTTTGCTGAGAGTGATGGTTTCTAGCTTCATCCATGTCCCTGCAAAGGACATGAACTCATTCTTTTTTTTTTTTTTTTTTTGAGACGGAGTCTCGCTCTGTCGCCCAGGCCGGACTGCGGACTGCAGTGGCGCAATCTCGGCTCACTGCAAGCTCTGCTTCCCGGGTTCACGCCATTCTCCTGCCTCAGCCTCCCGAGTAGCTGGGACTACAGGCGCCTGCCACCGCGCCCGGCTGATTTTTTGTATTTTTAGTAGAGACGGGGTTTCACCTTGTTAGCCAGGATGGTCTCGATCTCCTGACCTCGTGATCCACCCGCCTCGGCCTCCCAAAGTGCTGGGATTACAGGCGTGAGCCACCGCGCCCGGCCTGAACTCATTCTTTTTTATGGCTGCATAGTATTTCATGTGTATATGTGCCACATTTTCTTTATTCAATCTGTCATTGATGGGCATTTGGGTTGGTTCCAAGTCTTTGCTATTGTGAATAGTGCCACAATAAACATACGTGTGCATGTGTCTTTAAAGTAGAATGATGTATAATCCTTTGGGTATATACTCAGTAATGGGATTACTGGGTCAAATGGTATTTCTAGTTTTAGATCCTTGAGGAATTGCCACATTGTCTTCCATAATGGTTGAACTAATTTACACTCCTACTAACAGTGTAAAAGCGTTCCTATTACTCCACGTCCTCTCCAGCATCTGTTGTTTCCTGACTTTTTAATGATCGCCATTCTAACTGGCGTGAGATGATATCTCATTGTGGTTTTGATTTGCATTTCTCTAATGACCAGTGATGATGAGCTTTTTTTCATGTGTTTGTTGGCCACATAAATGTCTTCTTTTGCAAGTGTCTGTTCATATCCTTTGCCCACTTTTTGATGGGGTTGTTTTTTTCTTGTAAATTTGTTTAAGTTCCTTGTAGATTCTGGATATTAGCCGTTTGTCAGATGGATAGATTGCAAAAATTTTCTCCCATTCTGTAGGTTGCCTGTTCACTCTGATGATAAGTTTCTTTTGCTGTGCAGAAGCTCTTTAGTTTAATTAGATCCCATTTGTCAATGTTGGCTTTTTTTTTGCAATTATTTTTGGTGTTTTAGTCATGAAGTCTTCGCCCATGCCTATGTCCTGAATGGTATTGCCTAGGTTTTCTTCTGGGGTTTTTATGGTTTTAGGTCTTATGTTTAAATCTTTAATCCATCTTGAGTTAATTTTTGTTTAAGGTGTAAGGAAGGGGTCCAGTTTCAGTTTTCTGCAGATGGCTAGCCAGTTTTCCCAACACCATTTATTAAATAGGGAATCCTTTCCCCATTGCTTGTTTTTGTCAGGTTTGTCACAGATCAGATGGTTGTAGATGTGTGGTGTTGTTTCTGAGGCCTCTGTTTCTGTTCCTTTGGTCTATATATCTGTTTTGGCACCAGTACCATGCTGTTTTGATTACTACAGCCCTGTAGTATAGTTTGAAGTCAGGTAGCATGATGCCTCCAGTTTTGTTCTTTTTGCTCAGGGTTGTCTTGGCTATATGGCCTTTTTTTGGTTCCATATGAAATTTAAAGTAGTTTTCTCTAATTCTCTGAAGAAAGTCAATAGTAGCTTCATGGGAATAGAATTGAATCTATAAATTGGTATGGCCATTTTCACAATATTGATTCTTCCTGTCCATGAGCATGGAATGTTTTTCCATTTGTTTGTGTCCTCTCTTATTTCCTTGAGCAGTGTTTTGTAGTTCTCCTTGAAGGGGTCCTTCCCATCCCTTGTAAGTTGTATTCCTAGGTATTTTATTCCCTTTGTAGCAATTGTGAATGGGAGTTTGCCCATGATTTGGCTCTCTATTATTGGTGTATAGGAATGCTTGTGATTATTGCATATTAATTTTGTATCCTGAGACTTCACTGAAGTTGCTTATCAGCTTAAGGAGATTTGGGCTCAGATGATGGGGTTTTCTAAATATACAATCATGTCATCTGCAAACAGAGATAAATTGCCTTCCTCTCTTCCTATTTGAATACCCTTTATTTCTTTCTCTTGCCTGATTGCCCTGGCCAGAACTTCCAATACTATGTTGAATAGGAATGGTGAGAGAGGGCATACTTGTCTTGTGCTGGTTTTCAAAAGGAATGCTTCCAGCTTTTGCCCATTCAGTATGATATTGGCTGTGAGGTTGTCACAAATAGCTCTTATTATTTTGAGATGCATTCCATCAGTATCTAGTGTATTGAGTGTTTTTAGCATGAAGCGCTGTTGAATTTAATCGAAGGCCTTTTCTGCATCTGTTGAGGTAATTACGTGCTTTTTGTCATTGGTTCTGTTTATGTGATGGATTAAGTTTATTGATTTGCCTTGCATCCCAGGGATGAAGCCGACTTGATCGTGGTGGATAAGGTTTGTGATGTGCTGCTGGATTCGTTTTGCCAGTATCTTATTGAGGATTTTTGCATCAATATTCATCAGCGATATTGGCCTGAAATTTTCTTTTTTTGTTGTGTCTCTACCAGGTTTTGGTATCAGGAAGATGCTGACCTCATAAAATGAGTTAGGGAGGAGTCCTTCTTTTTCTTTGTTTGGAATAGTTTCAGAAGGAATGGTACCAGCTCTTCTTTTTACCTCTGGAAGAATTTGGCTGTGAATTCGTCTGGTCCTGGGCTTTTTTTGGTTGGTAGGGTATTAATTACTACCACAATTTCAGAACTTGTTATTGGTCTATTCAGGGATTCGACTTCTTCCTGGTTTAGTCTTGAGAGGGTGTGTGTGTCTAGGAATGTATCCATTTCTTCCTGATGTTCTAGTTTATTTGCATAGAGGTGTTTATATTATTCTCTGATGGTAGTTTGTATTTCTTTGGGATCAGAGATGATCTCCCCTTTATCATTTTTTAATTGTGTCTATTTGATTCTTCTCTCTTTTCTTCTTTATTAGTCTGGCTAGCAGTCTATCTATTTTGTTAATCTTTTCAAAACACCAGCTCCTGGATTCATTGATTTTTTTGAAGGGTTTTTCGTGTCTCTGTCTCCTTCAGTTCTGCTCTGATCTTAGTTATTTCTTGTCTTCTGCTAGCTTTTGAATTTGTTTGCTCTTGCTTCTCTAATTCTTTTAATTGTGATGTTAGGGTTTTGATTTTAGATCTTTCCCAATTTCTCCTGTGGGCATTTAGTGCTATAAATTTCCCTCTAAACACTTCTTTAGCTGTGTCCCAGGGATTCTGGTACATTGTGTCTTCGTTCTCATTGGTTTCAAAGAACTTATTTATTTCTGCCTTAATTTCGTTAGTTACCTAGTAGTCATTCAGGAGCAGGTTGTTCAGTTTCCATGTAGTTGTGCGGTTTTGAGTGAGTTTCTTAATTCTGAGTTCTAATTTGATCGCAATGTGGTCTGAGAGACTGTTTGTTATGGTATCTGTTCTTTTGCATTTGCTGAGGAGTGTTGTACTTCCAATTATGTGGTTGGTTTTAGAGTAAGTGCTATGTGGTGCTGAGAAGGGTGTATATTCTGTTGATTTGGGGTGGAGAGTCTGTAGATGTCTGTTAGGTCTGCTTGGTCCAGAGCTGAGTTCAAGTCCTGAATATCCTTGTTAATTTTCTGTCTCACTGATCTATCAAATATTGACAGTGTGGTGTTAAACTCTGCCACTATTATAGTGTGGGAACCTAAGTCTCTTTGTAGGTCTCTAAAAACTTATGTTATGAATCTGGGTGCTCCTGTATTGGGTGCATATATATTTAAGATAGTTAGCGCTTCTTGTTGCATTGATCCCTTTACCATTATGTAATGACCTTCTTTGTCTCTTTTGATCTTTGTTGGTTTAAAGTCTGTTTTATCAGAGACTAGGATTGCAACCCCTGCTTTTTTTTTGTTTTCCATTTGCTTGGTAGATCTTCCTCCATCCCTTTATTTTGAGCCTATGTGTGTCTCTGCACGTGAGATGGGTTTCCTGAATACAGCACACTGATGGGTCTTGACTCTTTATCCAATTTGCCAGTGTGTGCCTTTTAATTGGGGCATTTAGCCCATTTACATTTAAGGTTAATATTGTTATGTGTGATTTTGATCCTGTCATTATGAGGCTAACTGGTTATTTTGCCCATTAGTTGATGCAGTTTCTTCATAGTGTCGACGGTCTTTACATTTTGTTTTGTTTTTACAGTGGCTGGTACCGGTTTTTCCTTTCCATATTTACTGCTTCCTTCAGGAGCTCTTGTAAGGCAGGCCTGGTAGTGACAAAATCCTTCAGCATTTGCTTGTGTATAAAGGATTTTATTTCTCCTTCACTTATAAAGCTTAGTTTGGCTGAATATGAAATTCTGGGTTGAAAATTCTTTAAGAATGTTGAATATTGGCCCCCACTCTCTTCTGGCTTGTAGGGTTTCTGCAGAGAGATCCGCTGTTAGCGTGATGCGCTTTCATTTGTGGGTAACCTGACCTTTCTATCTGGCTGCCTTTAACATTTTTTCCTTCATTTCAACTGTGATGAATCTGACGATTATGTGTCTTGGGGTTGCCGTTCTCGAGGAGTATCTCTGTGGTGTTCTCTGTATTTCCTAAATTTGAATGTTGGCCTGTCTTGCTAGGTTGGGGAAGTTCTCCTGGATAATATCCTGAAGTGTGTTTTCCAACTTGGTTCCATTCTCCACATCACTTTCAGGTATACCAGTGGAACATAGGTTTGGTCTTTTCACATAGTCTCATATTTCTTGGAGGTTGGAGGCTTTGTTCATTCCTTTTCATTTTTTTTCCCTAATCTTGTCTTCACACTTTATTTTATTAGTTGATCTTCAATCTCTGATATCTTTTCTTCCACTTGATCGATTTGGCTATTGATACTTGTGTATGCTTCACAAAGTTCTTGTGCTATGTTTTTCAGCTCCATCAGGTCTTTTATGTTCTTCTCTAAACTGGTTAGAGAGCATGTTGTCAGATGGGAGATGAAGTGCGTGTTTTCATCCTATTCTCTCTCTGACCAAACCAGAGACTGGTTTATTCCTTGGAGCCCAGAACAGTTCTCGCTCATTACTATACCTTAGCTTTCCTGATTCTTTTCTCTCCGTCTAACATGTTCTCAACATTTATTTTCTACTCATATACTTCATGGCTGAGTGAAAAGAGTGAGACTGACTGCATTTCAGATCTTGACTATACAAACTCTGCAGCTTTGGCTAGATTATTAAACTTTCTACCTATGCAATGCATATCATTAAGGCTGCCACATATGGCTGCTCAGATTGTGCAATGCACATGCCAAAGACTCTGTTTACATAGATTTCAGTATGTGGAATGCACAACCACCTTTGCAGAATTGTGATGAGAATTAGATGAGCCCATAAAGAGACTAGTTAAGCATAATGATAAAGAGTGGGACTTGAGAGCCTGCGGTCCTGGTTTTATAACTCAGTCTTTCTATTTATGAGCTGAGTGATCTTGGGCAAATAAGCTGTATGATCATATTTATATTTTCTGTGTCTCCCTTTTAGTTTTCTTTTTTAAATGATGGAGACCACAATATATATCTCAAAAGGGATATTCTGAAGATCAAAAGTGTTAATATTTATAAAGCACTTAGAATAGTTCCTGATGCATACTGAACACCCAATATATATTAGCTGTTTTGCTTATTGTATGAAAATTATTTAACATGATGCTAAATGCTCTTTTACTGGTAATTCTTACTACTGTTATTATTATTATATAAGACTTACCCTTCACATTCACAGTCTGTCTCCATTAGGTCTTTCCTAACCCCCTTATACTTTTAATCTTTCCATCATTAGACTTCCAAACAGCAAGAATTGTAGTGGGTGTATGATTTAGCTTAGAACTTATGTTGCTTTATAGTATGCATATTTCTATCTCTGTAGTTAAACTGGAAGGCACCTGAAAAGTGGGAATGTGATCAGTACCGTTATGGTGTTTAGCATCTTCTGCCTTGCCTATAACTAGTGTTAGCTGAAGATGATTCAATTTCTGTCAACTGCTCTGAAGAGAGTTGCTTCCTTCAGGGCTTGAGGCTTGAGAACTGGAGAAGACAGCAGAAACTGTGTTTCATGATCTCCTTTTTTAAGGACTTTATATCCATGTGATTACTTAAGCTTAATATACACAGCAGTGAAAAATGAAAATTAATTAAAATCTAGGATGTGTAGTCAGACTAGCAGCAGTAGGAGTTTAGAAGAGAGTCATGTGTGTAAGAGCTGAGTTACAGAGAAGAGTCTTCCTGTGGGACATGCCTTAAATAGATTTGTATGTGTCTAGATAGAGGTGGACTGGACCTTCAGTCAGTGCTAATAATGTTAATACTAATAGTCAATACTGTTACTAATCCTAAGAGCAAACACTAGCAGGTGCATGCTATGCTAGGCATTGTTCCTCATGCTTTACACGTATTAGCACATTTAATTCTTTTTTTTTAAAGACAGAATCTCGCTCTGTCACCCAGGCTGGAGTGCAGTGGCACAGTCTCGGCTCACTGAAGCTCTGCCTCCTGGGTTCAAGCGATTCTCCTGTCTTAGCCTCCTGAGTAGCTGGGGTTACAGGTGCACGCCCCCACACCCGGCTAAATTTTGTATTTTTAGTAGAGACAGGGTTTCACCATATTGGTCAGGCTGGTCTCGAACTCCTGGCTTCAGGTGATCCGCCTGCCTCGGCCTCCCAAAGTGCTGGGATTACTACAGGCTTTAGCCACCGTGCCTGGCCAACACATTTAATTCTTGCAATAGGTCTCTGAGGCAGCAAATACTCTTTCCTCATTTTATAAATGAGGAATCAGATGTTGCCAATAGATTTTATTTAGTTGTGTTTGTGATTACAAGTTATACTTTATTTTTTAAGTTCGCAATAAAATGAAAACCTTTACAAATTCTTGGTATCTTACGTTTTGAAATTATAGTTCATCAGTAGTTTTAAAACCAAACATGCCTTGTAATTTCTTTCTACGTATTTAAAGACTTATTTTTAGAAGAGAGTTTTAGGTTCACCTGTTTGTTTCTTTTTTTTAATTTTTAATTACCTTTTTGTAGAGATGAGGTCTTGCTGTGTTTCCCAGGCTGGTCTCAAATTCCTGGCTTCAAGTGATCCTCCCACCTCGGTCTCCCAAAGCACATGTTTCTTTTTAAATAAAAATTGTTTTTATGATAACCCCCTCCCCATAAAGACATAATATAATTATTAACAATAACACAAAAAGATAAGAGGCTTTTATGTTTTGGAATGTGGGGTAGCTTATTTTAACCTTCTTTTTTAATTGAGGTCAGCACATCAGATTTTAATGGTTTCTTGTTTGTATGATGAAAACTAACTGGTAAAGCTCATCTCCAGAAAGAAAAAAGAACAGAGTACTGAGTTTGTGGAACATTTATAGAATAGAGTTCTGCATTTAATTTCTAGATACCTGGGTGACAATAACAGACCAGAATTTACTTTTTAACAACTTTAACAGATTTAGTGTGCTCTTATCATACTTTATAATATGAATTATGGATCATTGGCAAATCCCATCAGTAGTATTTTTGGCAGCCCTTTGATGGAAGTAGAGTTTGATTTTTACTGTGTTGTTTAAAGAAAGAATTTAATTTTTTTTTTAACTCTTCAAAAAGGCTCAGTTTCAGTGTAATTGTAACTACATCTTTTTCTAATGGGCTTTAGGTCGTATTACTTGTGACATCAAAGAAAACTGCATATTTTCAAGTAGAAATATAAATTAAGAGGTAACTAAAGATGAACACAGGCATCATTGTGGTAAAAATTGTAAAGCAGTCTTTTAAATTGTAGATTACTATGTTGATACACACAGCATTCAATGACTGTTACTGGTTTATTCATTTGGCAAAATAACAGATAATCAATAGGGCAAGTGTTGTGAGTCCTCTAATTGGGGCCATATTTCCCAGGCTATTTACCTATCTTTCTTTCTTCTCATTCACAGATCTTGCTGGGGATTAGTGTTAACAATCCTGTGTTTGAGCATGCCTGTGAAACTCGATGCCTCACCTAGGAGGCCTGCCTTCCATGGCGGTATATGAGGTGTGACTATAAAGTGTGAGACTGGTTTCCACTTTATGGACACACTGTGTACAGAGAGTCCACCTCCTGTTTCGTGTTTTTTTTTTTTTTTTTTTTTTTTTTTCCTTTTGCAACATGTGTGTGGGAGAATGTATATAAGAATTTTTTGTGGCTTTTTCTTTTTGTCTTTTCATTTTCTTATAAGACTTTAGGATGTTTAAAATGAGCTCTATTACTTGTAGTGCTGTTTGCAATTTCATGTGCCCTTTTTTCTTTTTCTTTTCTTTCTTTGTTTCCCTCTTCTTTCCTCATTGTTTGCACTGCAACTTTAGGTAAGAAATATTTTTCTTCGACTGGCCCACCTTTCTACTGTTCCTTTAGCTCCTCACAGGAATGCATCAGATGGTCTTGTGATCATTCATTTTTATGTAAGTCTCAGAGACAACATATAACTTCAGTTAATGAATTAAAGTATTTCATCAACTCTGAGATCTAAGATACATTTCGCTTTGAGATCTAAGATGATAAATGTTACTGATTGTAAGATGTATCTTTTTCAAATATGTTAAAAATGTAAAAAATACAGGTTTTTGCATCGGTGAAATATGGTAACCTTTTTATTAGGTTGTATACGGTGGGTTATCACTCATATTTGATATGAAATAAGAAGCGTAGATGGAATCAAGATCAACATGTGTGTTGATTTGTAGGCCATTATTAACTTTGGAAACTGACTACTATATATATTCTTAAAAATATATGGAATAAAAGGTAAAAAAATGTTTTCTAATTCTCAGTCCATCCATCGTTTATCAGCATTCTACTGAGAAAGCAGAATAAGCAATAATAGTGTTCTATTTGGATCATTCACATATGATTAATACAACATGGTGGATAATATCATGACCTTTAAAATAAAGCAGACTTAAGCTCTAGCATGTATCTGTGAGACCTTGAGCAGATTACTTCATTTCTTTCCGTTTCCTTGGATAATAAGCACACCTTCCATACAGAGCTGTGTTGATGAGTAAAGTATTACATAAGTAAGACATTGTATATACTGTCTGGGCATATGGCAGGTGTATTACCTTGCTAGGGTTACCCTAACAAAATACTGCAGACTGGGTGGCTGAAACAACAGATTAACTTTCTCACAGTTCTGGAGGCTGGAAGTCCAAGAACAAGATGTCCATAGGGTTGGGTTCTTGTGGGACCTCTCTCCTTGGCTTTCATTTGGCTACCCTTTGCTGCTTCCTTCTCATCATTGTCCCTCTATGAGTGTCATCTCTCTGGTGTCTCCTTCTGTCTCCTAATCTCTTATAAGAACGCCAGTCATGTTGGGTTAGGGACCACCCTAACAGCCTTGTTTTAACATAATTACCTCTTTAAAGGCTTTGTCTACAGATACTGTCATATTCTGAGACTTCATCGTATGAATTTTGGGGAGCACAATTCAGCTCATAACAGTAGGTCCACAGTGTTAGTCGTTGTTTGGAAATGTGTATTTCTTATTATGAGGATGCTCTCATGGTGTCTGGTGTCATAATTAGTAGTGTGGGTAACCTGTATCTCTGTACTCTGAAATAAGAGGACTCAGGCTGGAGTGGTCAGGGGCTCATATGAGTACATTAGGGCTTTAACTAGGGAATGAGGATGGTAATGCAAGTTTAAGCAGAATGATTACAGGTCAGGAGTTATAAACAATGATTAAAATCTTGATTTGGAATGAGCATGGTATAGTTGGAAACACGAGGAAGCTGATTTGGCTGGAAAAGAGCCTGAAGTGTGGAAGTCTTGAGAAGGTAGGTGTCAGTAGGATAAGGGAGACCAGATTTTAGGGTTGCTTGAAAGCCACGAAAAGGTGTTTTAACTCTATGATCCTAGTGATGGGGAGTCCATATTAAAGATTACAGAACTGGAGGGGGACGCAGAAAGAATTTTGGGATTTTTAGTCTACAAATTTCTTTATATTTTTAGTATAAAAAGTAAGCATTCATTTACACATGACTTGTGGAATGAAATACCTTTTCCAAAGCATTTTAAATGATCCTGTTAGTAATCCATGATAATGTTAAGGTAGTTGAAGTATTACAGTCTTATGAGACATGTAGAACACCTTGAAACAATGTGTTCAAATTATTCCCACCTCACCTCTGCCTTTGCTTTCTGCCTGATAACATTGTAAAGTAAGACCCCTTCTCCGACCCAGTCAGGATGGACTCATTGGTAATCCATGAGTCAGTAAGCATTTTGCAGAGATTCCTCAAAGTTGAATATTACTTTGGGTTTATTAAAATATTTCTTACTTCTCACATTTCTTTTACATATTTTTACCATTATTATTGTCTGAGCCACATTGGCTATCTTTATAAGGACAGCATTTTTTCTTGAAATGTAATATAAAATTTCATTACAAAATATGTAGTTGGGTTCCATTTCATAAAGTTAATTTACTTCACAGAGCTTTGGAAATACTTTGGCCAGTGAAGTTTTTGATCTTTGATTAAAATGTCAGGTAATAAAAATATTATGTGAGTTGAGATATATCTGAAATAAGATCTAGGGTAGAGAGTATGATTTTAGTTGCAATTTGGTAAGTTTTGTGCATTATTTATTATTTTTGAAATCTCCTTAAAAGTAAAAAATTAAAAGGTCAATGTGAGAGGCCCTTTAAAAATTAGTGTTCAAAGATTTAAATGTTAATCGAATTATCTGCATGTTTTCAGTGTCAAAGTAAAGGCATAAAATCCTTTGAATTATTGTTTAAATTGAGAGTTAGTGTCAACACATATTGAATTACTGCATGGTCCTAAAGACCAACTCCTTTATCTAATTAGAACTATCCGGGATGCTTTTGTCTCTTTTTACCAATATGAAGGTCCAAAAATGTAGTAAATCTTCATGTTTTAAGATGGCAGCTTTTGTCATGAGTTATCTTTTAAGGAAAGTCAAATTATTTCGATAAAAGAAAATGTCCTATCTGTATAACCAGTGCTCTGTGAAACATCTCCTTGGTACAGCTGTAGTATTAAGACTCTTGTTTATCATAAGCATAATTTCACAGCATAAATCTCCTGTATACTAGACCCTTTAAGAGATATTTATCTTCAGACATTCTTGTTTTTTCCTATTCTTTATATCAATGAGCCATTTTCAGGGACTACCCAGAGATGGTACCATCGGTTTCTTATATAGTCATAAGTCATGTGTTTTTGGAATAGGTGATAGTAATGTTAGAGCGTAACAGAAGAGAAAAATATTTGGCATTCTGAGGTAAATTAGGTCTAAGGGTCTGCTTTAATTTTAAAAACAAAAGCTCTACTGTTTCTAGCCAGAAAACCAAATATCTTGGAGTTTAACATGGAAAATGTTTATAGTGTTGTATAGTTTTATTACTACAGACAGAAGGAAAACAGTTTATTGAGTAGCTTTCAGCCAATAAGGAATTTTATACAGGCTAACAATCCAGAGGTGTATGAAAAATATATATATATATATTTTAGTTTAGAGAGAATTAATGATAAAAGCTCAAGATATTGAGCCACTTACTTTGAAACAAGTGTGATCCTTTTTGGCATTTATATGACAGTAGACAACTAGCCAAGCAGAAATGTTTTGTGAATTACAGATTTGTCCTTAAGATGAAGGGGCATGCCCTTTTGTACCCTTCTTCATTCCTGCTTGCTGGAATGCTCATTTCATGGCTCAAACTCAAGTTCATATCTTGAAGCAAGTGCTAGAAGTCACATGTTAAGGCTGGTGAAATAATGGTATAGAAGGAGCTTGAGTCTTTCAGAATTGTGGAGTTGCCTTAACAGACCTGTCTGTTATCTGTGGATTTTGTTTAGAATGAGAGCGAGCCAAACTTTTGTTTAGCACTGCTTTTTTAGGTTTTCAGTTACTCATGGTGGAACATACCAGTGACTGATCCACTGTCCCTCCCCAGCTGTATCTGGTTCAGGAGTCAGTAAATGATGGTCTGCAGGCCAAATCTAGCCCACCACCTATTATATATACAGGAAGTTTTATTGAAATTCAGCCACCCTCATTTGTTTATGTGTTGTCTAGGACAATGGCCGTTTTTCTGCTACAGTGAAGAGTTGAGTAGCTTTATCAGAGACCACATGGCCGGCAAAACCCGATTCTTTATAGAAAATGTTTGCTGATCTCTGAGGTAGTCTATTCACTGATTTCATTTGTCTTTCTTTGAAAATGTCTCTTTTATCATTCTTTTTTTCTGTATTCATGCTGATTCCTTATCAGGGTACATATTTTTGCCTCATATTTAAACTACTTTCACTGCTTTATTAAAAGCTTCCTTAAATCATTTGAAATTCCATTATTTATCTATCAGTCATACTATAACATGGCAAGCTTTCCTAAACAGAGTTTATGCTGTGTCACTCCTGTAATCAAAAACTTGCAGTGACTGTTTCCTGGAGCATTAGGTCATAACATTTTTGCTTGCCATTTATGATTCTCTATGTTCTTTCCATACTCAAGTGTGCTAACATTATTTCCTATTCGTTTATAAATTAGTTTATTTAACGTACTTTAAAACTTTTTATTTTTAATTTTTATGAATGCATAATAGTTGTAAATATTTATGGGAGTACATGTGATAAAGCATATGATGTGTGATAACCAAATTAGTGTAATTGAGATATCCATCACCTTAAACATTGATCATTTCTTTGTGTTAGAAACATTTCAATTTTACTTGTCTAGTTATTTTGAAATATATAATAAATTGTTCTTAACTATAGTCACCTTATTGTGCTATGGAAACATAGAAACTAGATTTTATTCTTTCTTTCTTTCTTTTCTTTCTTTTCTTTCCTTCCTTCCTTCCTTCCTTCCTTCCTTCCTTCCTTCCTTCCTTCCTTCTTTCCTTCCTTCCTTCCTTTCTTTTTTCTTTTTTTTGACAGTCTTGCTCTGTCACCGAGGCTGGAGTGCGGTAGCGTAATCTTGGCTGACTGAATCCTCCACTTCCCAGGTTCATGCGATTCTCTTGCCTCAGCCTCTTGTGTAGTGGGGACTACAGGCGTGTGCCACCATGCTCAGCTAATTTTTGTATTTTTAGTAGAGACAGGGTTTTGCCATGTTGGCCAGGCTGGTCTTGAACCCATGACCTCAAGTGATGCTCTTGGCTCAGCCTCCCAAAGTGCTAGGATTACAGGCTAGATCTTATTCTTTCTAGCAGTATGTTTGTACCCATTAATCAACATCTCTTAATTTTTTCTCTCCGCTACCCTTGCTAGCTTCTGGTAACCATCATCCTGCTCTGTAACTCCATGAGATCAGTTTTTTTTTAGCTCCCACATATGAATGAGAACATGCCATATTTAACTTTCTGTGCCTGGCTTATTTCACTTAACATAATGTCCTCCAGTTCCATCCATGTTATTGGAAATGACAGGTTTCATTCTTTTGTATGGCTGAATAATATTCCATTGTGTATATGTACCACATTTTCTTTATCCATTCATTGTTGATGGACACTTAGGTTGATCTTGGCTAATATGAATGGTGCTGCAATAAACATGGGAATGTAGCTATGTGTTCTGTATACTAATTTCTTTTATTTTGGATATATACCCAGCAGTAGGATTGCTGGATCTTGTGGTAGTTCTAGTTTAAGTTATTTGAGGAACCTTCATACTGTTCTCCATAATGGCTGTACTAATTCACATTCTCACCAGCAGTGTACTAGCATTCTCCTTGCTCCACATTCTCACCAGCATCCATTATTACCTGTCTGTTTTATATAGGCCATTTTAACTGGGGTAGAGATGATAACTCATTGTGGTTTTGATTTGCATTTTTCTGATGATTAGTGATATGGAACTTTTTAAAATATATCTGTTGGACATTTGTATACCTTCTTTGGAGAAATGTCTGTTCAGGTTTTTTGCCCATTTTTAATTGGATTATTATCATTATCATTATTCTTAATATTTGTTGTTTTGCTTATTGAGTTTGAATTCCTTGTATCTTCTGGTTATTAATCCCTTGTCAGATGAATAGTTTATAAATTTTTTTTGCATTCTGTAGGATAGCTCTCCACTTTGTTAATTGTTTATTTTGTTATGCAGGAGCTTTTCAGCTTCGTGTGATCCCACTTACCTATTTAGCTTTGGTTGCCTATGCTTTTGAGGTCTTACACAAAAAAATACTTGCCCCGACCAACATCCTGGAGCATTTCCCCAGTGTTTTCTGATAGTTATTCATGGTTTCAGGTCTTACATTTAAGTTTTTAATCCACTTTTATTTGATTTTTGTATATGGCACAAGATGGGATCTTGTTTCATTATTCTGCATATGAATAACCAGTTTTTCCAGCATCATTTATTGAAGAGACTGTCCTTTCCCCATTGTATATTCATGGTACTTTTGTAGAAAATGAGTAGACTATAAATTGTGGAACTAGTTATGGGTTCTCTGTTCTTTTCCACTGATCTGTGTGTTTTTATGCCAGTACTATGCTTTTTTCATTACTATAGTGTTGTAATATAATTTGAAATCAGGTAACGTGAAGCCCATAGCTTTGTTCTTTTTGGATTTTTTTCGCTATTCTAGGTCTTTTGTGGTTCCATGTAAATTTTAGGATTGTTTTCTCTATTTCTGTGAAGAATGTCATTGATATTTTCATAGGGATTTCATTAAATCTGTAGGTCGCTTTGGGTAGTATGTACATTTTAATGATACTGATTCTTCTAATCCATGAACATGGAATATCTTTCAATTTTTTGTATTATCTTCAGTTTTTTCATAAATGTTTTACAGTTTTCACTGTAGAGAACTTTCACTTCTTTGGTTAAGTTTATTCCTTGGTATTTTATCTGTAGCTATTGTAAATTGAATTCCTTTCTTGGTTTCTTTTTTAGATTGTTAGCTTTTAGCATATATAAATGCTACTGATTTTGGTATGTTAATTTTGTATCCTGCAACTTTACTGAATTTGCTTTTTCAGTTCTAATAGTTTTTTGGTAGAATTTTCAGGTTTTTCTAAATATATCACCTACAAACAAAGATAATTTGACTTCCTCCTTCACAATTTGTATGTCCTTTCTTTCTTTCTTTCTCTTGTCTAATTGCTCTGGCCAAGACTTCCAGTGCTAGGTTGAATAAGAATGGTAAAAGTGGATATCCTTGTCTTGTTTCTGATCTTAGAGGAAAGGCTTTCAGTTTCTCCCTTTTCAATATGATACTAGCTATAGGTTTGGCAAAGACTTTTTTCTTCTATGGCTGTGTCTGTGTCCCATAGCACATAACTCAACAATGTTGATTAATCACTGATGAGGACTTGAAGAGTGCTTTGTTAACACAGAAAGAATCTTTCTTCAAATAAATCTCATCAGAAGTATAATATATAAAATGGATTAAAGCGGAGATGCCATTTCTCCTTCTAAGTCTCCACTAGGATTTGTTGAATCCCTAGGGCCTCATGGGAAACCACTGTTAGAATGGAAATAACATTGGCTTTTACAACAGGTTAGCAGTGTTTTTCATCAGGCCCTGCCTGTAGCTGTGGGAAAACCATTTAACCACTTGGAGACTTGGTTTTCTTATCTTTGAAATGAGAGTTTTGTCTTAAACGCTTTCAGTGTTCCCTTCTAGCTATGTTAGTATATTTAAATGTTTCAGGTATATTCCAACCCTTGGTCTTCACACAAATGGTATTCTCCTACCAGAGTACCCTTGCCCCTGCCTATTCTAATGCTGAATTTCTTTCAAGACCATGCTGACTTCTAACTCATCTAAGAAATCTTCTGCTATACCTCTGTGTTTTGCATCTATCACTTTATTGTCCACAGCACATAAACTAGAACTTGATGTGCGGAGCTTCCCAGTACCACTCAGATTCATATATTTTAGCAAGTGGATTAGTCAGACATTAACCCCTACCTATTTTGCTTACCTTAAATATCCTAATAATTAAAATAATAAGACACATTCTTGCCATATGTACGTTATTTACCTTATGAAAGTTATATATTCTATTGGAACACTGTACATAGTATCTTTTGTTGTCACCTTAGTTAGCTTTATCTGCTTACCTACAGAGTTCTCATCTCATATTTCTTGTGTATATCGTTGTATTAGTTGAGCTAACATATATCAAAAGCCTGGCACATAGCAGACATTCCACCAAACTTAACTCTTTTTATGGCATTTCTTATAACTGGAGAAATCTAAGGGGAGCTCCCCATCCTCCCCACTCCAAAAAAGATGTAGGTATTCCAAAGACTCCATGCAAATCCATTTGTTTTCTGGCCTGGGTTATATAAGATATTCCAAATTGAAGTTACAAAGTTATAAGCTATTTTTTGCTTTGTCTACAAATTTATTTTCTCCCAGTTTAACACATTGAAAGAGATTGGAGAAAACATAGACAATTAATAACTTTTGTTAAAGGTTTTCAAATTTGAGGCCCTGAATTTATCTGGCAGTACACTGAAGAAGTGTTCTTCCTGGTGAATGTGTTTCAAGTAAAATATATTTTGATTTAGACTGAAAGAGTAAATTGTGTGTGTGAGAGTGTATGTGTTCTCATGTTTACACATATGCACAGGAGTATTGATATGATAAACACATCTTAAGGCACTCAACAGCTCTGATCAGTATTTAAAGCAACAACACTGTGTTCCAACAGTGAAACATTTGTGGAATTGGAAAAGACAAGGAAACATTGGAAAGCAAGTTCATTTGCACATAGGGAAAGCATTAGCCAGGAGAGCACTTAGAGAGAATGGACATGCCACCATACAGTTGTAAAAAAAAGATTTTGAATCTTGCAACACAGAGCTGTGGCTTTGCATACCCTTAGTTTAAATATTGACTTTTGAAATGGGATGAAAGTTGATATATGCCATGTTGTATCTTTCTCACCACATGTTAAAGTGGCAATAACACAATTTTGTTGGATACTTAGTACTGTGTTGTTTCTGATTTACAGCCCTGGTAATTTTTCTTGTTCTGGGAATACACTGCATGAGAACACATGTTGGAGCTAAAATTAGCTTTAAACCTACCTAAGTGAAAGTGAGAATTCTTCTCATATAACCTACTTATAAATATTTAAATTGTAAAATGTTTTAATTGCTTTTCTCTAAAAATTATCAGAAGAATAAAAAATATAATGTTAGGAACAAAAATAGCATCAGGAATAATTGCAGTGAATGATAGTTCAGTTTTAGAAGAAAGTAGAACATTTAAGTACCCATGGAAAAACTAATGTAAAATTTTTGCTATAAGAAAAAGACATATGACTGCTTATTCAAAGTGCAAAGAATAAAGAAAAAAATGCAGATTTAAAAATTGGTCACAATACTTTTTTCAATGAGAAATCCATTATGAAGTGGACGTTCTTTAAACAATGAACTCTATACTCAACTCTGTGGAAAATCTTCCAGTAACTGGGGAATTGCATAGCCTTCACTTGCCTATGTCTATATTTGTAAATATTCTCAAGAGAGTTTAGGACTTAACTTTCATGCCTGAAATTTTTTTTTCATTTTACTGGCTTTAATTTAAACTACATCAGAGTTAAAAACCTAAGTTTGATGACTAATATTAGGTTATTTGAAATTGTTGACAAGTGCTTGATATGGTAGATTTATACAGGAAAATTTTCATTAACACAACTAGCTGTTCCCTAAGAGGTGGTATGGAGCAGTTAGGGAACAAATTCTGGAAGTTCTATGAAGAGAGAGACGGTCCTTGGGGAAATATTAGCCTGTAATGGAACAATTATTTTACCTTGGAGTTCACAAGGGGAAGCAAGACAACCAAGTGTTTGAGCTATTTTTATATAATACTCATATGTAGGAAGGAGATAGGAATTTATGACAAAATATATCCAAAGTTGTTGTATATTCAAGTTTTCTAAGTTTATGGAAAAATAAAACTATGGAATTAAGGGATAGTTTCCTCACATATTTTTATATAAGAAAGCCTTTGTAAACCTTTTGTGCACTCTCCAACTCTGCTAAGTAGAAGTAGAAACACCTTTAACATCTTCTTAGGGTAATGATTGATGGTATTTGAATTGAGAAGGCTGCATACAACCATAGCCGTTCAGAAAGTAGGGATTGTCACAAATACGACCCTGTTGTTAGAGATTATTATGCCCACCAACCACATTTATTGTAAAGTAACTTTCTGTAACTGTATTCTCTTTTCTTCTATTATAGATTTCCCTTTCCTCTCCTCTCCTCCCCTCCCCTCTCCTCTCTCCTTCTCTTTCTTTCTTTTTTTTCTTGAGATGGAGTCTTGCTCTGTCACCCAGGCTGGAGTACAGTGGCATGATCTTGGCTTACTGCAGCCTCTACCTCCTGGGTTCAAGCGATTCTCCTGCCTCAGCCTCCTGAGTAGCTGGGATTACAGGTGCACGCCACCATGCCCGGCTAATTTTTTGTATTTTTAGTAGAGATGGGGTTTCACCGTGTTGACCAGGCTGGTCTCGAACTCCTGACCTCAAGTGAGCGCCTGCCTCAGCCTCCCAAAGTGCTGGAATTACAGGCATGAGCCACTGCGCCTGGCCTAGAATAGATAACTTTGATTTACAAGTGTTTTTGGCCACGTGAAAGAGATTTTTTTTCTTCACTTAATAAAACAGTAAGAATACGCTATTCATGTCATAGAACTATAATAGCTTAAAATAAATAATATCCAGAAAGTTATTAGAGAACATGAGATATGGCACATTCTGTAAGAATGACCATTTTCTTTATCTCACTTTGAGGTTATCTTCTTGAAGGCAGTGATAATAACATTTTGGTAGTTTGATTACTTTTCCCGTTAGTTACACAATATAAACTATGCTTGTAACTTTACATTCAGGGACTTTTTCTTTCTTTTTCTTTCTGTCATCTTTGGACTTCCCTAGCATCTCTCCAGACATCATTACTTAACAATACTTTCCTTGGTATGTATGCTTTATTTGCTCAGAGATGAAAAGGTAGCCAAAGACTAAAGTGATTAAAGCTTTCTAGTAATGGTGGCTGCATCTGCCTCCTGTCTTCCTCACTCTTTATGGCAAGATCTCAGTGAGGCTGCACCTGGAGGAACATTGCTCAGCTCTGGGATGTGATAAGTAAATAGTTTTTTTTGTTGTTGTTGTTTTTTTTAATCATGGAGCAAGCTTAAGAAAGCTATTTTTATGTGTTGTAGTTTAAACATTTTTAAATGAAAATGGTATATTGAATTCTGGGGAAAATATGTTTATTTAACAATTAGTCTATCAGACAGCCGAATGTCAATGAGAAAATTTGCACTGCTTGTTAACCACTTAAATGTGTTTATGGGGGAATATTGGAGAAGCAGCAAACCCAAAGTGAGTTTATACTTCTTAATTTAGTTTTGACGTTGACCCTTATGCTACAACTTTCCAAGGCAGGTGGCAGGAACACAGCCTCTGTGCCTCCGATGTTTGAGATAGCTCCAGGCTCTATTCTCTGTTACTCTGTAACATACTGACTCAATGAGAATTTCAGGTCGTGGTGAGTGAGTTTTACCATTGGTAGCATTGTTATTACACTCTTATTTTGTGTTCCCAAGGAATGTGGTCTTTTTGTATAATACTCATATGTAGGAAAAAGATAGGGATTTGCCTACATATTCTCATGTAGGAGGACGTTCTTTGCCATATTCCCTGGGATCCAACTCTACCCTGTTTCTGCTGCCAGATTTCCGTGATTTTCTATTCACAATTCCCAGCTTTACCCTGTTCCTTTTTTGGTGGATTTTCCAGAAGTTAGATAGGCATAGTTTGTCTATATATCCTGAGTTTACTTTTTTTGTTGTTTTTTTTTTGAGACGGAGTCTTGCTTTGTCGCCAGGCTGGAGTGCGGTGGTGTGATCTCAGCTCACTGCAACCGCCACCTCCTGGGTTCAAGCGATTCTTCTGCCTCAGCCTCCCAAGTAGCTGGGACTACATGTGCCCGCCACCACACCTGGCTAATTTTTTTGTATTTTTAGTAGAGACGGGGTTTCACCATTTTGGCCAGGATGGTCTTGATCTCTTGACCTCGTGATCTGCCCGACCCGGCCTCCCAAAGTGTTGGGATCACAGCTGTGAGCCACCATGCCCGTCCATATCCTGAGTTTTCTAAATGGTCCGCTGCTTTCCACCCATCACTGCGATCGCAGTCTGTCATCAAGATGCTTGTTTAGAAGCCTGCAATGGCTGGGCTAGTAGATTGGACTGTTTGTTCTGTTCAGAACCTGAAGCCTTTATTTTAACATTGGGTAGTATTCTCAGAAAATGTGTAGCTATTAAAATGCTTTTTCTTCTCTTTTTTAGCCTGACAAAGTCCTGATTATTTTAAAAATATTTTAAGGATTTGAGGATTAAGAATTTATGTTGTTGGTGGAATGGCGGAGTCAGTATAGCAGAAATCTTCCTTCTCTGCTTTATTTTTCTCCTTAACATTTATCACTAATACATACATATTTCACTTGTGAGTGTTTTCTATTATTTGTCTTCCCCAGTAGAAGGTAGGCTTCATTTGGGAAGGGGATTTTGTCTACTTTGTTCTCCTCTGTATCTTTAGTTCTGATAGCAGTGTCTGGCAGATGGTATTTGCCTAAGAAGTATTTGTAGATGGAAATATTCTAACTTTGTCCAATAATTATATCTTTAAGTTTAAAAATCTAACAAAGAATTAATGATCATAGTGTTTTGGTTGTCTTATGTTTCCTTACATGTAAAAAGGGTGATACTTTAAAGAATTTTTAAATGTTTCTTATACTTTTAAATGGTTTAGTATTTACTATTCTTCAGAGTTATAATTAAAGATTAACTTCTTAGTTACTTATAAGCCAAGATTTTTTTTGTTATATATCTTGTTTTATTTTAAAAAGCTTTTTAAAGAATGTTTAGTAGTTTACTCTGACAATAATTCAGCATCTTAAAGTGCTAGGATATTCTATTGAATATTAATTGCTGATTTATCTGTAGTTAAGCCAATTTCAAGATCTTACTTCAGCTGTTTGTTTTTCTTCTCTTCTCTTCTCTTCTCTTCTCTTCTCTTCTCTTCTCTTCTCTTCTCTTCTCTTCTCTTCTTTCTCTCTCTCTTTCTCTCTTTTTCTCTTTCGGAGTTTCACTCTCTGTCACCCAGGCTGGAGTGTGGTGGCACGATCTCGGCTCACTGCAACCTCTGCCTCGTGGGTTGAAGCTATTCTCCTGCCTCAGCCTCCCGAATAGCTGGGACTACAGGCGCGCCACCATGCCCTGCTACTTTTTGTATTTTTAGTAGAGACAGGGTTTCGCCCTGTTGTCAGACTGGTCAAGAACTCCTGACCTCAGGCAATCTGCCTGCCTTGGCCTCCCAAAGTACTGGGATTACAGGCATGAACCACCACACCCGGCCTGTTCATTTCTGTTTTAAAGTTTTTTTTATTTTTAATTTTTATGGGTACATAAAAGTTGTACATATTTATGGGGTATATGTGATATTTTGATAGCATCACACAATGTGTAATGATTAAATCTCAGTAATTGGGATATATATCACCTGAAACACCTATCATTTCTTTGTTTTGGGAACATTCCAAATCTTCTCTTCCAGCTATTATGAAATATGCGATGATTGTTGACTATAGTTGCTTCATCCTGCTACTGAACACTATTTTTTTTATAGCCCTTTAAGTTACATTTTTTTGGATGAACTCTTTAAATTCATTAAAATCAACTACCCACTATTTAATTGCTCCTAAGACACACAGTCTTAATACATTTTACAGTCACTGAATTTGGGATTTGTCCTAATGACATCATACAACAATTGAAGCTTTTTTCCCTTTCAGTGCTACCTAAAATGGTGGTGCAGCAATATCAATAATGATTTTTACATTTGATGAATTACTTATGTTTCAATGTTTTGGAAACTGGCACTCAGTTTCAGTACTTGTGAAATAAGAGAACTGGACCATGAAATACGATAAATAAAAACAACTTTTTTCCCTCTAGTAATGGATGTGTTTTAGATGAGTTAAGTTTCACTTGAGTGGAAAAAAATATGAGTAGGTCTATTGCTTGGAAAAGAGTGTATCCCATTGGCATTTGACAACATATGTATTAATTGAATTAATCACTGCTAAAAATAAAACCTACTAAGGGTATGTTATTATTTTACTTGTCACTTTAAGGAAAAATAGTTCGGTCTCATCATCTGTCACCCATGTCAGTTAATTGTAGTGCTAAGTTTCATATTACAATAAAAGTGTGATGGTTAAACATACAATATTTTAATTTAATTCAGAGGTGCCTCAATTGCAGGCAGTGCTCACTCTCTACTTCTCTTCCTGATCTTAGCTTGTCATCATAAAGATCAAATCTAATAACTCTTTTTCCTCTTACTGCTTATTTATTGATAGACTTACTCCTTTAAATATTTAATATTACTAGAATATTTAAGATTTTTAAAATAAAATATGAGCTTTTTAAGCATCTAGTATCTTCATCTATAAATTTCAAGATTAATCTAAATTTTATTAGCAGTAAAATATCTCATTAAATACGTTTATGACCATGAAATTGGAAGTTTGGACAGTTTATTTCTTATATACTCCTATAATTTTAAACTAATATAGGTAGTTTCTCTCCTTAAATTTTTCATGTTCAAGACAAAGATGCTATAAATAAAAGTTGTAGAAGTATAGTATCTTATTTAAAAGTAATGATGAGCCTCTTAAATGATTCCAAGGCCATTTAATTTTGACATTACATTGTATTTATGTTGATGGTTTGAGTGATCATTTGATATAAATTTGTTCTGAGAATCAATAAAGGAAATAGAGGAACTAATTATTCAAACTTAATAGTATCATTGCAAATTATAGTATGTACAAAATTCTTATTTACCTCTTAATAGTCTGCTTATTTTTTCTACAATAAATGATGCGGTAAAGGAAAACTATAATCAATTCACTGGATAACATGAACTCTTCTCTTCTTTACAGAGTATTTTGGGGAGAATAAAATCTACTTAAAATATATAATTTGTGTTCAATTTCTTCTCTTGCTAGCTGTAACATTAGCTAACTTGTTTATTTGCTCTTTAAAAAGATAACTTTATTATGACTTTTAAATAAATGTATACTCATTTTAATACATTTGAAAAACATAGACACTATAAGGGAAAAATGAAATATTCATTAGTTCTATTACTTGATACAACCACAGATAACATTTTGGTTAATTTTTTTTTCATTACTTTTCCTAGGTGTACATACCCATACATGTTCATAATATTATATTGTATGTGTTTCTGTAATTTGATTTTGTAATACTCTTATGTTTTACCTTGAACTTATCTCAGGTTTCTAAATTTTACTTTAAACATTTGCATAATATTTCATCATTGGTCACTTAGGTTTCTTCCATTTTTTTTTTGGTCTTATAAGTGGATATAATTATCAGTGAACATGACAGTGGAAAGAGTACGAACTTTAGAGTCAGACCTATGCAAGTTTCAGCTCTGGATATAACTGTTTCTGGATTTGTAACTTTATGCTATTCAGTTTCTCCATTCATAAAATAGAGATAATGCTGGCCTTAAATTATTTAAATATTAGAATTATTATGGTAATGAAGCAGGGTATTTTCTTGACACCTTCAAGGGACTCAGGACAGGGGTGCCTCATTTATTCAGCCTGCCCCTGTCTACCCCTTGTGAGAGGGAGTGTGTGAGCAAACGAGTGCTGGAACCAGAGCGAGTGCTTTTGGGTGTTGGCAGGAACAAACTCCATTTACTTGGCTCACCATGCTCAGCCCCTTGTGGGAGGGAGCAGGTAGGCAAGCAAATATGGGATCCAGTCAGCTGCTTTTGGGCACCAGCAATAGCAAACTCCATGTGGGTCCCGTGACAGCATCTAGGTGGGGTTGCCTATGACCCCCTGAAACCCCAGAGGGTGTGTTGCAGTGCTCTTTCAGCTCTGCCATCTGTGGATGGCTCAAATCTTAACAGCTCAGTGGGCCTTTCACCCTTTTGCATGAGGTGGCTGCCCTCTGCCAGCGAGGGCAAAGGGCCAGTGTGACAGCCTTTTGTATCCACACTCATGGCTCCTGAGCTCTGGTCTGGTGTCCAGGAAAAATGAAGTCACGTGAATGAATTAAAGGATGGTAACTGTGGGGAATTTTATTGTCAATGAAAGTGGCTGTCAGTGGGAAGAGAAGCTGAAAAGGGCACAGGGCGGATAATCATCTTCCCATGAAGTCTGACCATCTCCTGCCAGATTTTTCTCCGAAGTTACACTGTCAAGCTGTCCCTCTGAAGTCAAGCTGCTTCTCTTTGATGTCCTACCATAGTCCTATCTACTGGCTGAGTCTGGAGTTTTTATAAACACAGGATAGGGCAGGGTGGGGCCATGGGTTGTTTAGGAAAAGGCAACATTTGAGCGGGTAAACAGGGATAGAAGTTCTCACTTTGGGCCTCAGTTTCAGGCTTTGTGACTGAGGGTGGGGTTTCGCTGCCCTTTCTGCCTAGAATTTCTCTGCCTCCGTCCCTATCAGTAACAGCATTTTCATAGAACCCAGTTGATAGTAGGTACTAAATCACTATCAGTATCATGATGGTAAATGGTAGTGATTACTCTTTGATTATGCAGAATTCATTTACTGAATTCAGAATTCTGTCTTGAAATTTATGGTCCTTGCTTTGGATAAATTTTTACAAAATAAATTACTAAGAAAAAAGTGGTTACAATGTCGACATTTTAAAGACTCCAGTCATATATCCAGATTGCTTTCCAGAATGTTTATGTCAATTCATGCTTCCAACAGCAGTGTAAGAATGTGCTTTTTGCTGCATACTCTTGAGCACTGAATATTATTAAAAATTATACTGATTTACTTAACAGAAACTCTTGTTGTTTTAATTTTCATTTATTTGATCACCAGTGAAGTTAGTGATTATTTTTATGGCTGTGGTTGTCTTCTGTGTATTGTATGATCTTGTCCATTATTTAATATTTTTCTTTCCAATTTATACGTGCTCTTTGTATTTTAAGGCCATTAACACTTTCTTCTATTTCTAAAAATATATTATTTTTAGCTTGGTATTTAATTTGACTTATAACATTTTTAATCATTCATTTTTTATAGAAGAGTCATTTCAAATATCATTTTTTTTCATGCTGAATCTTATCAGCTACCTTTACTGACTCCCTGCAGCCCTTGTCAGACTAGCTTTCAGGACTCCTCATGTATCCCTCATTGCCTTCCCAACTCTGTCCTGAAATCACTGATGCAGGCTGACTTACCTGTTGTCTGCCTTTTGTAGACTCCTTTTATGTTCTTAACATGATCTGCTTGCTGTATTTCTTACCTTTTCCTTTGCTTCACATCTCTGTGAAGACTGAGTAAAGCTGTAATACCTGATTAAGGCACAGTTTAGCACTTAATTGTTTTATTTTATAATTCTTTTTTTTCGCTAATTAGGTTAGTCTTCCCAGCTGTATTGAAACTTGCTTCAGAGCAGCGTTTATAGTTTGTACCTTTGTATGTCCCCAAATCTCCTAGCACAGGCAGGGAACATAATAAGCATTCAGTGAGTTAATTTTTGTAAATGCAGATAATTGCCTGATTCCCACCACTCTCCCAAACACACAAATAGACACACATTTATTTTTACCTAGCAACAGAGAAGTTAAGAGAAATGAACCGTAAAGGGTTTGGAACAAATATTTTGGAGTTTATTGCATTCTGTTTTCTCAGTTGTGCTCTGAGTCAGACAGATTACACATAGCCCAAGATATAGCCAGGAAACCACTTCACTAACTGTAAAGAGCCAACAGACTTCACAAGGACGAAACTTCCAGTTTGTTATTTACGGTGCCACAAAAGGTATTGGGCTACTTCAGGCTCCAAGGTCTCCTCAGGATGTGGGCTTTGGTGGTGGAGCAGGTGAGTAGGAGGGGCATGTGTCCTCAGCCAGAATATAGATAGGACGCAGAATATTGATTGGGTGTCAAGGAGGACAGAACCATTAACTCTGTCCAGGAAGTTGCCTTGAGCGTTCTCAGAGATTGAGGTTTTTGTCTGGAGACTTGGATAATTTAGTGATCAAATCTGAACTCTTTTCATTTTAATAAATAAAATCTTAATTTCCTTTTGTTTTTGTTTTTTTTTTTTTTTTTTGAGACGGGGTCTCATCCCGTCACCCAGGCTGAAGTACAGTGGTGCAGTCACGACTCACTGCAGCCTCCCTTCCTGGGCTCAGGTGATCCTCCCACCTCAGCCTCCCAAATAGCTGGGACTACAGGCATGCGCCACCATGCCTGGCTAAATTTTTTTTTTTGGTATTTTTTGTAGAGGTGGGATTTCACCATGTTGCCATTCACCATGTTGCCAAGGCTGGTTTTGGACTCCTGGGCTCAAGCAATCCACCCACCTCCCAAAGTGCTAGGACTACAGGCATGAGCCAATTTGTTTTTTAAAATATCATGGTATTAAAAAGAAGATGATATTATAATACCTAACCTGTTTTGGTTTTATTTCATGATTTCTCCCAAAGATTTATAGACAATGTCATTGAAAGAAAATGTTTTACCTTTCTTTCTAAATTTTTTACCAGGTATCTATTGCTGTTTTCAGTTGTTTCTGTGACATTTCCCACATATAATCAAAATGAGGTTTAGTAATTGGTGCTTTTTGTTTCTATTAATTCTATCTGTATAACAGGTCATTGAAATCCATAGTGGCTTAAAAACACAGTAACAATTTTACGATCTTTTCCAGTTTCTGGGGTCAGGAATTTGTGTAGGGTTTGGCTATTTGCTTCTGGGTTAGGGTATCTCCTGCATTTTGCAGTCAGGCAGCGACTAGAGTTGGAATAGCAAGTGGCTGAAGTAGCTGGGGCTAGTCAGACACTTCTCACTTTTCATATAACCTCAGGGTCTGGCCGTGTGGTCCCTTCACATGGGCTAATTTGGGCTTCCTCATAGCATGGCAGCCCCAAGGCAGTCAGACTGCTAGTATATATGGCAGCTGAATATTTAAAGAGAGAATACTGTATTACAGTGAGCAAGGTGAGAGCTGCATTGACTTTTATGATCCAGTCTCTGAAATCAGATAGCTTCATTTATGCCATGGTCAGAAATTCAAGGTGAGGTAATATAGACTCCAAGGCTTGAGTGTCAGAGTTATATGTAAGAAACAACATGTGGAATGGGAAAAATCATTGGGGTCATCTCAGGAAAATATAATCTGCCACAGTCCATCCTCTAACCACAACCACTTATATAGCTCTCCTACATGCAAAATACACTCATTTCTGCCCTCAAACCCCCCATGTCTTATTCCATTACTGCATTAGTTTCAAGTTCAGCGTTTTGTCTTCCAAATCAATTCCAGACACAGATAAGGCTCCTTGGCTAAGGCTTCTTGAATATTGAAAGCCTTTGAATTAAGGTTCTTTGGAAAACCTTTGAACTAAAAAGATAAGTCATCTGCCTTTCACACACTAAACATTCAATGGTGGGGCAAGCATAGGAAAATTCTATAGTTCTTTCTGTTCAAAAGGGGGAAAATGAGAGGCTGTTATATTCCATACTGACTCTGAAACCCAGTTGGTCATGTTGCCATTTGCTGAATGAGTAATCAGTCCATCTCCTGGGAATTGTTCTCTGTGGTGCTTGGCTCCTCCTGTTTGTTCTCTGGTTTCCATCTTCTGATTCATCATTCTTTTTCCAAAAAACATGACCTGTATTTGTAGCTGATAATTTCCTCTGCCTTTTTCTTGGGAATGGAAATTTGGGTGTCCAGAGGTCACTTTTAATTTTGTATTGTCTTTGTTTCCTTTCAGTTCCAGGTGTTACAGTTTTAAAATTTTGAGGGTGTCTTATGCATCAATTTATAATCTACCCCATTAGCAAAAGCCATGCCCTTACATTTTTGAAATAATCGCTTCTTTACCAGAGATTCCCTGTGAGGCTGTGATGGGATAACACCCTGATGGTTCTGGTAGTTAGGTTGTTGAGCAGAAAAAGTCAGCTACATATGCCCTTAACATCTTTAGAAGGCTTTTGTCTGTCTTAAAGGATGTATAAGGTGCCATCATATTGGTGTTAAAGGGTTTTGGTAGTCACACCCTTACTTTTATTTGTAAACCAAGTCTTTCTGACTATACCTGGTATTTTATTTTTCCCTTGAAGCTCTTTCTTATTTTGAGACTGTTTTGTTCTCTGGAGTGACAGGGAATGCAAAATAGTTTTATTTTCAAACCCAGCAAGATGCCTTTTTTTTTTTTTTTTTAGTTCCTCTAAATTTTGCTGAATTTGAAGTTTCTTTGTAAACTCATCTATCTCTGTCCATGTGTTATAAGAAGCAAAAATGGCCAGGCACAGTGGCTCACGCTTGTAATCCCAGCACTTTGGGAGGCCGAGGCGGGCAGATCATGAGGTCAGGAGTTTGAGACCAGCCTGGCCAACATAGTGAAACCTTGTCTCTACTAAAAATACAAAAATTAGCTGGGCATGGTGGCGCGTGCCTGCAGTCCCAGCTAGTCAGAAGGCTGAGGCAGGAGAATCGCCTGAACCCAGGTGGCGGAGGTTGTGGTGAGCGGAGATTGCACCACTGCATTCCAGCCTGGGCAACAGAAGAAAAAGAAAAGAAGCAAAAGGAAGCCAGGTGCTCCTTTCGGTATTCTACTTGGAAATATTCTTAGCTAGGTAGTTGGAGTTTTATTAGGTATATTTTCTATTTTCAACATCACTATGGGCAATGGTATGGCTATTTTTTTTCTAGTACATAACAAGAATCTCTTCCTTCCAATAACTTAATCCTCATTTCTCTGAAGCCCACACAGCCATATTTCTTGAGGCCCATTGGCTTTCACTAACAATCTCTTGCAGGCCCTTCTGTCTTCCATATGCTGTCCAGTTCCAAGGCCAATGCCACATGTTTTGAGTATTTTTTTTATTATAGCACTCACTTCTGCTATCAAAGTATGTTCCAGTTATCTACTGCTTTTTAACAAATAACCATAAAACTTAGTAGATTAAAACAACAAAACAATTTTATCACCTTTTAAGGTTTCTGTGGGCCAGGATTTTTGGCAGGCATCAACTGGGCAATTCTAGTTTAGGGTCTCTCATGCATTTGCAGTCAGATGGTGTCTGCATTTGGAACAGTGACAGGCTGAATCAGCTAGGTGCTGTCCAGGCATCTCTTTATTCGTGTAGTTTCAAGGTCTCTCTAGTTTTTCCACATTGGATGGTTTGGCCTTTCTGCCAGCATAGTGTACTCTGGATAAGCAGACTGCTAAAGTGGTAGTGAAAGACTTCAAAAACACATTCTGGTGAGTAAGGTGGTGTTGAATGAAATTTTATGACCTGCCTTTCACACACCAAACATTTATTGGTGGTACGAGCATGGGAAATCATATAATATCACATTTGTCATAGACATAAGCTTATCAGGATCTAAGTAGAAAGAACTTAGAACCCACCTCTCAATGTGAGGAGTCTCAAAGACAACAGAAGAAGAACATTTCGAATGGGAGAGATTGTAGTGGCCATCTGTATTGGTCTGTTCTCATGCTGCTAATAAAGACATACCTGAGACTGGGTAATTTATAAAGAAAAAGAGGTTTAATGAACTCACGGTTCCACATGGCTGGGGAGGCCTCACAATCATGGCAGAAGGGGAAGGAGGAGCAAAGGCACACCTTACATGGTGGCAGAGCAAGACACCATCACACATACATACACACACACACACACACACACACACACACGAAAGGTAAGAGTAGAAGTTGTCATCATTTTAGCTCATATGCAGTGAATTCCATGACCAATAGATTGTGCAGAAAATCTGTCTACTTCTTTGTCTTACTCACTATCATGAGAACAACACAGGAAAACCCACCCCTATGATTCAGTTACCTCCCACGGGGTCCCTTCATGACACGTGGGGATTATGAGAGCTACAGTTCAAGATGAGATTTGGTTTGGGAGACAGCCAAACCATATCACCATCTTTGCAAAAATAAAAAAATTAAAAAGAAATCATCCATACTTCTTTGTATCCAGTCTTTACAGGTCAACTCCAAAGTTAATAGACTGTAGGTATAGATGTTGACAGACACAGAATCTTTTATGTTAAAAAAAAACTTACACATATTTTTGTTTTCATCCTCAAGTTTTACTATATAAACATCTAGTGAACTTCTATAGTATTTAGTGAATCAAATTTGAAGTTCTCTGGCAAAGCCAAAATTATGACTGTGGGTGGTGCATGTTTTAAGTTATATCAGGTTCTCAGACATGCAGAATTTTTAAGTGGCAATAGTTTTAACTGGCCAGGTATAGAAACCTTGTGTTTTTGTAAGAAAAGAGGAAAAATATCCCTTTAAAGTGAAGAAAAATTACATCTCTTTCTAAAATCTAGCTTTGTATAAGTATTGACAGATTGTCCCAGTGATTCTCAAAATTCATCTTTTCAAATATCAAGAACCATATGGTTAAACTTCATAAAAATGAATAGTGAAAACTTCATTTAAGGCGACGAATGTGCAGCTGCCAGCATCTCCTTTCTTCTTGGCCACACCAGCTTGGCTAATCTTCTGTCACTACATATGTGGGCCACGTGTGCTTTGGAAAATGTTGGACTGTTTCGGATGTTTAGTCTGCATAGGCTGGATCCTGCTCACTGCATCTTATTACTCCGGTTTCCCCTTTGCTTTCAGCAGCAACACTATCCAGCTAGTTTTTGTGGGGGTACCAGGTATGCAGCAACTTGTGAAAACCAAGGAGCAGAAAACTGCTACCTGCCTGAAACACAAATATATCTTCACAGGGCTGTCAGGAGACGATCTTCCCTGTAGCTCTCTTAAAAGGATTAAAGGTGATATCAAATGAATGGAAAATACCAGAATAAGTCATCACAGTTCACTGCAATTATTACTGTACCTAAGAAAGCACACCACTTTTTGGCAGTTGAACTGGCCACTGATAAGATTTATTCATCACAAAATTGAAGGCAGTGTTTCTTTGTGAATTAACTATAGTTTGAATGATTTTCTAAAATATAGGCAAAGCATGGTTATAATAGAATAAGTTAAGTTCCAAATAGGATTACTTATTTCATGTTGTAGCCCTAATTTTGCCTCAACCACTCACCCTCTGGTAAATTCCTCTGTGATATACAACAGGTCCTCAAGTAATGCCTTGTTCAGCATTGTTTTCTTCAGTGACATTGATGAGAAAAAAAATTGATTCCCAGCCAAGGCCCCTCTTTGTATGGAGTCTGGCTTTCTCCCCATGTCCGTGTGGGTTTCCTTTAGGTACTTCAATTTTCTTCCACATCCTAAAGATGTGTGCATTAGGTGAATTGGCATATGTGCATTGTCCCAGTCAGAATGAGTGTGGGTGTGTGCGTGCATTCTGTGAGGTAATGGTGTCCTGTCCAGAGTTATTTCCCGCCTTGCACCCTGAGCTGCTGAGATAGGTTCTGGCCACCCAAAACCCTGAATTGGAATAGGTGGGTTGGAAAAATTAGTGAATGAATGAATACAAATCATTGTCAAATCAAAGTTTGTAACAATATAGTCTACTAGACAAGGGAAGACAGGTACTTAATACAAGTTGAGAATACTTGGGTATTAGCCGGGCGTGGTGGTGCGGTCCTGTAATCCCAGCCACTCAGGAGGCTGAGGCAGGAGAATCGCTTGAACCCAGGAGGCAGAGGTTGCAGTGAGCCGAGATTGCATTACTACCCTCCAGCCTAGGTGGCAGAGCAAGACTCCATCACACACACACACACACACACACACACACACAAAAAGTAGAAGTTGTCATTTTAACTCATATACAGTGAATTCCATGACCAATAGATTGTGCAGAAAATTTGTCTACTACCTTGAAATTCCCTTAGATAAAAAATTGGTAGTGTAATACTTATATATGCAGTTAGGTAAAATATTGCTTTGGGTAGGTAAATAATGGAATTTCATAAATTTATCCTTTCTTTTTTTTTTTGAGATGAGGGTATGCTCTATTGCCCAGTTTGGAGTGCAGTGGCGCAATCACTGCTCACTGCAGCCTTGAACTCCTGGGCTCAAGCAATCATCCTTCCACCTCAGCCTCCCAAAGCACTGGGATTACAGGCATGAGCCACCATGCCCAGCAAATTTATCTTCTATTGAATGGTTGAATTTTTAATTAAATTTCTTCAAGTAGTTAGCATATTTTAATATTTCTAATAGAAACACGAGGAGAAGCTCTACCAGTGGAACTCTTAGGACTCTCACACCACATGATAGTTAAATCAGTTTTTAACTGATTAGCTTGCCTTTCTGAAATGTGACCAGTACTTCATTGCTTTTTATTTTCTTACAATTTAATTTAGCCTGCTTAGTTTATGGATGATTTCAGCTGTTAAAAAATAAGAACCTAAATTGACACTAAGACTTGGAAAATGTAACCTATGATTAGGAGACTTTATTTTCCACTAAATACACTCTAAGGAAAGTTATCCTATGTGTTTAATTGAACAATAGAAATGGCAACTGTGCCTGATAAACGTATCTAAATGTTTAAAATCATCATGTAAACCCATGATGATTCTTAGGTTCCAATAGTTTCAGTAAATCAGCTTCACTTTTCAGAATATTTCCCAGTTGAATTATACAGCTGTAGCTGGTGAACTCTTACCAGAATTACATGCTGCAAAATGATATGCCCTTTCAGCAGATAGGCTTAAGAACACAGAGAACACACACTAGTGGAATCCTGGTGGTCAGTC